>NC_000002.12:191429011-191732042 GCF_000001405.40 Homo sapiens | reverse complement strand
AAAAACAGGCAATTATGCTTAATGAGCTCACTTCCAATTTATGAACAGATCTTAAAATGTGCTCTTAATGCTACCAGGATATCATACTTAATTTCCCAAGACCATTCACTTTCCCACTCTCCTGGACAACTTTTTTACACTTTCAATCTTCTAAAATACCCTAAACTTTTTTCTTGTCTTCATATTCCTACTTTACTGAAAAAATTAAAGCAATCAGAAGAGAACTCCATAGACTTCCACCACCATATTTATTCACCTACCAGCATCTTCATCCACATACTCTGTCTCCATATTTGTTACTATTCATGATGCTACCCAAAGCCAACTCCTCTTCTTGTACACTAAATCATACTAAATCCCTTCCCCTATAGTCTACTCAAGGACATCACCTATTCCAACATTTCTCACCTCTTTCTCTCATACCAATTTTTCGCTATTGGATCATTTTCATTCAAATACAAACAACATGTTGATATTACTCCCATCTTTAAAAAAAAAAGATAAAGAATAATTTCTACATATTCCACTTGCCCCACTAGCTACTGTTTCATTTCTCTCCTCCCTTTTGCACAAAAACTTCTCCAGAAAGCTATCTACAGCTGCTTTTTGTATTTTCTTTTCTGCCATTCCCCACTAAAACCAGTTCAATCAGATTTTTGATTCACTATTCCATTGAAACCACTGTGAACAATATGAATAGTATCCACCATGCTGCCAAATCCAATAGCCCAGTCCTTCCCTTGCTTGTCCTATCAGCAGCATTTGGCACAGTTGATCACTTTCTCCTCCTTGATACACTTTCTTCCCTTGGCTTCCACATTATCCTGTTTCTCTCCTATATCACCAGCTGCTCCTTTTTAATTTTCGTTGCTGGTTCTTCCTTTAACTCTTTTATGTTGCAGTGTCCCAGGGCTCAGTCTTTGATCCTGTTCTTTTCTATAACTACAATTACTCTTTGGTATCATAGCAGTATTGGGGCTTTCAGAACCAGTGATATGCTACTGACCTCTAAATTTACAAATCCAACTAGAAGTTGCTGATTTGTATGTCCTTGGATGTAAAATAAGCATCTCAAACACAGCATGCTAAAATCTGAATACTTAGTCTTACTGCCAAAACCTGCTCTACCCTCAGCCTTCTCTATTTCAGTGGATGGCAACTCCACATTTATCAGATGAAAAACCCTAGAGTCCTCTTTGACTTTGCTCTTTCTTTCACAGCCACATGTAATTCAACCACAAACCTTGCTGGCTGTTCTTTCAAATCTATGCAGAATCTGAATGCTTTTCACCACCTCTCTGCTGCCATGTGGTCTAAGCCAGCATCTCTCACCTGGCTACTGGAATAGTCTCTGAACAGTTCTCCCATTTCCACCCTTGCCCCTTTACAAATTAATCTGAACAAAGCATCCAGAATGATCTTTTTAAAACATGTATATCACTCTTCTGCTCAAAATCCCCTGCTTTCTCCCCCCATTCACACAGAATAAAAGACAATGGCTTACAAGACCTTACAGGCTGACAATACCATCTCACTCATCTCTCTGACCTCATCTCCAACTATTCTTTCCCTTAATCACTCAACTCCAGCCACACTGGTCCCCTCCTACTCCTGGAACATGGACCAAGCAGGCTCCAGTTTAGCCACTATGATTTATCTGTTCTCCACTCCTGGATGTGATTTCCAGCTTGGTTAACTCCCTCACCTTCTTTTCATGACTTTGCTCAAATGTCACCATAGCATGAAGTTTTTCCTTCACCACCTTTTTTATTACTGCAGTGACACACTGCAACAACACACCTGTACAAATACACACACACACAACACACACAACACACACACACGTAATGTCAATCTTTACTTACCGTATTTCATTTCTATTTTCTATGTCATTTATCTTCTTCTAAGATAATTGTTTATTTATTTATTCCTTTGCTGTCTACTCACCATCTTTCTTTTCCCTACCTCCCTATCCTATAATGCAATAGAAAAGCTCTTTAAGGGCAGGGATCTTTGTAATATTCATTGGCCAACTTCAAACCTACAAATTCATGTAACATGTGCAACAAATCAATAAACAATGTCCCCTTGGAATTTACAACCCACAGATTTCAGGTACAATTTCAGGCTGTATAGCTAATTAGAAGAGCTTGAACTCAGACATTCTGAATATAAATTCATTAATCTTTCCACTATATTGCTCTAACTTCGACAAGAACCTTTCTCAAACCCTTGAAACACCAATACTTATCGATTTTTTTCAAGTTAATAAAATAAAATATGTTATTTTAATTTGGTCATTGATTATTAGCACAGATAAACACTTTTTCATGATTCTTTGCTGAGTTAACTGTGAATTGATGGTGTACTTTGCACCTCCAACACTTCTGTTCTGTGGCTTAGAATCATTGCTTTCGTAGACCTCTTTACTTTCTCTTTACTACAATTAGCAACACTAGCAGATGATTTTCTTTTATAGCCCATTTTACACAAAGAAACAAAGTTTTTATCACTTCAGGAGCGCTAGTGTGCATGATAATGAGTGTAGAACAACATAGCCAAGTTAAAATTCAGAGACTGTTGCTGAACCCCTCCCCCTTACTTCTGTGAGTCATTCCAGACACATCAATATTGCAAAGCCTGCAACCGAAATTCATTCCTCAGCAAAATTGCAAATCATTACATGTTAAGTTGCTTGAAAATAGTCAAAACTGCAAATGTTTAAGCCTCAAATCCCAATAATCTACTGTAATTGGACTCAATCATTACAACAGACATCCATGAAGTAGGGGGTAGGACACAGATGAAGAAGAAAAATATATGGAAATCCAAATAACTAGGAGCTTAGCGCTTAGAGTTAGAACGTTTTCTGCTTTGGGCAACCCTCTACTCTTCCAGGTGGTGGCAGTAGGAAGGTAGTAAAAACAATGAAAACTGTGACAGCAAAAAAAAAAAAAAAAATTAAATTAAATTAAATATTATGACTATGACTCATAAATATAAAGTGTATCAAAATTTACATAACTTACCAATAAGGGAACCAGTAGGATGACAAAGCTCCAAAGAGTATTTGGAGAACTAAGCAGTTACAGAAATTGAAGGAACAATGTTGCAACAAGATTGCTAGGGTAGATCTATAATTGGTTGATATTTTACAGAGCAATAAAACCATAACCTTTCGGGTTATATTATTCTACTAAACAGAAATCATTTGCTTCTCTACCAGACAAAACTCTATGCATTAACATGTAATTTCACAGAACCTGGGCCCTAATCAATAATAAATCATCTGTTAAACAAAGGGTAATCTCCCAAAGAATTAAGTAATCCTGTTAGACAGTGTTGTAGTCTGACACAGAAAGGACACTCAGCCATCCCTTTGCCTTATTTCTAATTTGTTGATACTTTTTTTAAAGAATTAAAGTATAGGAGCCCTCTCTTTGAGTTGCCTTTGGAGAAACACACTATTCTATTACATTAGAAATGTGTCTGGTCTGTTTTGAAAGAAAAATTCCTCCTGGTTCCGAGCTCTAATAAGATCCCTTCATATCACAGCCTATTTTAGTAATAGAGTATTTTGTTTGAATAGCGTATTTCTCCTGTAAAATAAGAACACAATTAATAATTGAATGAATTCCCTATTTCAGTCTGATTTGTAAATTCTCTGCATTCAAAGAATTCCTCAACTGTATTTTAGAAATGGAAAGCACCTTAACAAGGGATCTTGAAATAAAACAATGTCCAAAGGTTAAGCAATTTGCCCAAGGTCACGTTGTGAGTCTGAGGCTAAGCTGATAGAGAAATTTGAAGTTAAAGCAGAAAAGCATAGGGGGCTACAACAGCTGGAGAAACTCCAGCTTCCTGCGGTTGGTCTATGGATACCCTTGATCTCATAACCCTCAAGTAATACTGTTGGGCCAGAATACAGGCTTTGCAGCAAGACCTCAGGTTTAAGGATTGTGAGGGACATTTTTGACTACTAGTAATTGAGAGAAAAAGTAAAAACCTTTCCTCTCCCATCACAAGGTTTATGGCTGACACTCCTGTAACAAAACACAGATTAAGCAGGGAAAAGCATAACAAATTTATTTAATATAAGTTTTATGAGAAACGGAGACCCAAAGACCCAGGGAAAACTGTAATTTTGTGCTTAGGTTTGATGAGGAAAGGACAGTTATGTAGAAGTACAACTGGACAAAAGAGGGTATGATCTAATAGTAATAAACTCAGAGAAATTTAGCAAGGCCTGTTTCAGTTCAGATTCTTCTTGGATTCTCTGTGTCTTTGTTCCGTTCCTCCACGTATACAGAAGGACACCTGTCACATGGGGGCCTCTCGTGGAGAAGGGAGGGAGAAGGTCAGAGAGTCACCTTCCTGCCTCTGTGGTTTTTCTCAATTTCCATCAGCTTAAAATACTCCATATGTGAAGGGCCCACAATTTGAGGTATCGTGTTCTGAGTCCCTATAGTAATTTTTTCCAAGAAGATGTACCGTGAAAAAAATAGGCTAACTCAACTGCAGTAAAGAGAGAGAGAAAGAAGACTGAAGCTTAGACACACGCTATTTAAATTGGCAAGTCTGAAATTGTTTTATCTTTTATAACTTAATTTTCTTCTTTTCTAATTTTTTTCTCACAAGTTTATTTTTTTCAAAGACAAATCTGCCTCCTTGAGAAAGAGAGACACTTTCGTTTTAGAAAATAAGGCTCCAGTTTTAGAAAAGATAGAGTATACAGTATGTACTATGAAACAAAAAAAAAACAAGAGAATTTGATGACTGAATAACTTTTTACAGCAGATTAGAATGCATGCCATTCCTCAGCTTCTTTTTAATTCCTATTTACAATTGAATTTTAAATACAGGATGGCCTGATAGTGTTGAGAGAGGCAGTTTTGTTACTTATTTTAAAGTCTTTATGTCAGCCACAGTAATTATGTTTGGGCAATAATATTCTTCTATTATTAACTTGTGGAATTCTGATTCTTCCCCTATCAACGTACCTAAAATTATTCAGTTAAAACCTAGAATTTAGGGTTGGAAGGTAAGCCTCTATGAGTGTTTAAAATTGTTTGCTAATTGCCATCTGGATTCTGCAATTCTTAAAGCATGTCTGAACAACAGACTTCACACAATTTTAAATTAATGCAAATCTACATTAATTTAAAAATATATCCATGTTTTTATTGATGGAGACAGAGAAAAGCTGTCAGAAAAATAGGATGAACCAAACTAGAATATTGAATTATGAAAAGTTTAGCAATAGCTGTAATATCAAGAGTACACTCTTTCAGTTACATTTCAAGTTTTAACCCCACATTTTCCTATAATTAACTTAAATCCAAAGGGCAGGCATAATACTTACTATCCAACCTAAATAATTCAAAACCTATTTATTAAAATATCCTAAATATCCTATCCAAAGTACTGAATAAAAAGCTTTTTAAATGACAGCTGGCCATTGCTGTTCTGCTCTCTCAAGGTTGTTAATAAACATTCACCCATTTTTTTTTTCTTTTGAGACAGAGTCTTGCTCTGTCAGCCAGGCTGGAGCGCAGTGGTGCAATCTCGGCTCACTGCAATTTCCACCTCCTGGGTACAAGTGATTCTCCTGCCTCAGCTTCCCAAGTAGCTGTGATTACAGTCGTGCGCCACCACACCCGGCTAATATTTGGATTTTTAGTAGAGATGGGGTTTCGCCATGTTGGTCAGAATGGTCTTGAACTCCTGACCTCAAGCAATCCACCCACCTTGGCCTCCCAAAGTGCTGGGATTACAGCCATGAGCCACTGACCCTGGTCAAACATTCACCTTTTAAAATAAATGAATATATCCAAATACCGAACTACTGAACAGATTTTTCAATAAAACTTGGAAAGCTTAAGTTGTCCAAAGCAGTATTTCCCAAAAGTTTTCTTGGCACATTCAAATAATTTTATATTCTCCTTCACTCTGGCTAAATGTAAACTAAACAAAGAGAAGTATGACTGGTTTGACACAAGTGAGTGACCAGAGTTGGTGTCTTCTTGGAACTGACCTTGTGTTACCATATGACAAACCAAAGCCTTCAAAGGGCAGGGATCCTTATGATTGAGAAACCACCCCTGGAATAGCCCAACCCATTCTTAAAACCTTTAATCTTCTATGAGTAGTTATGAAAGAAGGAGGTTTAAATTACTGTCTGCCATCCCAGAAAGTAGAAATACCTAGTCTCTAGAAAAATTTCTGTTACAAATCAACTTTTAACTATATTTTTTCTCTAAGTTGGGAAAACTCCAGCATCTCCATTACCCTAGAATTAAAAAGAGTTTCCAATTGTTCTTAAAAATATGACAAATGAACAATAGTTCTGTTCTGTTTTTTTCAGCATCTGAATTAACTCTGTGTGTAAGGGTATGCCTCTGAAAAACAAGAGAGCTGAAATTCACCATGATCCCAAAATCCAGAAATCTGTTTTTTTAAGTGAAAGTCACAGTCTCAAAAATGTCCTTTGGCCATTGAATCATCTCTGTGTTCCAGCTGACCCTTTTTTTTTCCCCTTTAGACCTTCTTAAAGCCACTAGAAATTTATATCTTGAGAGATACGTATCATTTTTAAAATAAAATCCCTTACCGGAACTCAGATACAAGGTCGCTAAGGTCGCTAAGGTCGCGCTTTGACCTACTCTAGTGAATTGATAGATTGGGCTGACTGTACCATGCTGCTCTTCCCTGGTACTCCTTGAATATCCTACACCGAGTGGTTACTTACACAGATTTAAATGTGAAAGCTGGTGGAAATTAGCTATGATTTTCTGCCAAGGGCATGAAAGGCTAGCTAAATGCTACATTTGAACATTTGAAGGTTTTGTTGTGTCCACCAGCTTCACAAAGAAGATGGAACAGAAATGGCAAAGAAAAATGGTTTTTGTTAAATAAAGAAAAAAGCTCTAAACTAGAAATGTCAAATATAATCTAAGCCAAGGAGATATTCAAAAGCCAAGGGTGACATCATCACCTTTCACCTTACTATTATATCAACAGACCCTGGATATTTTCAAGTGGAATTACATTAAAATATGTTTATGTGATTTTAAAAGAATAAAATATTACTATTTCAAGAGTTAATACTATTTCCCAAGGTACATAAGTCCCCAAGGATTTTAGATTAGAATATGATATGTGCCTTACATGTCTAAGCAAGGTAAAAAAAATGTTAGCTTAATGACAAAATTGAGCAAATACACTGGGAACATGACGTGCCCTAAAGTTCACTTATAATGAAAAGAAAAATAATCTGAAACCAAATACTTTGGAGAAATAGGACAAATAAATTCAGAATCAAGTAGATAGTCAATGGTGAAGCTAGAAATTGAATTTACGAACATATTCTATGCCCTGTTCGTAATAAGTTCCAGAAGTCCCAGGTTTCCATATTATGTTTAGTATTTTTATTATGGTTTTTTATTGTTATTTTAATGAATAGAAACATTTTATACATAAAAGAAATGATAAATTAATGAGTATAACCTATTATAACAATATTGGTAGCACATGTTCAAGATAGAAGATAAATCATTTCGAATATGTTTAAACTCAAATTCTAGTTTTGAAAAAATAGGCCCACAGCAAGGAAAACACATAATCATACAGGAAGATGTGGAAAGTGGCAAGTAGTTTTATGTAGCCCCATGTATATCCCTTGTTCCTCCCCAGCCTCCCAGGCCCTGTAGGTCTGTGCTGTATTATTCTATTATTCCCTGGGGAGGACTGGTGTTCTCGTTTTTGTAGTTCACATGTAGCAAAGTCAAGCTTGAATCCACTTGACTTTTTTGCTTGTAAGAGGCAAGTCCCTTGTAACCAAGGCAACTGATATTAGCAGTGGTTACCTATTTCACATTGGTGTGCTGTCCAAGGTTATATTTTCAGCCATAATGTACATCTTTGATGACTTCAGAGCTCCAACCAATATTGAGAATCTTGGGAAGGCCTTTTCTAAGTGAGAAGGGATTCTTTCTCCTAGTGTCTTGTTTTAATTAAATAAAGTTTTTTTTATTTTAGAATAATTTTAGACTTGCAGTAAAGTTGGAAAGATAATACAGAGAGTTTCAGTATACCCCTCACTCATCATTAATATCTTACATTACCACAGTACATTTGTCAGAGCTAAAAAAACAACAAAACAAAACAAAAAAACACCAATATTGATACATTATTAACAAATCCCCAGATTTATTTGAATTTTACCAGTTTTTCCATTAATATTCTCTTTCTGTGTCAGGATTCAATCCAAGGTATCACATTTCATTTACTGGTCATGTCATGGCTTGTCTTCCTTGTCTCCTCTGGTCTATGACAGTTTCCTGCTATTTCTTTTTCATGACCTTGATAGTCTTGAGGAGTACTGGCCAGGTATCCTGTATAATGTCCCCCAGTCTTGGTTTGTCTGATATTTTTCAGAACTAGACTGGGATTATACATTTTTGGAAAGAAAGGTGGAGAGAAATGCCCTCTCATTTCACCTTATCAGAGGATATGTGATATCGACCTGACCTCTAACCACATAACCTTCATCATTTGGCTAAGGTAGTGTTTGCCAGGTTTCTCCATTATAAAATTACATTTCCCCCTTTCCATAGTCTGTTAATTTGGAACTACTCACTAAGTCTAGCCTACATTCAAAGAAGAAGGAGTTCTACTTCCTGGAGGGGGAGAGTATGTAACATATACTAAATGGAAGTCTTTTGTAGGTAAGATTTGTCTCTATTTATTTATTTATTCATCACTATTTATTTCTATCAGTATATACCACATATGTTTATTTTATACTTTGGGTTTTTGATATTATGATTATACACACACATACACACACACACACACACACACACACACACACACACACACCCAGATTTTCCTCCACGGTTCCTAGTTCATAACTCCCATAACCTTTGTTACAGTCCTTTGTTATAATGTTGGGGCACTTTAGGCCTCAGAAGCAGGCCTCAGGAGACAAAATCTTTCTCTCTGACCTTCTTCTGCCCTACTTTCACCTGCCCAAGGTAGAACTCTAATCTGATTGTGGGTCATAAGACCCTCATTCCAGACAGGGTCCCTGCTTTGTACTCTCAAGGAAGGAAAGTCTCACAGACAGACCACAAGGAATCCGAACAGACAAGCCTCATTGTGTTTAGAAAATGCACTTTTTGGCCAGCCATGTTTCAACAAGGTTGTCCATGAAAAGACAGGTTTCGGGGAGCCTCCAGAGAGCTGAACACATAAAGGCTCACAGGAAGATGAAGAATAACTCGTCCATGAGCTGGGAGGGTGGTGTACCCCAACTCCACAGGGACAGAAGCTCCTGCACTTGGGACCCCTTTGACCTTACCCTATGTATCTCTTCATCTGACTATTTATTCGTATCCTTTAAAATATCCTTCTTAATAAAGCAGAAAACATAAGTAAGTGTTTCCCTGAGTTCTCTGAGCCACTCCAGCAAATTAATCAAACCCAAACAGGAGTCATGGGAACCCCAACTTGAAACCAGCTGGTCAGAAGTTCCAGAGGCCTGGACTTGTAACTGGTGTTTGCAGTAGGGGGTGGGGAACAGTCTTAGGGACTGAGCCTTCAACCTGTGAGATAGGATACTGTCTCCAGATAGATGGAGATAGTGTCAGAACTGAATTGGAGGACACCCAGCTGGCATCTGCTGCTTGGCATGTGGGGAAAATTCCCCCCCAAATTTGGTCATAGAAGACTTCTGTGTTGATTGCTGTGGTGTTATGCCAGCAGAGGAAAAACATGGTTTGAGAGAGTTTTATCCTATACAGGGTTAAAATCCAATACTATGTTATCTATTTTATTACTCAAATTGTTCCAGATCTTTCAGGTTGGCACCTGTATTGCTTTGATGTGACCCCATTCTACTAGTCAACTTATTTTATTTCCTTGATTTAATCTTTTGCACAGCAAACCATCAAACATGCTGTATATTTTGCTCATTTGTCTTTTTATTGTCTAGGATTCCCCTTGAAAATGTAAGCTGCTAAAAGCAAAATTTTTCCTCTTGTGTTCATTTCTGTATCCTCAGTTCCTAGAACAATGCCTGCCCTTTGTAGAAACTCAAAAATGCACGTTGAATAAGTTTATTCCCTCTTGGTCATTTCAGGATCTCAATTCAGTCATTTCAAGGTCCTGGGCCTTCCTCCCTCTTCCCTGGGGGCTGCATTTTTGTTCTACTTGGACATATGTAGAGTCATGGCAACAGGGGAAAGGGTACCTGGTCCATAGTTGTCAGACGTGATAGTCATAAGGCAAGAGGAAATAAATAACAAGAAATACCTGTGCACTCATTATGATTTCCAGTTGAATAGTCTGTACACTTTGCAGCCTCCTCATCCCTGTTGTGTTGTCCTTTTGGATTTTCTCACTCTCTGCCCCAACTCCCAACACCATCTCAGAGACCAGGAATTCTCTGCTGCCTAAACGCAGGAAGCTGCCTGCAAGCCCATTTGCTTGCAAAGGACTCACTGCCGAGCCACCACAGCAGCCCTTAGCCAGCCAGTGGATTCACAGAGAAGCTGACAGTCTCCTTGGGCTGCACTTGAAAAGGAGTCACATGCAAATTTTTTCTGTGGGATCTTCTATAGGATCTTTATGTAGGATTGTGATCACCCTTGCTGTCTTGAACCATGGAGAGTTGGTACATAATGAATTCTGGAAGTTTCTTTTCCTCATCTTCCATGCAGAAAGGGATTTTATATCTCTGCCTGGGGGAGGTAGGGGTGGGTGGTAATATTATCTCACATTTGTGATTAATGGATCAGCTTTACCGAAGATTTCCTTTGATGCTTGATGCTTAAAGTGAAGATTATGGAATTCAAAAAAAAAAAATCTTTTTTTCTCTCAAAAAGCTCTTGCAAACCAAAAGCACCTGGCTTTCAAGATGTAGTTCTACCATAGATTTTTCAATGTATTTAGAAAAGTAAATAACTTTTTCTTCTTTCCTTACTCTTCTGTGTGTGGCCATGCCCAGGGCAAATGAATATCTTGAAGGGCTTTGGCTGGGTGAGGGAGTGGAGGGGGAAGGAGCAGAGTGTAGGAAGTTGGAGCAAACCCAGGTCAACAAACCCACCCTAATAGCTCCAGAATGTGTTCTGCCACACAGAATATGCTGCTGGAAGTTTTATAAAAACTCGTAAACGCAGGCCTAGCAGACCTAACTTGTCTCTAAACAAAGCAGCCAGGTAGAGCTTCTTGTATCACACTTGGAGTCAGGAGATGAGGCAAACCTGGCCATGGCTTACTTGCTGAAGGGCGTGACAGCCAATAAATGGCTTCATTGGTTTATCTCAGGAAAAGCTGTAGCAACAAAAACGTGACCTTTCAGGAACTAAGTGCCCTGGAGTAGTGGTCTCCAAAGAGGGGGCACACAGTGCAGGCGTTCTAAAAAAAATACGATAAAAACTATATTTTGATTGTTTCTAATTCTATTATTTATTTTATTTTATTTTATTTTCGAGACAAGAGTCTCACTCTGCTGCCCAGGCTGGAGTGCAGTGGCTTGATCTCGGCTGGTCTCAAACTCCCGACCTCGTGATCCACCCGCCTCGGCCTCCCAAAGTGCTGGGATTACAGGCGTGAGCCACCGCACCCAGCCACATTATTATTTCTAATTCTATTCTATCTAAAGAAAAATAATAAAGTAGATAAACTTCACTAGTATTTCGTGTACCAATTCGCCCCAGCACCCTGCCTCGTTCTGTCTGTCCAGTAGCCATAAGCACATTAAATTCCTAGTGTCTTGAGGGAAGGTGGGAGAATCAAGAGGTCGGCAGTGGTGCCCGGGTTGTTCGTTTGCCTCCGGCATATTGTATTATATTGTCATTAATCTGTGCCTGATAGAGCAGCCAGGTTGGTCTGAAATTTGCTGACGTGGCTATTCAGTAAGGAAATCGGCCCCTGGAAATTAATGCAGCACCATATGTCAACCATCACAGAAAGCGAGCTCGAGTCTCAAACGAATGGATAAAACCTAAGGTTTTACCTGACTAGCACTCCAACCACGTTCCACTGTATCATCTTGTCGTTTTAGCTAAATGAACCCTCAAATGTTGGGCAAGTGAGTTAAAGGAGTTGCCACAAAGCAAACCTGGATCAAAGATGACGCTAATAAGGCAAGCAGGAGTAAATTAGAAAATGGCAGTGGTGACACTTGGAAGAGAGCTCTGACTCAGCTGCATGCAGACAAAAACAAGCAGAGTCTTATCCAGAGGCTCCCAGACTTTCATAGTTTATAACGTTCTTGGTGTCTCGGTTTGTCTTGGTGTCTTGGTGTTTTTTCACAGCGCCCCTAGACAAAAAGTTTTAAAATACTCAACAGTTTCATTTATTAAGGAGTTAAGTTCAAATAACTTGTTAAATACCCACTTCCTAACAACTGAGTAGCCATTTAAAAAATAATGCACATAAATTGGAAAAAAAAACTTATTTTCTTCTTTAACAATGACACACGCTTACCAATAGGATATATGCACCTGTTGGGAACTGCACAGCTTCTCAAACCTTAGAATCAAATTGGACACACCACCTTTTCTGTTCTACAGTGATTTCCGGAGGCACTTGGCTTTTATCCCAGTAACCACAAACACCTAATGCTGCAAATACATGCCATCACTGAAAATATTAAAGTGCCACCTAATGTTGAAATGGGAACTACCTTGTGCCAGTAGTTCATTGCCTGTCAATAGATATTGAGTATTGCTCAAAAATTTAAATATCTCACTGAACCCCTCTGAGTTTGCAGTAGCATCCTTGAAGAATATCTGAGTCCAAGTCTAGGGCAGAAATACATAAGATAAGCCTAGAAAATTTTCTCATACCAAGTTTGTGTGGGGGTGAGGGGAATCTATTAAAGACTGCTAGAATCATATCAAAGTATGGCATGGAGAGGGCCTTTCCAAGATGTTAAACCCAAAATTATAATAGAAAATACTGAAATTTTGACCACATACAAATTTTAAACTTTTGTAGAAGAAGAAATACCACAAAAAAGTTAAAAGACAAACAACAAATTGGAGAAAGATATTTGTAACACACACATCAGAAAATGAGGTAATTTCTTTAACATTTAAAGAACTCATAAATCAGTATTTAAAAACCACTGCAATAAAAAATGTATGAAGACATGAAGCATCAGTTCCCAGAAAAACAATTACAAGATCTATTGCAGCTTTCTTCATAATAAGCAAATTCTGAAAATACATGTTTATTGATTATCAAAAACAGAGGGAAACATATAGATTAAAATAAAATTAAAATATATACCAATCAATTACATTGTGTGGACATTATTTGAATCATGATTCAAATTTTAAAATTTCAAAGAAAAACATTTATGGAACATTGGAAATTTGAACATTGACTGAATATCTGATGATGATAAAAGATTTGTGTTAATTTTTTTGGCCTGATATCATCGATGTTTTTAAAAGCACTTATCTTTTTTGATACTCATGCTGAAGTACTTACTTATAGATAAAATTAAATGATGTCTGAGATTTCCTTCAAAATAAATAAGGAGAGAAAAACATAGAAGAGATATTAATGGCTAAGTATTGATAGTGCAGCTGGGTGTTGAGTACATATTGATTCATAAAATTACTCTGTCTACTTGTTATTGTATATTCAAAATTCTCCTAATAAAATGGAGCTTTCTGTTTTGTAAATAAAAGCTATAGATGAGACAGTATAGTCTGATATAATTTTAGGAGTGAAAGCTTCAGAGTCAACAGCCTAAATTCAAATTTAAGCTTCATGGAACAATTACCTGAGCAGACATTTTCTCAGTTTTCTGATCTGCAAATTGGAGAAAATAAAACTCACTTCACTGGATTGTCATAAATATGGCTTTGAGATAAAATCCAAAAATTGGCCAACATAATGCCAGTGACTTTGATTTCAGAAAATCATGACATACAAGTAATTCCTTTCATTACATACATTATTAGTTCTAATTTTTTCCCATGTCATACCTATCAGTACAATGAAGTAGTCTATCAGAGTCTCAAAACAGGAGGTGATATTTGAACAATTCCACGTGGAAATTCTGTTACGCTTGCCATAGGGAATCATGCTCCTGCATGAGACCATTACTCAAGCTGTTTTATGGAAAGGCCCATATGGCAAGGAGCCACATGCCAGCTATGTAAGCGAGCCACTCTGCAAGTGGATCATCCAGCCCCAGTTAAACCTTCACATGGCTGCTGCCCTAATGAACAACTGACTCAACCTCAGGAGAAACACTGTGCCAGAACCACCCAGCCAGGCCACATACCTGATCCACAAAAATAATAAATGCTATGTCAGACCATAAGTGCTTATTGTTATTTACAGACACAAAAATGCTGGGGCAATTGATTACACAATAATAGGTAATACACATATAATGTGAAAATTAAAATTCAGCTATAAAATGCTACCCTGGTTTGCAAAATTCTCAGAAAAATACTCTGAAATGAACTTCAGAGAAGTTTCTTGACAAAATCAGTACTCTTCATGGTAAATATATGGACCAATTAATACAGCACAGTACATGTTGACCCCAAAAATCTTTCTTTTTTGGGATATATAATTCACTTGTTTGAAAACATAGTATTTTCTTGAAAAAATGAACATTTGGTTAGAAATGATCCAATGTAAAGCATAAGATGTAAAATAGATTGTCATCAACAAACTGCTCCCCATGGCATGTGTATTTTTGGTTTGTGGTTAATACTTTTTTCTCAAGTGATCCTAGTATTTTTATTGGAACCATTTGGCAATATTATTTTCAAACATCATTGGAAGTTCCAGTATGGAACTTTGCATGGTGCTATGCAAATAAGGTCAGGGGTGGTTGGAGCTATAAACTATAATTGATGAACACTTTAGTTGAACAGAAGGTCTTTTATTAGCCAAGCACTGTGTTACATGTTTGAAACAGAAAACTCATTCATGTGTGGATTTTAAAAAAACTCAAAGAGTCTGAGAATTCTTTTCCAGTAATTAAATGTTTGATATAAGGGACTGATCAATTCAAGAAAGATGGGAGGAGGACCAGAATGGAAATCATGGGCCACAGAGAACCAAAATGATCAAAGAAAAAGAAAAAGGCTAACCAAGAGTTACAAGACTTGCCCACTGAAAAGATACTAGAAGTTCAGTTAATTACATCACAATGTGTGCTACTTTTAGATTTTCTGTAGTGTAATTATATTAATCGTTCAGTAAACTCAACTCTCAATTAACTCTCATTCTGTGGGGTGAGTTCTATCATTCCCAGAACTTTTAATAACTATGTAAACTGTACTGGGAAAATATTTACACAGAAATATGCATAAGTCACATTATATTTAAGTTTTTAAACCTTTAAAATTAAAAAAGAACTATTTAGTAAATGAACATATCCTAAATCTACTAATTCCCATTCTAAAGAGATACCTCAGAGAAAAAGCTTGCACACATGAACATGAATACATGTAAAGAATGCTCTATTGTTTGTAACAAGTAATATTAGAAACACTAATGAGACAATAAAGCATGGTTTGTTTCATTACTCTTTATTCCAGCATTTACCTAGTTGTTCTTCTTTTGTTTATTTTCCAAATTACCTTTAGATTCCACTTGTCTAGCTCCAGGGGAAAAATTCAGTGGCAGTTTGGCAGGGTAGTGGGGGAAAGCCTTAAATTTATATATTAACTTGAGAATTGACATTTCTGTGAGGTTAAGCCATTCTATCCAAGAATATAGAATGTCCTTCCACTTGCTTAAGTTTTCTCTCTTTTGTTTTTGGGTTTATTTTGTTTGTGCTTTTGTTTTTTTCCCACGGAGTTCATAGAGCCATCCCTCTCTCACTGTCAGACCAGTGGTGTGGGTGGGTTTGAGACTAATCTGATTGAGGGGAAAGAGAAGGTATATGACCCAGGTTCTGTTAATCAGAGTGATGGTGCTGGGTTCGGGAATGGATACACGTCCCAATCTGGACCAATGAGCATCAACTTAAGAACTGTTTCTGGATGTGTAGTAGAAAAGAAAGATACTTCAGCTGGTGTTGCTAAGAGGGTGGATTATAAGTGTTCAGCTGTTCAGAAAGACCCTAAAAACAAAGCCAACACCAAGCAAAAAACAAGTCAAGTTAATGGAGTAAGTTAGGTTCTTGATAGCAATCTCTGCGTAGAAGGATCCAGCTTTGCCTGATCATATACCCTGGAGTCAATATTTTATTTTCTTTGTTTAAGACAGTGCAAGCTGAATTTTTACTACTTACCACTGAATGAGGAAACAAGGCTAATATAATATTTTGTATTATTGTCATAGAATCATTTCTGTCTCCTACCAGACAGAGTCACTCTCATGTCACTTCATCTGGATTAAAGTCTTGAAGCAGGGGAAGGATATAGTAGGAAATATCCAAGCCCCTTCCTTTCAGAGATAGAGCTCATACAAGCAGTTCACACATGTCACTTTCTCTGGAAACTCTTTTGCCTATAGCTGGATGAGAGGGTCTCTGCTTAGGGTCATGCAATTAATCTTATAGTAAGCATTTCCGTTCAGGAAGAAATAGCTTTTCTGGATCTGTCTCTTTCTACCTACTACACACCATTCCATATGCATAAGATTCCTGATAACAGTGTTTCTGACATGTCCCTTTTTTTCTGAACATAAAGATCAGCCTCCTAGTTATTGCTTTACAAAGCAGAGATAGGCTTTCTAACTGATTAAACACATATAAAGGACAGAAAGTATGAACCCGGAGCTACTGTTTCTAGCAGTTTAAATATGTGCAACCAAAAGCTACAAGATATCTTTAATATACTTGTCCTCATTTCGCATATTCTGCTGCTTATTGCCTGAACCACAAAATGCAAAGAGCGTAGCAATACAACAAACCCAGCAAATGTGCAGTACACCATTTCACAGCAGGGGCCTCAGCATCTCACAGCATGTGGCTCTGCCTCTCAATGAGGTGAAAAGCCTGTCACAGACTCACTTTCCAGCTGATGCTGCAGCCTCCTTACACTCTGGATAAGCAATTTCTGTACTATTATTCTCTCACATGGATTCCGGAAATGGCTAATATGAATTTGGCTCAAACTTGCCATCTAAAATTTCAGAAGAAATGACATTTTTATCCCTGTAAATATAAAGTAATTTGTAAATGTATTTGAGGATTTCGCTTTAAATATTTTGTTACATATTCCAGCTACATTTTGTCTCTTGGCAATTAATAACCTTGTTTCTCTTCATTCATCCTAAAATGGATGTCATGTTTACATAACATATATTCTCTTAAAAAGTATCAGAATCTCTAGAAAACTGTAAATCATTACTATCATCCATTCCTCCTCTTTCATTATTAAGCATTTATTATGTACTACTAGACATTTTGAATTGTGCACTAGTAATTCCTTCTTTATTCTGTTCCTCCTCCTTATTTCCCTCCACCTTTTCATTACCTCCCTCTTGTCCTTCCTTTTATTATGCAAGGTCCTTTGCTAGGCCCTGGATTAATTTTCTGTATGTATGTATGTGTGTGTATATATATATATATATATATATATATATATATATATATATATATATTTAATAGAATTAAATTAATCTGTTACAGGTGCATTGACTTGACCCTGAGGTGTGTTTACTGAGGGGTTTAGGATATCTCCATATATGTAAAGGAATGGTGAAGCAGGCAAGCCAACATTCTATTTGCAGCAGGAAAAATAATTACTTTCCAGAGGACAAAAAAAAAAAAACTCATCCTAAGGGAAGAAAAAGTCAATATGTACGTTTTGGTTGTAGGATTAGGGGACAGTGAGTCCTAGACAAAGGGGCTACAGTAAGAATGAGAAATGCTAGAACAGCCAGAAGTTTGGAGGAGCAGAGTGGTTAGCACTGAAGACATCAGCCTCAGCAGCATCAGAAGATGGTGCCCTCAGTATGCATTATGCATGCTTTCATAGCCCTGGCTGCCCTCAGCCCAGGCTTAGGGACAGACCCAGCTGCCCACTAGCACCCTCTGGCTGCCAGGGACATAGGTCCATGGAATTACCAACAAGAGAACCAACCAACACTGACAGACATCAATGGGTACTCCCAGAGGCGTTGCCATTTGGGACTCCAGCAGCAACAGGAACTATCACAATATCCAGGGACTAGAGGGAAATCTCTCTCAGTACTCATTCTTAGAAGCTGAGAAGAACAGGATTGTGTCTATCTTAAATTATTATCCAGCATCTAACACAGTACCTGACACATAGTAGGAATGTTTATAGAATGAATGATTGAACTAGAAAATATCCACATCACTGGATATACCTTTTCAACTATGGGAATACACACCAAACATGGCCTTTAAAAATGTATAAAGGGAATGTTTGTGAACACTTAAAATTCCAGTCAAGGTTACTGAGAGAAATCTCAAGGAGGCAGAATGGGCATTTGGTCGTAAGCAGAATCCTAATCAAGCATATCAGACCTGAATTTGGAAGAAAAAACACATGAATAGAAGATGATCAGCCACAGAAGCAGGGGAAAAAAACAGGGTCCCAGAGGAAGAAAATGTTGGCAAATAATTATGCAACTGTTGCCTACAGAAAAAAAAATTTTGCTTAAGCACTAACATTTTGAATTTCTAGGCAACACCATCCCTAGAGTACCTCAATCTGTTTTAGCAAGGAGACACTTCTTGAATCAAATCAGTCCTAATGTTTGGATTCCTTGCTTACCAAACCTCTGCCAGTCCAGGCATTCTCATCTCTTGACGGTTGTATTGCTCTCTAAAATTTAACAAATGGATCCATAGGAGACAAGTCTCTGAGAGCTAGGTTAATCCAGGCCCCACCAAAGGGATAGCCCTGTCTTGGTATGCTGATGAAAGGAGACTTCTGAGCTCCAGAGCTGGGGACTAGCTACATCCTGATGGTGGTGTCATACTTCCAGGATGAATGCCATAAGCTACGGACATTGACTGGCTACAGCTGTTGACTGGCTAGCCTCCCAGGAGTCACCTCTCTGCTTTACTGTGTACCTTTGTAAGCATCACCTGTCCCCACAGAGAGCCAGCTGAGGAGAGGAGGAAAACGGCAGATACCACTTGGAATCAGTGGTTTGTCATGAATACAAAAAAACTCTGGAGTCCCCCAGAAAGGTGTGAAGAATTTTTAATCCTCTGGATTTATCTACAGAGCAAATAGAAGCAGGACCAGAAAAAAAAAATCCATTTTGTGTCTGTCATTGTGACTATATTTTGTTGGGCCAGTGTCTCTGGGAAACTTTGTTTATACCATATTTATCATAAACCTAACAACATTCAAAGTCACTTACTGTTGGTTTTTATGCATTCCACCCAGTCAGCAATAGCCTCCAAATTACCAAGCTTGTCTATTGATTCTCTTGGTGTCTCTAAAGGATTTGACATTGTAGTTCACCAGTTCTCTTCTCTCATTAGGCACAACAATGTGGCAATATTAGAGCTCACTTCCTATCTACTCCAGAGCCTCCTTCACTAGTTCCCACTTCTCCCGATCCTAAGTGACTTTTCAGTCTTCAGATCTCTAGTCTCCATCTTATCTTTTCCCCCAGCAAGTCCCAACCCATTCTGATTACTCAAAACACACTCAATTAATATTTACATATTGAGCAGCTCCTGTGTGGCATGCTACCATCTCCCTCCATGTTACTCAAGCCCATCCTCAGTTGGTGTCCTGAACTTTAGATGCATGTCCGTAACACAAGTGCCGGACATGTACTTGCTGATGGCCTACCATCACCTCCATCAAAGCACAGTACAACATTTGTGCTTTCTTGCAAGTCAAAACAGCCTAAACACAGATGACAATTATTGACTCAAGCCCAGATATAGAGTAGATTTCAGGATTCTGGCTTCTTTTCTATCTCCCTCAGCTCTGCTGTCTTCCATGGGTTGCTTTAATTCTCAGGCAGGCTTTTTCATGGTAAGATAATTGTTGCTGTAGTTCCAGGACTCAAATGTGCATCTCAGATGATGGAAGAGAGCCTCTCTTCCACAGCCACCGAACAGAAGCTAAGGGTTTTATTCTGACTGATAAATTGGGGCCAGTGTCTACCCCAATTTGCAGATGTATGATCCCTGTGATCAGAGAAATGCTATGAGCTGTTGGTGTACGGCATGGCTACAGGCTCATTCCTGGACTAGTTACTCTGGCAGGCAGATGTGATTATCATGAGTAGCTTAGGCCAAGTACAGCCTATGTCTGGAGCCAGAGGTGTGGTCAGTCCCACCAAGAGCATGGCTTCTAAATAGCAGAAGAATGGTGGAATGGATACTGGGAAGAAACCAGTAGTTTTAACTATAGGATCTTGTTTATTTGTAACCCAGTGAAAAGGAATAATTCTCTGTAGCTAGGTTTTCTAGACAGCTAAGGGTTCACTTCTTATGTTTTTTAACCAGTTTGAACAATATAGTTGAAAAGTGTATTTTTTTGTATTTCTGACTTTTAAAAGATATATACCAAAATTAATTTAACCATTTAATGACAATTTGAGGTCATCAAGATATAAATGTATTATTACATCAGTCACAATGCAGTGACTGACCTCAGGATTACTGAGCTGTGTGTGACCCCAGAGCACTCTTCACTTTAAAAAATTATATCTACTTTTTATGACTTTTCTTTTTCTTCTCTTTCTCTAAATTGCTACTTCTAATCTACAGTGGTATTGAGAACCAGATAATAAAGCTTTTAAAATTTCATATAAATTTAAAGTAGAAATGAAATTGCCTAGGAAGAAATAGGCAAAAGTGCAAACTATGCAGGCAAAGTGCATATTGCCTCTGCATAGGGACATTAACAGTTTTTGTTTGTTTGTTTGGTTTCTCTTTTTTTTCCTATAGCGATTAAGAATAACTTTATGATTTTACACACACACACACACACACACACACACACACAAATGAGTGAATGAAGTAAATAGGATTTGTGTGGTGCCTTCAAGTTCCCCAAGTGGAAAAATGTTCTAGCTGTTAATCCTTGCAGTCTGTGACAACCCTCCTAGCAAATTAGAGGCCTTGTTGTTGAATGCGTGGTTGCCTGGTATGTTTGGCGTTAGAGAGCAGAAGTGGTCATGGAAAAGCCAGAACATATCAGGAGGAAGGTCAGTCACCTATCTACCATGCGGGCTTAGCAGGGAGCCCTTGACCTGGTAGGTCACCCCCAGGCAGAGACTGGACTACAGTCTTATAAAGAGGGAAATTCAGTCTTGCCTGCACCCCAGGGTTGGATAAATGGTGAGGGTGATGACTCAACACTGTGGAAACTCAGAAGTGACAATTTAATAACAAACAATGTAAAGGGATCTGCTACTCACAAGGAATTTTTCTTCTGCCCTAGAAACTAGATGAGGAACCAAAGTATAATTAGAAGGTAGATTTGGTTAGGATAAAATTAGAACAAATGATGAAGTGGCATAAGGTTAAAATAGACTGGTGCATCCATCCATCAACACACTGGGCCACATCTGGCAATCACACCAGACCTAAGCAGCATGCCACTAAATGGTGCTCTTGTTGAACTGCCAAATTTTGTCTCCATGACTCACCATTTTCTTTATTTCACTACCAAACAATTCCTAAAGAAGCCATTTTTTCTTTACATATGTTAAGACAATGCCAGGCTATGGATAAAGGTCGTTGTTCTTTAAGTTACTTTTCATACTTCTCTTTATAGCTATAGCAGTTTCTGAGTTCCAGGGTAACCTCATGGTTACATCCCACTCTACATACCACATTCAGCTTCTAGGAGAGCTGACAGCCAAACAGAAAAGGGCTCAAATACGTATAAAACTAAACTCATTATCTTCTCCGCAAGCTCCTCCACTGAACAAAAGCAGTTTCCCAAACTCACTTTTTAAAACATCACTGTATGCTCATCTTTCACTTTTCTCTCTCCGTTGGTGCCCCATATTCTTGTGGAGGCCAAGTCTTCTTATTTATTCCTCCTTCTCCATGTCTCTCCCATCCATCATTTTCTTTTCACTCCCATTGCCCTACTTCTTTATCTCATTCTGAAATATTGCAATGGCCCAATAACAGGCATCTGTCTCTTCCCTTTTATGCTCATCTGCATATTATTGCCCTATTAATCCTCTAGAAGCGTCCTTATTCAAAACTTTTAACAACTCTCCATTTTGCAAAGAATCACATGCAAATGCCTTGTACTGGTGCTCAAAGCCCTGCCATATTTGGTTTTCATGTTATGTTTTGGCTTTACCTTCTGTGACCCCTCCACATGGGTGCTCTGTATCAGCCTTTGTATAATCACTATGGACAAATGAAAAAATCAAATATAAGCAATGTTTATGTTTTGCAATGCAAACCTACAGGAAAGAAGTCTTTGAAATTAGTACCAATAGATGCAGTGTGCAGATTTTCATTTTAACAGCCCATTCGGATTTTTTCTTTCTTTCTTTCTTTCTTTGACAGAGTCTCCCTCTGTCACCCAGGATGGAGTGCAGTGGCGCGATCTCGGCTCACTGCAAGCTCCACCTCCTGGGTTCACGCCATTCTTCTGCCTCAGCCTCCCGAGTAGCTGGGACTACAGGCGCCCGCCACCATGCCCGGCTAATTTTTTTGTATTTTTTTTAGTACAGATGTGGTTTTGCCGTGTTAGCCAGGATGGTCTGGATCTCCTGACCTCATGATCCACCCACCTCGGCCTCCCAAAGTGCTGGGATTACAGGCTTGAGCCACCGCACCCGACCCAGACTTCTTTTTTAATTTTCTGCATTGACTTTTATAGACACGTACAGACATTTATAGAACCATGGTTGGTTATCAGGTAATCTATGGCTTCAGTCATGGTTTAGAAAGAAACCTGAAACTGTCCAGTGTAGATCTTCATCCAATGACAGACAGGCATCACATAACTCACATTAACTTGAGTCTACCATCATTCAGAAATATCATGGAAGGTAAATCACTCTGACAGTTGACTTGGTAGAAACCCTGCTTATTCCTCACACAGGGTGTGTCCTTGAGGAGCATAATATGATTGGGCAGATCTGGCCACCTTTCAAAAAGGACCCAACACAAAAAGTGATTTGAGCAATAAAGGAAATATACTGACTCGTTTAACTCAGAAGTCCAGGCATGGCTGTTTACAAATGTTCAAACATGGTCTTGGGAAGCTCCTCTGTATCTTAGCTCTTCATTTCTCTATGCTTTATTCCCCAGAAGAATTTTTCTGTATGGGAGCAAAGATGGTCAACAAGATTAGCATCTCCTAAGGATGCTAAGGATGTAAAAGGATGAGGACAGTTTCCTAATCAGTCAGTAAACATCCTACAGTGGGTTCTCATTGGCCCAGCTCAAGTCACATGCCTATTACTGAGCCAATCACTGTGTCCAGGAGCGGAGTCGGGTATGATATTTTTATTACCCAGGACCACCTCATATACTTTTGCTCCCTTCTGAAGCCAGAGGATGGGATCAACCCCATTGAACTACATGGACTGAGAATGGGAGCAAGGTGTTTCTCCAAAGGAAAACCAAGGTGCTGTTATAAGAAGAAGACAGAACAGAGAAAACAAACAAGTGAATAGTAGGAGCAGCTTCTTGCATTTGTGGACATGCCTATTACCTCTTACTATAATATGTTCATTAATGAGACCCACAACTTTATATTCAAAATTTAAAATAAACTTTGGCAATATGCATCAATATTTTTACATACACTTAAGCCAGCAATCCTATTTCTAGAAATAATAATAATAGCTATGCTAATTAAGTGCTTCATTATGTGGCCAACACTGGCCTAAGCAATTTGCATAGGTTATTTCAATTAATACAGAACAACCCTAACATGCAAGTGATATTGTCTCCGTTTTTAAGCTCAAGAAATTGAGCTTAGAGAGGGTAAGTGATTTACTCAAGGTTGCACAGCTAATAAGAGGCAAAGCCAAAATTCAGCCTCCAAAGTCTTAACGACTATTAGTTGCTTTTTTCAGAAGTCTCAGTGGCAATACACTCTCATTGATTTTATTCTAAGAAAAAATACTATAGGTGAGAAAATATGTACATCCCAGGATGTTATTTATAAGTATTTGGTCACAAAACTCAAATGTGAAATAAAGTATCAATAAATTATGTCAACCTACATATGTCCCCTCATTATCAGTAAATACATACAAAGTTCCTACTTTATAAAATGATAAAAAATTAATGACTTTCTTTGTAAGGCTGTGAATTTGCAAGTTTGTTCAAACCAGCTGCCTAAGCTACAAAAGCACCCACAGTCAAGGTTAATCAAACACAATACGGCCTTGTGCATTGTTTCAAATCTAACACAATGTTAGCTTATTATTTAGGAAAAAATTGAATACTTAATCTGTACAATCACTCAAAATGAATCTGTATATGTATTACTGTCTTCTATCAGGCCAAAGGGAGCTTTAGGCTAAAGTAGTTAATCTTGGTGATGCTCAACACTGGAATATTCCATCAAATGGGAACGTGATTGGCTTGAGAGACCAGAAAGCTGATGATTTTAACCACTGCACCTAACATGACAAGTTTCGATTAACAGTTGGAAACCTACACTCTGCCGTAGTCCCCAACTCAGGGCAAAAGACAGATGAAGCAGGACAGCAGCAGCTCTGAAGCTAATAAGGAGCTTAGACCACTAGGAAGGTCAGCTGGAAAAATAGCCATACTGCTCTATACTTCTGACACTGCCTAGGCTGGGTGTGGGGAAAGGGAAGCTCAAAGTGTGTATGTCACTAATTCATTATTGCCACTTTTTCAAAAAGATGGATATTAATGTAAACAAGGTGAAGTTCTTACTGGACTTCAGATTTTTTTCTTTTTTTTTTCCCTTTTAACCTTTAGTAATACTTAGAAAGATCAATTAGTTTATAATCAGGCTCTTTCCATCATGCTTCCATTTCTCATTACCTTCAGGAATGTATCCTCAGCAAATATAGCCCTAAAACACTCCTGAAAAGCGCATGAAGGAGAAGCTCATTTGCACAAGAGTAATGATTTAGTCCTGTTCACTTCTAATTTGCATAATCCCCTTTCCTTTCTCCCTTCGTAACTGTCTTTGATATTTTTTCTCCAAATGACATGGGCTGGGAGAAAAAAATTAAGCAAGCATCAAAGTTCTGGTGCCTGTGTTCTCAGCTATTACATTAATCTTTAAGATTTTCTTTCCTGTTTATTAAAATCAGTGACTCATCCAACTTTACACATAAATCCATATCAAAATTAATTAGAATCTCGGAAGTGTAATGTTTGTCTCTGCCTTTATTAATTCCTGGAAGCTTGAAGTCAAGGCTCTGTGTGTGATTGTGGAAGAAAGGAAAAAGAGAAGCCAGTAGACATGACCTGCCAGGATTAACCAGCAGTGTTTGCATGGCAGGTTTCAGAATTTTGCCCAAGCCCCCTTGGTGCAAGGAAGGACCAGACCTCTAAGCAGCCCAGCTGTCAGGTCAGCCTCCTCTGAAATTGGGATTAGCCCTGTCCCCAACTTGAAACAGGGAAGATGGAGGTAAGAAGTAAACAATGAAGAATAGATCCCTGCTTGCTGACTTATGTTTCTCTCCCTCCTCCATAATCAGAAAAGCAGCCAATTCTTATAAATTAACTTTCTCTCCTTTCATCATGAAAAGGTTAAAAAAATGTATCTCACACAAATTTGCAAAACTTCTACTGGAGCAGGAAAAAGAAAGTGCAAGAAATAATGTGGGTACAAGGTGGAAATTATCATGTAGCAAGACATTTTTACATTTGGTTTTCTCAAAGTATACCTGGACACAAATGTAGGCAAAGGTGCATGAATAGGACAGGGGATTAGGTCTAGTACACTTATTAGTGAGAAACTGACAGTAACAGCTCCAG
This sequence comes from Homo sapiens, assembly GCF_000001405.40. Taxonomy (NCBI): domain Eukaryota; kingdom Metazoa; phylum Chordata; class Mammalia; order Primates; family Hominidae; genus Homo; species Homo sapiens. The sequence continues at coordinate 191,706,157 of NC_000002.12, read as the reverse complement.
TGCCCAGGATTTTATTGCATATTGATTTTGCTTTAGGAGGTCTGTGTGGAAATCACATAAAATGAACTTAGAAAACTAATTTTCTTCTCTGAAACTGCTCTTGAAAATGTTGGAGAATCTTCCAAAGAATTTTTTCTTGTTTTAAAACATTAGTTTCATTAATAACATTCCAAAATCTAAAGAAAATGCTACAAGAAAGCCAAGAAACCCACGCTTATACCACAAAAGAGGCTTAAATCACCCACAGATAAGACAAGTTAGAGTTTTAAAGCATAATAAATCTATTTTGCATGAACACATTTGAGACTACTTTTTATGAAGTCATTTAATTCCATGGATGTGTAAGGAGATAATTTCAAGCCCCAGAAAAATGTAAAACCAAAAAGTTAATACTGACTTTAACTCACCATGGAGGGCTCCTTCAGGCACTCCAGCTCCCTGCAAAATACTCACCCAACCCAAGAGTTCCAGGACCCCTTCACAATCCAGGGGGCCCCCACTTCTCTGCATGCGCACCCCTGCCTGCTCCAAGCTCAGGAGCAGCCCTGATGCTCTCACAGGTCCAGCAGTAAACATATAAGTTGGCAACCTCCCGAACCCTTAGCTGAATCTAGCAGGGCAAGTGGATGAATAATGTCTCCTTTGGTTGCAGGTGTTTGAACCTGTGCGACAGGCATCTCAGAGCAACCTTGCGCTCTACTATGTTACATAGGTTACTGAGTCAGCCCTTTCCCTTTATCCCCAAAGCTCTCTCCTTCCCCAGGACCCAGCCAGCAAGCAGGGATAAGGATGGACTCTGGGAACAGTCACTGCATTGTACTCAACGCCTCCTCTTGCCCTGTCAAGGAAGGCTTTGTTCTGGTCAAGTTCCACATGTCCAGATCGTTTTTTCCTAGGATATTCTCACCCTTTCCCACCACCTTCCTCTCCCACTCAAATTACACCTATTGGGCAATCTCACCAGTGGGCCCTGCAAGGGCAGATGCTTCTGAACCCCAGCAATGGGCCTAGCTTGACTTCTCTTCCCAGGAAGCTCTTCTGCCTCCAATCGACAATAAACACAGACAAGCCTGAAACCCTAGATATGTTGATAATCCCAAAGAAGGATCCAGAAAAAGAACAGGGAAGGTAACAGGCAGCACCAAGAGCACTTTCACTCCTACTGAGCAGTGGCCACCAGGTTGCTTTGGACCAATGGGTGCTTCATGCCATTTCACAGCACGGCTAAAACATAGGGGTGGGGGTCTGCACAGACGGCTCAAATGTGATAAACAATTTGTCACGTAAGAGCAGGTAAAACCAGACCTATGCTTCGGAACTTACATAGCCAAGTTCATGTTCTCTGACAGCTCTATCACATTTCTACCCCTACCCATTACTGCCTATTCCCTTTGGGACACTACCAAGAGTAATTTTCCCACATCCTTTGGCCCTTCCTTCCCCAGATGCTGCATTTAAGCTTCATCTTCACTTTTCAGTGCTCTCCCAACCCTGTTCTTAAGGACTTACTTTTGTTTTGTATGAAACAAAATAATAAACACCAAATTTCGACACACCCTCTGTGCCACACTGTTTCACCACATTCAAATGAGGCATTTATTTTGATTCAATGTGTATAATATAAATCATAGAGAGGACTCATGTTTTTTGCAGGGATAGGGTCTAAAGTCAGCATATAAAATGAAACCATGCATTGCCTAAATTTTTTTTAAATTTCTTTAAATTAACTTAGGATGCACAGTTTTATGTATGCAGCCCTATACAATAAATCACTTACAAATGATTCCACTTACTATAACAGAGACATGAAAAATCTAATTTTCAAAATTTTATTTTTATAGAGTGAGAGTTAGAAGTGGGTATTCTTCACTGAGTTCTGGGTAAGGCAGTTGCTTTACATTATTTTAAAAACAAAAAGATAGATGTGTTTTCAAGGGCTAGAGTCCCACAGAGCAGCAAGATGCTGCCCTCTAAGAACCATGTCAGAGCTGAGACAACCCGGGGGGCGCCAGTTGTTGGTGTCATGGTGGGTGCACTATTAAAATGAATATTTTTGTCTTTCTTTCCCACTTCTGTCTTATTTTTATTGGGTTTTGTTGGCTTTCTTGTTTACTAAGCCAAGTACTCTTAGTGAATTCTCATAAACTAAATGTGTATGAAATGCAACTTCACTGTAGAGGGAAAAATATTCATCAGGTTGATTATTCAGCAATGTTTGCTTACTCAAATATTTAATCTAAATATGCAGTTAGGCTCCTTTTTACCAGGGGATTGAGTCCTCTTGTTATCACTGGTGCCGCACAACCAGATATCCATACAAACACATACACATCTGCATGCTCATGGTACATACACACTCTCACTCAAGCAGCCACACAAGCACCACCAAGAAGGCAGTGAATGAAACACCATCCTCCAAAACCTCCAATCAATGATGAATCAACGTATTCCCCCACTAGTTGGTAAACTCTTTGGTGTCTGTGACCCCAACCCCACATCAACTCCCTCCTATCTGGCAAGTCGTCATTCCTACTCCCCTGTGTCCCTGTGGTGCCCTGCTGGCACTGAGCTCCTTGCCTCCATCTGCACCGCTGTCTCGCTGGGTCCCTGCCGTGCACTCTGCTGCCCTCCTTGCTGCCAGCATTTTGCAGCCGCCACCTTTCTGCCTCCAGCGCTGCTGGCAGCTTCTATTATTGCTGCATTTGCTGAGAAAGCCAGTCCTAAAACTGTCTCTCTTCTCTAGAAACACAAAAAAAATGGAGGGGAAAACAAGGCACTCTCAGGGACTAGTCAGCTTTCTGTCCTTCAAAAGTCCAAGGTCTGAATTCCTGGTTTGTATAGTCTCAATAATACCACCTCACAAAGGTAGGAGGAGGTCTTCCCAGCACTAGTGCTTATTTCAGGATGGCTGATCATGGGGAAATCATTAACATGAAATAACAACAGCAAACAATTACATAGCACTTAGAACCTTCTAGGAACTGTTTAAAATGCTTGGCACACATTAATTTAATACAATTATTATGCCAGTCCCTTTCAATGTTAAAAGCATGCTTATACCTAAATTGGCCTCCTAGACCCAGATCTAAACTTTCCAATAGAAGGGAAATACTTTGCTTTCCCATCATCATCCAGAGTGATATTTCCGTCTTCCCACTCAGGATATAATAAGATTGCACGAGGTTAATACCTGGCTTGTCCCAAATTCTGAGCATTCCTAGATTGTTATATCATAGTATAAGGTTTAGCTTTCTCAGGGCAGATAATGTGTCCATTCAAATTTTTAAACTTTTTTTAAAATGAAAATAAGTAGAAGATAGAAAAATATAATAAACCCTTTTATACTAGTCCCCAATCCTTAATAATTATCATCTTATGAATAATCTTACTTCATCTATACTCCCACCCACAGGACTATTTTGAGGCAAATAACTAATATCCTATCATTTCATCTTGTAATGACCAGGTGCCTTGTCAATGGGCAGCAATATTTTGAAAAGAATCCTTTTCTCTGAGTAGTAATTCTCAATAGTAGGTTTAAAATATTCAGTAAACCATGCTATAAACAGATGTGCTGTCATCCAGGTTTTGTTTTCCCATTTATAGAGCACAGGCAGAGTAGAGTTAGCATAATTCTTAATGGCCCTAAGATTTTTGGAACAGTAAATGAGCATTGGCTTTAACTTAAAATCACCAACTGCATTATCCCCTAACAAGAGAATCAGCCTATTCTTTGAAGCTTTGAATCCAGGCATTGACTTCTTCTCTCTAGCTATAAAAGTCCTAGATGGCATCTTCTGTCAACAGAAAACTCTTTTGTCTAATCATCCTTCAGTCTTGCCTCCAGGACCTTCTACCTATACCCAAATACATACATGCTCAAGTCCCACAGTCAGCTCTGTGGAACCTGCATATATGAAAAGATGGCTCTCTATATATGTGGGTTTCACATCCCATGAATACTGTATTTTCAATCTGCATTTGATTGAAAATAATTAATGTAAAAGTGAACCTGCACAGGCTCAAACCGTGTTGCTCAAGGGTCAACTGTGCATTGAAAATCTGTTGTTTAATGTAGCCACCTGTCTTCCTCTGTTTGTGTTGCTATCAAGGAATACTTGACACTGGGTAATTTACAAAGAAAAGAGGTTTATTTGGCTCATGGTTCTGCAGGCTGCACAAGAATGTGTTGCCAACATCTGCTTCTAATGAAGAGCTCAGGAAGCCTCCCCTCATGGCAGAAAACAAAGGGGAGCTGGTGTGTAGAGATCATATGTCAAGAGGGAAAGCAGGAGAGAGGGGAGGTGCCAGATGCTCACAGAAACCAACAGAACAAGAACTCACTCATTTCCACAAGGACGGCACCAAGTCCTTCTTAAGGGATCTGCCCCCATGACTCAAACACCTCCTGTTAGGTCCCACCTCCAACGCTGGGGAACAAATTTCAACAAAAGGTTTAGAAGGATAAACATTCAAACTATAGCACCACCTTCTTCAATGAATTATCTTAGCTAGATCTTCTGGAGAACTTGCTGCAGCTTCTACGTCAGCACTTGCTGCTTTACCTTGCACTTTTATGTTATGGACTTAGCTTCTTTCCTTAAATTTTATAAACTGACCTCTGCTAGCTTCCAACTCTTCTTCTGCAGCTTCCTCACCTCTATCAGGCTACACAGAATTGAAGAGAGTTAGGACTTATTCTGGATTAGGTTTTGGCTTAAGGGAATGTTATAGCTTGTTTGATCTTCTATATAGACCACTAAAACTTTCTATATATCAGCAATAGGCTGTTTCACTTTTTTATCATTCATGTATTCAGAACAGAATTCTCTGGTTTATTTCAAAATGACTACTTTTCCCTTCCCTCTGCCAGAAGCGGGAGAGGATTTTTCTTTGATATTCACTATGAGAATCTGGTAGAGCTCCAGGAGATAAAACTCACAAAAGTGTGGGAGCCCCTCAGTGACTGGATTTTCCTGGTGTTTTTAATCTCTTAGACTTGTCACTCTGAGCCTCCAGCAAATCATCCACTACAGTTCAAGTTTTCCTATCCTGCACTGGTTCCCATGGAGGTTTCTGCTCCTGGGTTTTTGCTCTGGTAAGTTGTGATTCTTTGTATTTGCCTGACTCTGCGGGGCAGTGGTTTGCTCTATGACCTCACTGTTCTTACAGATCTAAGAAGAGCTGTTAACTTTTCAGTTTGTTCGGCTTTTTTACTTGTCGTTAGGGTAGAGTGGTGACGTCCAGGCTCCTTAAATGTGGAACTGGAAACTAGAACAGGACACAACAGGTATCTCCAAAATATTAGGACTCTTCAACATAGACAACAAGCCATGTCACACTGGGAAAAAAGTGACCCATTTCTTAATATCATCAATATCTAATCACAGTTCAGATTTTCCCAAATGTCCATTGAATACTTTTATCCAGTGGATTCTTTCACAACAAAATTCAAATAAGGTTCACACATTGCATTTAGTTTATGTTTCCCTTGAGAGGACTTTCCACAATCATCACCCGTTTAATTTCCTTGCAATTTATTTGTTGAAGAAACATGGCTGTTGATCTTACAGGGTTTCAGACATTGTTTCCTATGGGATTATTTAACTTGTTCTCTGCACTCTAATTTCCATAAACTGGTAGATATAGAGACCCGAATACAGTCAGGATCAATTTTTTTTTAAAGAATACTAGTGTTAGTTCTTCTTATTGCTTCATATCAGGAGGTGCATAATGTATGGTTGTCTAGTGTTTTGTGATTGATCAAGGTGGTTCTGAATTGTCAACTAGATCCATTTATTAGAAAGCATTCATCAATTTTCCAAAATGATTTAGAGGACATTGGTGATCATTTCATAGATTCATTATTTCATTAGAAGTAGCAAAATGGTGATATTATAATGCTGTCATTCCTTCTTAATTTATTAGCTGGAATTTCTTATAAAAAAGAACTTTTCCATATCAACTATTAGATTACCCTGAGGCATGGTTTTTATAGGATAGACAATATAAATATTCTATTCTTTTTATTTATCTATTTTCAGAACAATGAGTTTTCGGTGTGTGTTTTGAGTATATGTGTGTATATATATGTATACACATGTGTGTATATGTATACACATATGTGTGTATATGTATACACATGTGTGTATATGTATACATATATGTGTGTATATGTATACATATATATGTGTGTATGTATACATACATGTGTATATACATGTGTATACATATATGTGTGTATATACATATATGTGTATATGTATACATATATGTGTGTATATGTACATATGTGTGTATATGTATACATATATGTGTGTATATGTATACATATGCGTGTGTATGTATACATATGCGTGTGTATGGATACATATGTGTGTATGTATACATATATGTGTGTATATGTATACATGTGTGTATATATGTGCATATGTATACATATGTGTGTATATGTATGCGTGTGTGTATATGTATACATATGTGTGTATATGTATGCGTGTGTGTATATGTATACATATGTGTGTATACATATGTGTGTATATGTGTACACATATGTGTGTATACACGCGTGTATATGTGTACACATATGTATGTATACACGTGTGTATGTGTACACGTGTGTATGTATGCACATGTGTGTATGTATGCACGTGTGTATGTATGCACATGCGTGCACATATGTATACATATGTGTGTGTATGTATGCATATGTGTGTGTATGTATGCATATGTGTATACATACATGTGTATGTATGTATACATACATATGTGTATACATACATATGTGTATATGTGTGTATACATACATATGTGTATATATATACACACATATGTACATATACATATATATATATACACACATATGTACATATACATATATATATATTTTTTTTTTTTTTTTTTTTTTCCTTGGAGAAAGGGTCTTGCTCTCTTATCCAGGCTGGAATGCAGTGGCATGATCATGGCTCACTGAAGCCTCGATCTCCGGGGCTCACAGGACCCTCCCTCATCAGCCCCCTCAGTAGCTGCAACCATAGGCATGCGCCACCACACCCAGCTAATTTTTTTAATTTTGTGTAGAGATGGGGTCTCACCATGTTGTCCAAGCTGGTCTCAAATCCCTGGGATCAAGCAATCCTCCCAATCAGCCTCACAAAGTGTTAGGATTACAGCCATGAGCCACCACATCTGGCCAAGTGTAATTTTAAACTCTCAGATTTTAATATGAATTTCAATTTATCACAACTGTTGTTTTGGTATACACAATTTCCCATCTTTGGCAAGAAATAATCCCTTTAAATTGGCTCCTAGTCCTTAAAAATGCAGTATTTTTTAAGGGTTTCCTTTATTTCATGTTCAACAAGATGTTTTCAGCTCATCTCATACATTCGTCATTTCTCCAAGGAATTCTTATTCCTTTTAGCAGAAAATTGCATTTAGAGACTATAATCTGCATTCTAAGGGTGCTCATTACTGATTTTCAAATAACAGGGCTAGAAAATGTGCTTCTGTAAAGGAAATACATTATGATTTTATAATGATATTTCCAATTCAAATTTGTAATTATAAACACAATTTATAATTTTATTTAGCAGCTTTGATTTTATATATATAGTTTCTTGATTCCTAATATTAACAAAATTGCATGTTATTTATCCTCCAAAATGTATATAATAGATTCAGAGTAACAATATTAACATATATTATTATTCAATATTAATACTATTTGTAAATTAATTTTATTTTTAATTTTTTATTTATTTTTAATTTAGTTTCATACTTTAGGGCATATCCACTAAAAATGCATAGACAAGTGACTGTGTTTTAAAAATACTTGAAGTAATTCTCCTCTGTGTGTTTAGGACACCAACACAATTAGTTTCATTTATTTCATTTAGCTTTTGCTTTGGATATATAGTTACGCACCTCATAACATTGTTTCAGTCAACAATGGACCACAATGAACCACGTATGCACCAGTGGTTCCATAAGGTTGTAATGGAGCTGGACAATTTCTATCACCTAGTGACACTGTAACTGCAGTGACATCATAGCTGTCTTAATGGTATAGCGCAATGCATTACATATGCAAATCTATGAATAAAAAAGAAGCAAATTGAGTAAACCACCATGGACATATTTCTGAAAAGAGTGACACTGCCTCAAAAAGAGCCTCAGGCAGGTCCTTCAGGAAGCCTTCCAGAAGGCATTGTTATCATAGGAAATGACAGCTCCATACATGTTATTGCCCCTCAAGACCTTCCAGTGGGACAAGATGTGGAGATGGAAGACACTGATATTAATGATCCTGACCCTGTGTAGGTCTAGGCTAATATGTGGGTGTCTTACATGTTTTTTTTTTTTTTTTTTTTTTTTTTTTTTTTTTTTTTTTTTTGAGACGGAGTCTCGCTCTGTCGCCCAGGCTGGAGTGCAGTGGCGCAATCTCGGCTCACTGCAAGCTCCGCCTCCCGGGTTCACGCCATTCTCCTGCCTCAGCCTCCCAAGTAGCTGGGACTACAGGCGCCCGCCACTACGCCCGGCTAATTTTTTGTATTTTTTTAGTAGAGACGGGGTTTCACCGTTTTAGCCGGGATGGTCTCGATCTCCTGACCTCGTGATCCACCCGCCTCGGCCTCCCAAAGTGCTGGGATTACAGGCGTGAGCCACCGCGCCCGGCCTCTTACATGTTTTTTTTAAGCTTTAAAAAAAAAAATACATTTGAAAATATTTTAAAAAGCTTATAGAATGACATAAAGAAAATATTTTTGTACAGCTGTACAATGTGTGTTTTAAGCTAAGTGTTATTACAAGAGTTAAAAACTTAAAAAACATTTAAAAAGTTTAAAAAGTAAGTTACAGTGAGCTAACTCATTATTGAAGAAGAAAATGTTTTTTATAAATTTAGTGTAGCCCAAATGTTCATAAATTCTACAGTAGTGTAGAATAATTTCCTAGGCCTCCACATTCACTCACCACTCACTCACTGACTCATACAGAGCAACTTCCAACCTCTAAGCTCCATTCCTGGTAAGTGCCCTTGCAAGTGTACCATTTTTTGACTTTTATACTGTGTTTTTACTGTACCTTTTCTATGTTTAGATACACAAATGTTTACCATTCTGTTACAATTGCCTACAGTATTCAGTACAGTAACATGCTATACAGGTTTGTAGCTTAGGAGCAATAGACTACATCATATAGCCTAGGTGTGCAGTAGGTATATTCTATGATGTTGGCACAGGGACAAAAGTGCCTAACGGCACCATTTCTCAGAATATATCCCTGTCATTAAGTGACACATCACTGTATAAGTATTTTTTATCTTGATTATAAGTGTGACGTGTGTAAAACATTGACATGGTTCTAAAGTTCTAGCTACAAAACAAAGTAAATTTAGAGAAATCTAACTTCCATCTGTGTCCCCTTGCTTTCTTCTAAAAAATCATTTTAGTGGTTTCTTATTCTTTCATTTTCTAAATAAAAGCAAAATACATATTTATATTCTCCCTTTATTAAATAAGAGGTAGCATACTCTATTAACTATTCTACACCTTGTTTTTTTCACTTAACAATATATCCTAAAGATCATTTTATGAAAGTATACAAATTTCCTACCCCTGTTGGAGCTGCTTAGTATTCCACGGGGTGAATGCACTGTAGTAGGTTCAACCACTCCTGAGTTGGTGGACATCTGAGTCGTTTCCAGTCTTTAACTATTATAGGCAATGCTTCGGTGAACATGTCTTTTCATGTTTGTGCCATTGTATCTTTAGTTTTGTATCAGTTAGCTTTTGCTATGTATAGCACACTGCCTCAGAACTTAATGGCATAAAGCTACAATCATTCATTAGCTCAAGATTCTGTAGGTCAGCAATTTTGGCAGAGCTCAGTGCTGTCCTTCTGTTGTTCTCACTCATGTGACTGAAGTCAGCTGGCAACTCAGCTGGAGCTGGATAGTCTAAGACAGACTCATCCATGTGTCTGGTGTAAGCAGGCTGTGAGCCAAGGTTTCTCAAGTGACCTCTCATCCTCCAGCAGGCTAGCTAGTGATCATTTATGTGGTCTCATGGCAGTCTCAGGGCTCCAAGCACTTCAAGAGAGAGCAAGCTCAATGCCCAAGCACTTTTCAATCTTCTGTGGCCATCAAGTTTGCTATTGTCATTTTGATCATGCAGGACACATGGACAAGCCCACTGTCAGTAGAAAAGAAGAGGACTAACCAAAGACGTGCAAACATATTTCCCTGCTTCCATGGAATGGGTATACCACCGTCTATTTGCAAATCATCTACCATGGAGAGACATTCCTAAACGTGGGCGATATGGTTTGGATATTTGTCTCCTCGAAGTCTCATGTTGAAATATGATCCCCGCTGTTGGAGACGGGGCCTAGGGGGAGGTGTTTGGGTCTAGGTAGTGGATCCCTCGTGAATGGTTTGGCACTTTCTCAGTAGCAATGCGTTCACATGAGAACTGGTTGCTTAAAAGAGCCTGGTATCTCTCTTGCTTCCTCTCGTCATGTAATATGCTGGCTCCTCTTCTCTTCCACCAAGACCAAAAGCTTCCTGGGCCTCATCAGAAGCTGAGCAGATGCTAACAGCCCTGCTTGTATACAGCCTGAAGAACCATGAAAAAAAATACCTCCTTTCTTTATAAATTACCCAGCCTCAGATTTTTTTATAGCAATATGAAAGGAATAATATAGCAGGATTGCTGGGTCACAAGGCAAATTTAAATGTAAAATTGCCAAATTCCCCTATAACAGAGATTATACAGTTTTGCATTTCCTCCATCAGTGAATGTTCCTATTCCAATAGTGTTACCAAGAGAATATTTTCTTTTTTGAGACAGAGTTACACTCTCGTCGCCCAGGTTGGAGTGCAGAGGTGCAATCTCGGCTCACTGCAACCTCCACCTCCCAGGTTCAAGCAATTCTCCTGCCTCAGCCTCCCAAGTAGCTGGGATTACAGGTGCGCACCATTATGCCCAGTAAATTTTTGTATTTTTAGTAGAGACGGGGTTTCACCATGTTGGCCAGGCTGGTCTTGAATGCCTGACCTCAGGTGATCCACCCACCTTGGCCTCTCAAAGCGCTGGGATTACAGGCATGAGCCACCACACCTGGCCAAGCAAGTGTGTTTTCAAACTTTCATTTTTTTTTTTTTTTTTTTTTTTTTTTTTTTTTTTTTTGAGACGGAGTCTCGCTCTGTCGCCCAGGCTGGAGTGCAGTGGCGGGATCTCGGCTCACTGCAAGCTCCGCCTCCCGGGTTCACGCCATTCTCCTGCCTCAGCCTCCCAAGTAGCTGGGACTACAGGCGCCCGCCACTACGCCCGGCTAATTTTTTGTATTTTTAGTAGAGACGGGGTTTCACCGTTTTAGCCGGGATGGTCTCGATCTCCTGACCTCGTGATCCGCCCGCCTCGGCCTCCCAAAGTGCTGGGATTACAGGCGTGAGCCACCGCGCCCGGCCAAACTTTCATATTTTTTCCAATCTAAAAGTGAAGAATGTTATCTTGGTGGTATTTTAATTTACATCTTTCATTATGAGTGAAGTTGAGCATCTTTTTATATACTTAAGGGCCATTTGAACTTTTTTTCTGTGAACTGTCCATATCTTTTGCCCACTTTTCCATAGTGTGTTTTGTCTTCTCTATTTATACAAGTTCTTTTTATGTTAGGAATATTAGCCCTTTGTGATGTTACAAATGTTTTTCCCAGTTGTCATTTTATTTTTTAACATGTAAATGTAGTCAAATTGATCAATCTTTCCTTTAATGCTTCTGGACTTTGAGCCATTTTTGGAAAATTTTCTCCATTCTTAATAGAATTCACCCATGGTTTTTTACTGTTTGTGTGGTGGTTAGGGAGAGTATCCAGTTATCCCAATACCCAAGAGTCCATAATTTCCCTGTTGATCTGATACCACTTCTGTAGACTTAAATTTGACTAATTGGGTTTGTAATAAGTTGACATTTAAAGTATGACTAATCTCAGGTAAAAATGTAAATTAGTCAAATTCCATATTTTGTTCTCCATCTTCCCCTCTGCATACACTCCCTTTCAAAACTAACTCCAATTCTATATCCTCTATGAAGCACCATCCACTGTCAGCAGCAGCCTCAATGTTTCACTATTGCTCAACTGTAATAGTATAGGCTTTGGTGTGTTGGACTCAGTCACCGCCTAGTTGTGTGATCTCATGCAAACTACTCAATCCTTCCCATGGGGATAACAAAACCTCCCTCTCAGGGTCTTTCATAGGTAACTCACTAGCATAGTACTTGGCATATAGTTAGTGCTCAACAAAGTATAGGCAGCCCATTAAAGAAGTGGAAGGAGAGAATCCTTAAACAATTGATGAGAAAGAAAAGCAAAGACCTGATATGCATGTGACTCAGATATGTGGAGTTCAATGCAGAAACACCTCTGATGGCAGTGATAATGTGTCATGTGTTCGTGTATATACGTGCACGTGCACATGGACTGGGAAAGAACACATGACTATATTTTTTTAGTCTGTTTCACTCAGGAATATTTCCCTGTAGACTCAGGGTGGGGGGTTGTAGCGGGGGGCGGGGTGTCTTTACTTGACAAGTAACTTACACTCTCTGGCTATGCGGATTCTGAATGCCAACCTTGGAGTACAAAATCCTAAGGAGGAGAGAGCACTTCAGTTCAGCTCATACCTTAAGAAAATTAGAGCCTAAGAATCAATATCTTCTGAAGAACTGAGCAACTGACCTGCAAACACTGAAGTTCCAGGATACTCCCTCTACTCTTGGCACTCTATCTCTGAGGACTTCATATCACGCCCTGCCACAGGCTCCTCCTCTTGCTTAGAACTGTTCAGGGCAGAGGAGTGGTGTGCTAACTCCTTTCAGCCAGTTCTTTGATGGCAAGTCCTCCTTCATTTCAGCAGTTTCTGCCCCAAATGTCAAGGATGACAGGTTTAAATCTTGATGGAAAAAAGAAAAAAAGAGTTGGAGCTAAGTTGAAACAGGGAAGAATAAAATACCAAGATCTTAGAACTTTATTTGAGATGCATGAAGGGCTAGGTTTGGCTGTACTCTGGCATGGTTAAGACTTGGAGAAATCTAGAGATGACTTTGGCACATATGAAATTTCCCTTCAGATAAGAATGTTTTTTAAAGTATTGAAAGAATGATGGCTGCTGGGGCCATGGAAAAAGAGATTGACTGGGGAAGGCACATTACAGAGGCTTCTAGAATGACAGCAATGTTCTGTATCTTGATAGAGGTTGCGATAAAGCCTAGGTATTTGTTAAAACTCAACTAATGCACAACTAAGATTTCCACATTTCTTTGTAAATTTTACAAAAAAAAAAAATCCTGAAAAATACTGAACTGTAATGAATAGGCATGTTGCAACGTTTAGGGAAAATTGTACGATGTCTGCAATTGACTAAAAATATATTAAAAATGCATTAATGGCTGGCTGGGCACGGTGACTCATGCCTGTAATCCTAGCACTTTGGGAGGCTGAGGCCAGAGGATCACTTGAGCCCAGGAGTTCAAGGCCAGCCTGGGGCAACATGATGAAACCCCTTCTTTACCAAAAATACAAAAATTAACCGGGCATGGTGGCTCCCCTCTGTAGTCCCAGCTATTCAGGAGCCTGAGGTGGGAGAATCGCCTCAATCTTGGAGGCAGAGGTTGCAGTGAGCTGAGATTGCACCATTGCAATCCAGCCTGAGTAAAAGAAACTCTGTCTCAAAAAAATAATAATTAAAAATGTATTAATAGGATGCACAGATATGTGATAGTGGCAAAATCTAGGTGGTGAGTATAAATTCTTTCAACATGCCTATATGTTTAAAATTTTTAATAAAATGTTGGGAAGTTATCCAATACTATAGTTATCAGAAGCCAATAAATTACTCCGCAACTCTGGGTGCACAGCAATTCCAAGGGCTGTCACCGGGAACAGAGAATTCCTTCCAATGTGCCCTCTGCCTGGCCCTAAGCAAGCCACTAACCTCCTTTCTGACACAAACCTGGACCCACAAGTTCTCTGTACTTTCATCATCTTGTCCTGCTGGGCAGAGGTGAATGGAAAAACACCAGTGTACTCAGCTAGTGGGCAGATCTTTGTAATGAAGACCCAACCCTACATGCTGTCACGGTAAACCGTCAGCATAAGTGCTTGTCTGTGCCCAGACAAGACAGGAAAAACTTGGTTTGACTGTTTAAAAAAGAACATAATTGTAATAATTCACATAAATTGCTTAATATTTCAGATTTTAAATTATAGAAGATTGTTTTCTAATAATGGCATGGAGAAATGAACAGTATTTTAACTTATTTCCAATGCTGATGGAGAAAGGGCTTAACATTTGTTGACCCTTAGATATGGAGCAGATGTTTTGCATACATTAGCTCACATAGTCCTCCTAACACTATGAGTACATAGCCCCACTATCATTTTATAACGAGGTTCATGGTCCTGGAGCCAGTAAATAGATCCAGGACTCAAACCAAGATCTCCTCAGCCCAAAACCATGTTCTTCTTCATGGAAGCACATTCTGGCATTTAAAATAGGTTATGTTCTGCAAAGCTCACATAATTACAACAGCAGCAGTCATTTGGCCAGGATTTTACCAAATACCATTGGGTAAAGGAATGAAATTTCTAAGGGCAGTGTCGTGTTCTACTTCAATTGTTTTTACCAAACCACCACTCACCAAAAGGCATTTTTAACAGTTTACACTTCTCACCAACAATATTGACAAATGTGATGAGAATACAAAACTTGGCAACCTTTCCCATATTTTCTATAGCTTTAGGGGCAGTTCAGGGTTTCATCTACTTAACTGAAATTTAATGTCAGTGTTGATTGTTCATAAACTAAACAAATGGCCCAACTGCCCCTTAAGGATTTTCCATATCATACTTAACACCACTATCAGGCAAAAATCGCTATTCATTGGAACAGAACCATTTCCCCCACGTGTTAAACTAAGCCAGATTTCTAAACAGACAGAAACTATGCAGCAATGACCCAGTAGATGGCACTAGTTGTGCTGACTACCTTTCTATTCAAGTAGTCCAGCAACTTAGGTCAGAAGTTTGTTTCCTACGAGGGCTATAAACATTTAATACTGAACATTAGAAACACATGGCAATCAAATCATGATTTCCATGTTACTTGCAGAAAATACTCATTGTAGTTGCCTCTCTGTACAGAACTGAGATCTTTACGTGGAAGATGAAGGGTGGTTTCTCTAAGTATTTTCAAAAGTATTTATCAAGTCTCCAACTCAACTACTTTTCAATTTGGCCAGCCTTCTTTTAGTAAAGTAGGGAATTGAGGGACAGGAGGAAGGCAGAAGATGCTGGTAACATTAATTTGCTGAGATGAGCAACAATAAACTCTAAATTTTCAAAAACGTAGGAAAAAAAGCATTTTACTTTTATCTAGATAGGCTCAAGGAAAGTCATGTGACCTCCCAATTAATATCTGATCCTCGAATTGATATATAATTTAAATCATTTTATTTGAGCCTAATTCAAAATTTGCAATACCCTCATCCAGAGGCCATACTGAACCTCTTATTCTGCTCTGCGCTATATGCTTTACCCAACAATTCTGCCCTCTGGAGGGACATTCTTTTAAGCACAATTTTTTGTTTTACAATCCAACACGTCAGCATATATTAGCCTCACAAAGGTAAAAGAAACTGAGGGGAAAAAAAAAAAATATATATATATATATATATATAATTTCAATACAAGGGAAGATCTCAAGGGCAGGAGGCAGACAACCTCAGGGTTTCAAATGCAGATCTCCCAAATGTACACTGATGTTATTCTAGTAATGCAGAGGTGCAACCTGTACTTTTAACAAGTTCCTGGGAAGCCTCATGTAGATGGTTTCTAAATCACTAAGAATTTTACTCAATATGCATTTAATATACAAACCAAGAAACTAGACTTACCCAATGCTGAAAAGCATAAATTTTGATGGAGTAAGAGACATAACTTCAATTTCTGATTGGAAATAACAGGTTTTTTTAAACATCACTAGCCCTTCAACAGAGGTTGAGACATATTGTGGGGGTCTGATCAGTAGTGTGTCAATAAACTCTCAAGAGACCTGTGCTCTTTTATAGGTCAACAATGATCATCCAAGCCCACACGTTCTCAAAGCCTGGGGAGCCACAATAAAATTGTGGGTTGTCAACCAAGACCCTCCAAAAGACTTAAACGAAATGTCTACTAGTCAAACTTCTTAAAATGTTCGTTGTCTTCACATCACGCTGGTTCTCTCACAGTAGTAAAAAGCTCTTAGTAACATCTTTGGGTCCAATGTTAACATGGAAAAAAGTTTGTCATAAACCAGACTTGATTTCCTCTTTTCTTACTCTGTGATCTATACTTTGAGAAACATCAATAGATCATTTTAGTTCAGAAACCTGGAGTAATTTGGTTACAATATTTGAATTCCAAACTCAGGCAGTCTCCAGTAAAGCACACTGAAACATTTGGATGTAATTTAAATACACTTGAAAAGTAAAATGTTTTTCTAGCTTTTCCCTCAGGGCGTAACACCACACCATTCATAACAATGCTATTTTCCAAAGGTCTCAATTAGATTTCCTCAGAAGCATACCTGAACTGTTAATCATTACAACTCCTTTGTGAAACATGGGACTGGTTGATTACCCAGTGTAATCACTGGCTGAAACCTCAGCACACTGTTTTTCACCCCAGTGGAGGCAGGTTTTCACCTCCCCTCTAGCTGTACCCCTCTCTTAATGCCCATATTAGAGAACTGTGATCTTCTTTCTCCACTAGAAATGTTCACTTTCATCAGGTAAGGGATAAAACAAAAACAAGAGACAGAAGATCTTAAAAAAAAAAAATAGTAATAGGGCAAGTAAACTCAGTGAGGTTAGAGGAATTTGTTTGGGGGGCATTCTATGTTGTTAGTTTCATATCATGTTCAGTTTGTTGTTTCTAGAACCCTCTGAAATGCATTAGAAGACCTTAAGAGTCATTCTCAGCCTAAAATGGCTTGGAACAAACAGCCAGTATCTCAATGACACCAGAAAAAGTCATTTCAGTAACTAAACTGAAATGTTAGAGTTATATGTCTTCAGACTGATGTAAAACTTTTACCTTCTGAGAAAACCTTTTAGGGTCATTTACCTACTTTCCTATAGTTAAGAAGTTCTCGTATCATAAATTGTAACTTTAATCTTTTACTAACCTCACATCTATTTGTTTTTAGCATCATTCCCTTGGCATTACTCAACCCAGCAAATTAAACATTCATTTAAAATGTTAAATGATAAAAATACAAATGACTAACAGTAATACCCATATTCAGGTTATCCTAAGTTAAACTGTCATCAAAGTTAAAATTACAAAGGCTATAGGGACAAAGTATAAAGCGTTGGAAAAAGTGAGTGTTTAAATGCCTATGGGAAAACATACTGTAGCCTTCCCCACTAAATATCATTATCATTATCTAGCTTTACGATTTCATCTTTCAGTTTTTGTATTACAGCAGCTTCTCCTAGAACCTGCCCAAACAAGAAGGGGCAAGCTGATCTGATGAGACTTTGATCCACTCCAGAACTGTTTTGTAGAAATGATATGGGGGACCCAATTCTGGTGGGGGATATTTTTATACTAAGTGGTTTTTGTTTTCAGTAGGTGTTGTTTAAACTTATTTCAAAGTTGATAGCTGAGAGCACTAGGAAGGAGGAAGGCAGAAAACTTTCTTCCTCTTAAGTTCTTGATGAATGTGTTCCAGTAGGCTGGTAAGGCAAATATTCATTATGGATTGTAACTCACTTTTCTTTGATTTTGGAGGCTTCCCTTAAGAAAAAAGAAATTTGTTAATAAATGATAAAAACACAGAACAAGGTTACATTATTGAAGCAAGTGTCAATCACAAAAGTAAAAGCTTAAGTCTTTCTCCATTTAATCTCAACATGTTAAGCAGGGGTCCCCAACCCCTAGATCAGTATCAATTCTGGCCTGCTAGGAACAGGAACGCCCAGCAGGTGAGTGGCGGGCGAGGGAGACTTACTGCCTGAGCTCCACCTCCTGTCAGATGAGTGGTGGCATTAGATTCTCATAGGAGCATGAACCCTATTGTGAAATGAGTATGCAAGGGATTGAGGTTGCACGCTCCTTATGAGAATCTAACTAATGACTGATGACCTGAGGTGGAACAGTTTCATCCCAAAACCATCCCCCGATCCCACGGAAAAACTGTCTTCCAGGAGACTGGTCTCTGGTGCCAAAAAGGTTGGGGACCACTGTGTTAAAGGGTAACAATACTTTCATACTGAATTCTGCATTTTTTTCCTACTGTTGGGGTATAAGACGACATTATTATGTGTCAGAAGTCATTATAATTACTTACATGGAAATCTTAAACAAGTCTAGAAAGGATACTGTTACTTACTTGTTTTCATACTTGTGGAACCTAAGGCTTAAAGACATTTCAAGTGTAATAACTCATCCAACATCACAGGTGAGGAGACAATGAGGCCAGGATTGGAAGCCCAGCATTCCATACCTGACAGCATTTAAATTTTCTAAA
Source organism: Homo sapiens (assembly GCF_000001405.40). Lineage (NCBI taxonomy): Eukaryota > Metazoa > Chordata > Mammalia > Primates > Hominidae > Homo > Homo sapiens. The sequence goes on along the minus strand of NC_000002.12, from coordinate 191,687,580 downwards.
ATTCCAAATTTTTTTCTTTTAAAATCACCTTTAATGCTGTATTCTCCCACAAATAATTTAAAGTGTTGCTCCTATCTTACTTATATAAAACAATCATATACTAATTTGTAGGGTTTTTAAAAATTCTAAACATCTACAATTTTATGAAACATACTCTCTATCCCAGTCCTTAGACAACTTCTTTTGAGGTATTCTATAATGTGAAAATCTTAAGAAAACATTAATCACAAACAAAGCCAAATTATAATCATGAATATGCATATGAACAAAGGAAAAAAATTTCTATAATTTTTGTAACCCCAGTTACAAAAGTACTATAGACCACAAATAAACTTGTGGAGATTATTCGGTATTTTGTCTACCCCTTAACACTTTCCACACAGTGCCTAATACATAGTGTGTACTGAAATATTTGTTAAACACAGTGAATTAGGGCAAACAATCTGGCACAACTTTTTGTATTCAAATGCTATGGAGTTTTCAGAAAACAAAATCTACTTATTTTGTGATTTGAAGTGGAAAAAAAACAAAGCAACAAATGCAGAGCTAAGTAACCATGAGGTTGATACCATCACTACAACAGTAGTTAAGATGTACTGGCTCTCCACTGTAAGTCATTGAAAGGGCAAAAATTACGTAGGTTTGTTAACATTAACACATGCTTTATTCAAGAGATAATATTCAAAGAGTTAAATCCTAAGAGTTATCCACCCTACAGTAAAAAGGGGAAGTGGGTACCACTTATGACATGTACATAAATTCCACTTTTATATTTCTGAATAAAGCTGCAATTGCTTCTTTGATAGAGCCATTTCTTAAAACTTTTGCTAATAAGGCTATGTGAACTGTGTTCAGAAACTTTGACAACATGCACACTCACTCCTCTCAAAGTCAGTACCCAGGATTTTCACTCCAGGCTGAGTACCTATTAAGTAACTAGGACTTCAGACTGCATGTTACTATATGAATTCAATTTGACTCACCTCCAGTATGTTTATCTACCACAACTATTGTTTAAAATAATCAGATGAATGTTTATCATAACTTTATAACTCCCCCAAATTATACTTCAGTATTTAACATGGTAGTTTCAAAAAATAAATATTCAAGGCCCCAGTTTTAAATTTTCCTCCAATGTAATCCACAAAGTTGATAATACATGTTAGGAGCACTACTCTAAAATAAATGTAGCTTTCTTTTAAAATTACTTGTTGCAATAGAGATCACATTCTATTCCAAATTCTGATAAGGAATCTGTTTTTTTGGTAATACAACAAAAATTTGGGATGAGTCAGTCCTTGGAAAATCTTAATAGTAGTCACTGAACGAAGTCAATCATTCCGAGAGCCACAAACACTCAAAAATTACTGCTAGCATTGACAAGTTCTTGTGTTTTTTGATGGTTATTGCTTTAGTTGGCAATATCTGAATACAAGACAAAAGAACATCTCCCATTAAGCCTTATGTTAAATATTACAAAACTTATACAGAAGATAGACTCATAGAGGCTATAAAGCTGATGTCTTAAGTAACTCACCCATGAAATGGGTGCAGGTTTTTTAAAGGCTATCCAATAATCTTTTTACTCTAAAAATAAATGCCCCTACTTTTCAGTGTTCCCATTCTTCAACAGGAGACTCGAGCAGCTTAACAGTTTTGCTATAAAAACAAACCATTCTTCTTAACAAACCAAGAATATAAAAGGAAACCCAATAAAGGACGTACTTTTCACAGTTAACAATAAATAAAAGTGCAATAAGTGTTCAAGTAGGGCATGTAGTATAAAAACTACACATGAGTATTTAGCATAGGTCATCTTTTAAAGGCTCTCCGAGGGTCCCTGCCATTACTTATTGTGGTCATCACTGTTTGATTACTAGCTGTTCCTTGTAGTTGTGGATTTATAAGTCCCCGGCCATTGCTTCTGCCAGCATGTGAAAACTGGTGTTCCCTTGATTCAGGGCCAGTGTGAACACCATTTCCTAAAAAAGAATACAAAAATTCATCACTATTTTCAGAGGTAGTCTATAGAAGTAGAACTATCTTAAGTGCCAACATGTTATTAATGCTTAAAAATATTAAAGCACACACTTTTATTTTTATACAGAAAAAAAAAACAATGTGGGCTCTAAGTTTTTCCAAATGTATTGCTATAAATATGCTAACTTGATGCTGTATTAATAGAGAGAAAAAAGCCAACTTGGGCATCAAAATTAGAAATTAATAGAGTAAAAAAATGCATTGCCTACACTATAAAAGAAAAAGAAAGGGCAAAATAGTGAATATTGGAATTTGGCTCAAATATGATTAATATCTCAAAACAGACAATGTTATTCTAACTTTTTAAAGGCAAAGGCAGCGTTTCCCACAATGTGATCAGCAATGCCAAGACATGTAGCCTTCGAGTCAAATAAAACATGAGCTGGCCAGGTTCAGTGGCTCACGCCTGTATGTAATCCCAGCACTTTAGGACGCCGAGGCAGGTGGATCATTTGAGGTCAGGAGTTCGAGACTAGCCTGGCCCATATGGTGAAATCCCATCTCTATTAAAAATATAAAAATTAGCTGGGTGGTAGTGGTGCACATCTGTAATCCCAGCTACTTGGGAGGCTGAGGCAGGAGAATCACTTGAGCCTGCGAGGTGGAGGTTGCGATGAGCCAAGATCACGCCACTGCACTCCAGTCTGGGCAACAGCGTAAGACCCTGTCTCAAAAACAAAACAAAACCAAAACATGAGCCATCCTAATGAACTCTAATCACAAAAGACTGACTTTTCCTCATATATTTAAGAAAAAAGACTTCAGAAGACCTTTAACAGAGCTACAAGGATCATGAACATGATGTCTGGGGGTCATGTTAAATGACATCTGAGGGTCACTAGCCTTTAAACGGCTCAGCTCATCTTTTAAAGCAGCAGCTACTTGTATGTGAAAAATTAAGGTGAACTATGACTCTAAAGATAAAACGCTTTCAGTGCACCAAAATAACCAGTAATTCTGCATCTACTATAAGTAATCACTAGATTATAGAAATTTTATAGGAATCAATAAAAAAAAAATAGCATGGTATCTCTTCACGGACATCACAAAAACTTAGAATTCTCAATAAACTGGCTTAAGTTTATCAACTTTCTAGAAAATCAGCCCTTTGGGGATTCCCTGTTTACTGGTAGTTCACCTTTATCACTAATTTATGCCTAAAGACGTTGCTTTTCACGTGAATCTTTACAGCTCTCTTCATTCTTATACCTGATCACAAATGAAACACACAAACAAAATCTTACCCACTGGTCCAAATGTACCTGTACCCATATTACTATTCATGGAATTATTCTTCTGTTCACTCTGTGCCTAAAAAAAAGTTTTTAATTTAACCAAACGAGAATAAAAACACAATTATATTATTACAACATTATTATATCCTTTCTTTTTTAAAGTTTTGGGTTTGGCTTTTTTTTTTTTTTTAATTAACAAATTTTTTAAAGATTTTTCCTAGGTCATTAAAGGTTATAATGTTAAGAAACGTTTCCCAAACCTTTCAGAGCTCTGTTACATCCTATTTCCTGATAATTACTCAGCACACCACAAAGTGCAAAATGGCACATATATCTAGTAGATGACACCTCAGATACATATCCTCACAAAACATACAATAAAAATTAAGTATCCTTTTAAAAATTATCTTCTTTATACTAAGTATCAACAGGGCTAGCCTAATCATAGAATTATAACACAGTCAAAATTAGCCTAATCATAAAAGTATACTACACAATTACCCCTTTGTTCTGCTGTCCTCGATAATCTGGGTTGGGTTCACTGAAATTTGGCACTTCTGAATAAACCATACAAAATCTGAAAGAAAATAAAGAAAAAATTAAATGACTTCTGAAATAAAGTCCTCAACCCTTCTTTATGTAACATCTCTAACTTTTAGGAATGAACTTATGTGTCAAACAAATTAATAGCAACAAACTAACTCTTCATTTACAACAAAAACTTCCCAAATGATTATGTCCCATAAAACATCAAATATTTGACTGTCTACAAGATATATAACATTCTATTTTGTATTTAAATTCTTCTTTAGTGCTGAAAAAAAAATCACATCAAAAATCAAGGACACAAAAACATCTCTGTCCTGTTTTTCCACAAAAGCTGATCAAAGGAAAAATAACATGAGAGTGAACCATGTTTAGGGTTCCAGGGTGGTTTCTCCAGCAGTGGTAATGGATTTGCACCGATCCATTCACCCACTCCCATTCAGTCCCTCTTTTGATCGATCACTGTGGATCTGCAAAGATAATCATTTAGGGTTAAGAGTGGTTTCTAGGCAATAAATAATAACAACAGGCTACATAGCCACCAGTTTATCCAAGTGCTTCCTGTAAGTTGACCATATAATGTGTACTAACATTACAAAGAAGCATTTTATTACTCCTCACCATACTGAAGACAAATCAGAACCAGTTTTGGTAAATCCTCGACTGACCCTGACAAAGAGCAGTCATTAAGAAATGAGTGACCTCTAACGGTTTTTCACGTAACTGACCTCCATTATTATCAACACCTCTGTATGAATACATGAAGGTCAGGACAGAATCCTGAACCTTTCAGTAACAGACACTAAGACCTTTCATAACACATAACTCTATTAATGCTACTCTAAGTGAATCCTAACTTCCCTTCTAACAAAGGCAAAGCGTTAAGTGTTTCTGATCTTTAAAAGCTAGCATGATCATTTCTTTTCCTTCATTATTAACCACAGGTTCTCCAAATAAGCATCTTATTCCCTCAGTGGCAAACAGTTTTCCTTTTTTATCTGGTGCCATTTGTGGCTTCTCTTTTTAAATATCTTCCAATTTGACAGGCATTAAGTAGATGGCAGAGCATTAACCAAACAGAATGGACTGATGATTTGGCTCATTGCCTGTACCATACTTTATGAATACAACCCAATGTCTAGGCTAACATGGAGGCTGAATTACCTTACACCCCTAGAGAGGATGGCTCCTCCAGGTCAGGGTGGAGATCATTACCAGGGTAGTAGTGTATGGAATCTCGCATTGCGGCTGCCTGCACCGCACCTAGACTGTGGATAAATAGAGGACTTCAGTTTTCGTTGCTGCAAGTCCTTTTTAACATGAGTACATATTCACCCATAACCATAGAAAAAGAAAATTTAAACTTATGGCCTGAAACTTGGTGAATCACTAGCTTCGTATATGGTGAATCACTACAAAAGAGAATCTACTTCAAATGGCTCTTGTGACACCTAAAAAATGCACATTTCTAAAACCTACAGAAATGCTTCCACTAGGGCTGGTCTCAACTGCAGCTTCTTCTACTGCTCTTTGCCAGGAAAAATTGACACTTTTAACCACAGAAAACAGTACTGACAAGTGTTAAATTTGTATACACGAAGTTATTTTTTCAATTAAGCTACCAAAGACATTCAGTTTACTAGTCAAAAAAGCCAAAGAGGTTTACAATTCATACCTACCAATCATTCCGTAGATATTATTTATAATATATGCAATTATACAAAATGCATTTTAATACTTACTCCCCAATTTTTTGAAGTTCACCACCCCTTCCAGTATAAAGTGTCAGACATCCTTTCCACATGGATGCATACCTAGAGAGAAAAGAAACATTAATTCTTTAGAAATATATTTATTTTCTTCTATTTAAATCAAGTAAATCTTCACACTATATATTTTTTGTATTAAGGTAGAAGTGAGGATCAAGCCCTCTCTATCCACCATAGTAAATCAAATACAATAAATCTAACTTTGATAACTTGCTATTTACAAAAGAATACAAAAATTCTGTCGAATTTTGACATAATTATCTAAATCATAACAAATTCTGGAAAATAAGTCTTTTCGCAAAGCCAGTATTATTATACCCAATGATCACATCTTTAGTCAATTAACAAAACAAAAGCTTTTAATTGCAGAAATTTAAACAGAAACTATTTTTCAGCCACAAGATATGTAAAATCATCCTAATGTTTCATTTACAGTCTAGTCAAATAATGATATAACAGTTTTCCTTCTGCCTCCATAAAAGACACAGGATTCCTAAGCTACCGAAGATCTGGTAGAATTTCAAAGTGCTAAAAAAAACACTAAGGTCACAAAGCTTCACCTATCTGCCTTTCCAAACATGTGATTTTTAATACCATGCTGGGTTTGTAGTAAACAAACTGGCAAATGTTTACTCCGAACAATTTTGAAAGCAGACAGCATCACTACATAAAATAATCCTAGATATCTAAGAAAAAGGTAAATTAATATTATAAAATCAATCCAAGGTTTGGTTCTCAATGGTTCTCTGTACAACTACTATGGTAACTTCATGACTTTAACTTACTATACAGTTCTCTTTACTTTAATTAAAGGGTTATTTATTAAAGACACCATTCACCACTCTTAAGTTATACAAAGAGTGGCTTAGGATACAGTGCATTAACATTTCACCTTACTAAAATAAAAATTAACCCATATTTTGAGAAAAAATTTGGTTACAATTAAAATATTTAACATTCACTTTAAGAAATGAGAACACTGAGGTAAGTTTTCAGGGTATTCTGATAAACATGTTGATATTTGAACCATTATTTAGATGTTAGGTATGTTTTTCTTCAAAAGCTACTTTTCTTAGATTCAACCAGAATTTAAGGGCCTTAGAATGAGCCAGACTCCAAGCTGAGTGTGTTGTTTTGGTAAATAAGGTATAATTATTCCCATTTCACAGAAGAGGAAGCTGAAGTATGAGGTGTAGTAACTTCTCAAGGTCATACTGAAGTAGTAAATAGAGTTTCTATAGTTTTTAATTTTCGTTTAAATTGTACTCCCAGGTAATTGTTCCCCTTAAAATTCTATAGTACCTAACTAATAAGTTTAATTTTCCAATAATTTTTTTGATGGAAACACCTATGACTGTCACTACAGAACATGAAATACTTGAAATAAGATGCCGTTTTTAGCGTAAAAAATACTTTCAATCATTGGGTGAAAAATATTTGGGGAGCCAAAAACTCCAATTATACTAATCAATCCTCACCATACTTCCCTAAGAAGGAATTCTCTTTTGTTTTTTAAAGATGTGGAAGTTTAAATTACTGTCATGAGTCAGTGTATGAGAAGAAAATGTCTAAGTCCTGACTCTCACTTCCTGCTTTGATGACACTTTACCTCACTTCCTGAAGATGTTGTAAGCCTGCAAGGTAACACCAAGGAGCTCTAAGCTCCTACTCTCAGTGCTTTCCAATACTTCTAAGATTCTACTTATTAGGCCAACATCAATCTCCACCACTTTCCCTGCAGTTAATGATAAATTATTACAATTTTATTGATCTCAAAAGCTTCCAAATTCTGTTTTTAAGATCCTTTTCTGCCCTTTTATCTTCCTAAGATAAAAATTTGGTAAATTTCTAAAAGCAATCTATTTTTTAAAAAAAAAGTTCTAGTATTTTTTAAAGCCACCTATCCGCCAACTGACTCTTTTGGATGAAGGTATTGTAGATGCCTTTCTGCCAAACATTTTCTGTGTATCCCTTTGGTTTTTGCGCAACATCCACCTTACAGCAGAAGACACAAGAAATCATTTTGGAGAATGAGCCTTCCAGATACTGTAAAGTTTCCCTCTTTTTCCAAGTACAAATTTGACATATCACAGAATATGCTAAATCCTTTACCTATAATTTTCATTTATGTCCACATTTCTAAATAACATATGTAAAATACTGGCCAGGATTTCAAGTCATTAAAAATGGAGAAGGGGTGGGAAACAACTGAGTGGCAACTACACTAGAGAAAACAACTTATAAAAAAGAAAAAATATGGACTATACCAGTCTCCTAAAAAGACTCACTGACTCAGAATAGAACTAAAAATCTATGCCGGGCGTGGTGGCTCACGCCTGTAATCCCAGCACTTTGGGAGGTTGGGGCGCGCGGATCACTTGAGGTCAGGAGTTGGAGACCAGCCTGGGCAACACTCTGAAACCCCGTCTCTGCTAAAAATACAAAACTTAGCTGGGCGTGGTGGCACACGCCTGTAGTCCCAGCTACTTGGGAGGCTGAGGCACGAGAATCTCTTGAACCCGCGAGGCGGAGGCTGCAGTGAGGAGAGATCACGCCACTGCACTCCAGCTTGGCGACAGAGCGAGACTCGGTCCCAAAAAATAATAATAATTAAAAATCTACTTAACCTGTAAACCGGGGTAGAGGCGCGGATTTCCCAGCTGAAACCGACTGCCTTTCACTGCAAAGGTCTGTTACATCCCAGCGCTGCCCACCACCCAAAGTTAACACCAAAGGAGTTCAAAACTCCTCAAGAGTGGCCCACAGAAAAGGCGGGGGACTTCAGGGCTTGCCAAGATCCCAGGAGCCGGCCAATCCCGATTCTGCAGACTGTTAGGTCCCCCGACTTTTTTGCACACCTACCCTCTGGTCAACCGAATAATATCCCCTGGCTGTATAAGACCTCCGATCTCATCCCACACGGAAATAGTGATGCTGCCCGTTTTATCTGCTACTTTGCACGATCTCACTTCATGGCCGTCTTTGGTTTTGGTCACGCGTCCTGTGAGGATTTAAAAATCAAAGGGAGGGGTTGTTAGATAATGAGGACATCCAGAAAGGCTAACTCCTCCTCCGGTATTTTAATACATCTGGAAGGTGGGAAGTGACCAAGCCCAGGGCTCCCGCCTCAGGTAGGATCCGATCTCGGGCGGAGGCCACTAGAGCCACGTGGGTGGGGGAGGGGAGGGAGGAGGAGGGGAGCCCCGGGCGCGCAGCGGCCGGCGCCCCTGTCTCCCGCCCCGGGAGGCACAGCGGGCGGTGGAGTAGGCTGCAAACCCCACTTACCTATCTCCAGGACAATAAAGACGACATTTAAGTTTTTCAGTCCGGGCTTAATATCTCTTATAAAAATAAGTGGGTCGTTGACCCTATTCATATTGGGACAGGCGCGGCTACGGCTGCGGAGACGCGAGTGGGCAGGGCGGGGTCAAAGCTTCCCACCCTCCCGGGACAGGGGCGAAGGCAGAGGGGCGACCTTGGGCAGGGGTGGCGAGAGAAGGGGCAGAAAGCCGTTAGTCAGGGACCGGGCAAACCAGCCCGGACAGCACTGAGCCTAAAAAAAGAAAAAAAAAAAAAAAAAAAAAAAAGGCTCACAAGTTCTAAAGAAAAAAAGGCGAACCACTCCGCACACCAACCCCGCTCCCAACCGGGCGACAGGAAGGCAAGCGTACTAACTGCCCCGTTCTTTGGATAAAAGGAAAAAAAAACGCAGTGAGGGGACACTTCTGCCCTGAGTCCCGCTCACTCACACGGGCGCGCGCCCAGCCTGTCCCGGGCTCCGGGAAGGAACGGGCTGTGACAGCGAAACGGGAGCGGAGACAGAACACCGCACACCCAGCGTCCCAAACAGCGACTGATGAACACGCCCGCGCGCCGGCAGGACCCTCGGCCCGCCCCTCCCCTTGTGAAGTCACGCTGCGTCGGCACGCCTGCTGCCACGCCCGCCTGGTGCTGGGGAGGGGAAGCAAAGGGGCGGGACCCGGCCGCCGCAGCCCGCAGAGCTTCCCTCGCTCCTCCCCGGGGGCTGTCAGCGCGGGCTCCGCCCCCTCGTCCTTCCAATCGCTCTCGGCCCCGCCTCCCCCGCCCTCCCGTTCTCCACCCACTTCAGCTGTCGCCGCGCAGCAGCAGTTCTGTTCGGTTTCGCCTTCCTGCTGTGCAGTCTTTTGACGCTTGCTGTCCAACTTTGGAGTTTTCTTGCCTTTTTTTCTCTCAGAGTTGAGCCCCTGCCCGGGCCCTTTAGTCCCTCGGTCACGAGGAACGGTAGAGTTTAGAACCTGTGAGTACGTTAGAAAGTTCGCAGTCGAGGAAGAACAGGGTTCGGGCAAGGGCAGCTGGTCCGGTACCAAGGGAAAACAGGCTGGGATGGTGAAGGCGTCAGTGGCTACAAGGCTGGAAGTTTAGCACCAGAAGGGAATTTGGAGATCAATTCAACCGCCTCATTTCAGGCATACTTAAATTGAAACCCAGAAAGATGAGGTAATTTGCAGAAGGTCACCCAGCAACCCCTGAGCAGGCAGGACTGCAACACAAATGTCTGACGTGGGCTTCCACTGTGTAATGCTAAGCAGATAGGACGTAAATTCCTTTGCAGACTTCTCATTTTTCCTTACCCCCTGCCTCTCATATTACACACCTTCCCCATTTAGCTTTTCTTCTTTTACTTTGCACTTGCTTTTGTACATCTAAAAGGAATTAATTATTCAACAGCAGTGGGAACCCTTGAAACATAATCTGGAAAAAAAGATTAATAAAGTTTTTTTTATGTCGCGTAGTGAAAAGAGCATGTGCTTTAGAGACAAACCTGGGCTCCAGCTATTTACTTGTGAGAGCTTTAGGTCAATTGGCTTTTATTACAGCTTTTTAACCATAATAAAATGGGGATCCCTGCCTAGCAGAAGATTGATTAAATGGATCATAAATTGTCCAACTAGTGCCTAGCAAATAGTACATACTCAGTATTTTCCCCTTTTTAATCCCCGTTTTACAGGCGATGGAACTCACCAGAGACCAGATAGCTAGAGAATGGCTGAGCTGGGTTTTAAATCTAGTCAATCTTGACCCCAGAGCTCTCCAGCCTAAAGGTAATGTTTAGACTTAACTTCCAGTGGTGTCATTATAAGAGTCAAAAACAGACTGAAGAAATAAAATAGCAGAATAAAGTAGTGGGGCATTAAAGAATCATCTAGTTAATTCTTGGTGATGATAACAGAAATGTTGGGAAAAGTGTCAGAAGCCTTAATTTTCTCCCCATTCTTTCTGAGTATCTTTAGATCAACCACCACTTCCCAAGTATTTGCAAACAAGCAGCATAGATATTATAGCCCTAGAAAGAGTTGGAAACATTATCACAACATTAGCAAGAGAGTCAAGGCATTTTTAAGGAAACAGAAGCTTCCATTTCATGAACTAATAAAGCCCAAGGTGCCAAAGACACTGATGTCATACTGGAAAGTGGTGTAAAATAAAATTATAAGCATAATTTCAACATCAAATAAAACAAATGATGAAACATGCCAGTTAATGGCAGAGCCAGCGTCCAACCTCAATCCCAATCCAGCTCAGAAGCTCTAATTCTACCATGGTTATCTGGCAGGACTTGACACTTCAATTGGATTGTACTCAAAGCTGTATTTTCTTAAACAGGCAAAATATTCTCACAGAAGCAATATTTAAGGCAGAGCTCTTTTTTTTTTTTTTTAAGGTTTGACAAGATCTTCAAAAGATTAAGAATAGACAGGAAACCAATTAAGAATGTTAAGAGTTACGGCCAAGAGTTTGGGCAAAGAAAGTTTGCCACTCAACTCTCAATCATTTGCCCCCAGAAAAGGGATTAGGTTGGGCTGTTCAGGCTAATTATATGAACATTTTATAAAAAGAAATCAGACACAGAAAATCAAGCCCCACAAAAGCAGAAGCTGGTACTCCAAGCTGTGGCTCAGCCCTTCCCTTCCCCCACAGGACAGAACTCAGCTGAACATCTACTTCCTTCCCTACTAACTCAGCAGTTCTCAGAAAGGAAATGGCAACCATATGCTTTCTCATTAACCAAAACGAAAGGCAGCCTTGAGAAACAAGATGGTCTGGGCAATACAGAAACTGTTCAGCCCAGGCTAGTTGGTTTCAGCTACCTCTAAATCACTCCCAAAGATGTGGTTAATAAAAAGAAAAAGGAGATGTCAAGGAGACAATTATTGCTAGGCAGATATCTTTTCTTATATTACCATTCAGTGAAATAGATCTGCCACTCAGTCTACTCATTTAGGTCATAATGATTATATTGCTGATTCTTTAATACATACACAAGATTACTTCATGGTCTTCTTTTCTCTAAGGCTGTTGTTCTTCAAGCCTTCATTTTTCACAGCCTAAACATAAGCTTACTCTGAGATGATGGACTCTTCCACTTTACATCCAGAACCTCAACACCATGTTTTAGTGTAAAGATGCTTAGTGAGATCCACTGTAATACAGAAGGGCATCCATTAGAATCCTGGACATAGAAGGTTCTGTTATCTGGGTCCTCATTGATAAAGGTTTTGTTGTAAATTTTACCCAGCACTCAGTACCCATGCTCACTCCCAGGTTTTGGTTTCTGGAATTACCAAAATTATTTTCACTTTGTTTTCACTATCCATCTATTTAAAACTATTACAACATCAATGAAACAGTTGTTTGTACCAAGTACTGTTTGATTTTAAATATCTTGTATAGTGAAACTTAACAATTTAAAAAATTAACAAGAACCACAGTGTGCTCACTCACCTTACAGGTATAATCCACTTTGTAACATAATTGGCAACTAAAAAAACAAAAAAAAAAAACTCAAACAAATAGTATTTTCTTAATTTCCCTAAAACAATTTAACCAAAAGACTCAGAAGTAATGTTTAGTAATGATTGCAGCAACAGCCACACAAATCATCCCTATAGTGATAAATGCAAATACACTGAGCACTTGCTATGGGCCAGGCATTTTACACTTATAAGCACTTTACACTATTTTGGGTTTTGTTTTTGTATTGGAGACAAGGTCTCACTCTGTCACCCACCCGGGCTGGATGCAGTGGCTGCACCATAGCTCACTGTAATCTGGAACTCCTCTGCTAAAGTGATCCTCCAGGTTCAGCCTCCCAAGTAGCTGGGACTACAGGTGTGCACCACCACGCCTTAGCTAATTGTTTTATTTTGTGTAGAGATGGAATCACACTGTGTTGCTCAGGCTGGTCTCAAACTCCTGAGCTCATGCGATCCTCCCGTCTCAGTCACCCAAAGTGCTGGGATTACAGGCATGAGCCACCAGACATGGTCTGATTTACACTTTTTGATGTGTTACTTATGTGAAGTGATTGATCTCATTTTATAGTAAGTTATGAAGCTTGCATTTCAAAATAACTGCCTGTTACATGTAATAACTTTTTCTACAAAAAAAGGTTATTTGCCCCAAAAAGTGCATGTCTTTGTTTATCTAAATGGGTAATTGCATTTTTCGAAGGCTTTGTAATTCACAGTGATAAGTGCAGTTAATATGTTATCTGATCCCCCAAATCTGATTGCGTGGGGATAGTGAAATCTACTTGTGAGGAATGACCCTGTAGTTTCCCTTGGGAAAAAATGCATCCCTAAATGGGTTAATTCAACTCAGCTACATTATCTTTTTTATTATTATTATTATTATTTTAGACAGGGTCTTGTCATCCAGGCTGGAATGCAGAGGTGCAATCACAATTCACTACAGCCTCGATTTCCCAGGCTCAAGCAGTCCTCCTGCCTCAGCCTCCCATATAGCTGAGACTGCAGGCACATGCCACCACACCTGGCTGATTATTTTTATTTTTTAGTAGAGACCAGGTCTCACCGTGTTGCCCAGGCTGGTCTCAAACTCCTGGGCTCAAGCAATCCTCCTGCCTTGGACTCCCAACGTTCTGGTATTACAGGCATGAGCCACTGTGCCCAGCATCTTTTTAATGATATTTAATGATAGAGTGAACAACTTTGGCTTCTGTGTTCTAAAAAGCTTTTCAAATGTATCATACCTCAAATAGGTACCTGGATTTATTGTTTATTCAGATTAAGAAAATATTATTAGCAAATGAACTAATTGAAGACTGATGGGACAACATACGGTGCCAAAATGCTTCAAAAAGAGTTGCTTGCTACTGTTTTCTGATGTTTCCCCATGTCCTATGTATAAAATGAATAAATAAATAACAGTTTTTAAAAATCCAGCTGGCCCAGTTGCAGAGCCCTGTTCCTTAACAGGCCCTACAAGGAGTATGTGACAGTATGTATAGGAGACTAATATCATGCCTGACATGTTGGAGTAGAAGGCTTGGTGTCTCTTTCTAGAATTCTGATTTACTATTGTGGTTTCTCTATAATAAAGATGGATGCCTTTTCTTATTTTGGAGCATTATCAAGCTCACATACATGCACACAAACATACGCCAGTAAATCACCAGGAAGAAAGAGTAAATGCTTTCAAACAAACCCCTAATTAAGAGTATTACCCATAGGAGCACAGCATATCCCAGTGGGAAGGATGCTTACAGGTAATGTACGCTAACCCTTTCACATTGTGTATGAAAAAAATACAAGCCCAGAGATGTTAACAAGATTACCACCTAGAGCCCCTAATGAACTAATGGATCTCAGTAACTTCACCAAAGGCTGCTAATATCACAAAAAGAGAGACAACCAGTCCAAAACAATTAAATCAATATCTCCCAAGGTAGGACTCAGTCATCAACATATTTTATTTTATTTTATTTTATATATATATATATATATTTTTTTTTTATTATACTTTAAGTTCTAGGGTACATGTGCACAACATGCAGATTAGTTATATGTATACATGTGCCATGTTGGTGTGCTGCACCCATTAACTCGTCATTTACATTAGGTATACCTCCTACTGCTATCCCTCCCCACTCCCCCAACCCCACAACAGGCCCTGATGTGTGATGTCCCCCTTCCTGTGTCCAAGTGTCCTCATTGTTCAGTTCCCACCCATGAGTGAGAACATGCGGTTTGTTTTTTTGTCCTTGCAATAGTTTGCTGAGAATGATGGTTTCCAGCTTCACCCATGTCCCTACAAAGGACATGAACTCATCTTTTTTTATGGCTGCATAGTATTCCATGGTGTATATGTGCCACATTTTCTCAATCCAGTCTATCATTGTTGGACATTTTAGTTGGTTCCAAGTCTTTGCTATTGTGAATAGTACCTCAATGAACATAACGTGTGCATGTGTCTTTATAGCAACATGACTTATAATCCTTTGGGTGTATACCCAGTAATGGGATGGCTGGGTCAAATGGCATTTCTAGTTCTAGATCCCTGAGGAATCGCCACACTGACTTCCACCATGGTTGAACCAGTTTACAGTCCCACCAACAGTGTAAAAGTGTTTCTATTTCTCCACATCCTCTCCAGCACCTGTTGTTTCCTGACTTTTTAATGATCGCCATTCTAACTGGTGTGAGATGGTATCTCATTGTGGTTTTGATTTGCATTTTTCTGATGGCCAGTGATGATGAGCATTTTTTCATGTGTCTGTTGACTGCATAAATGTCTTCTTTTGAGAAATGTCTGTTCATATCCTTCGCCCACTTGATGGGGTTGTTTTTTTCTTGTAAATTTGTTTGAGTTCTTTGTAGGTTCTGGATATTAGCCCTTTGTCAGATGAGTAGATTGCAAAAATTTTCTCCCATTCTGTAGGTTGCCTGTTCACTCTGATGGTAGTTTCTTTTGCTGTGCAGAAGCTCTTTAGTTTAATTAGATCCCATTTGTCAATTTTGGCTTTTGTTGCCGTTGCTTTTGGTGTTTTAGACATGAAGTCCTTGCCCATCCCTATGTCCTGAATGGTATTGCCTAGGTTTTCTTCTAGGGTTTTTATGGTTTTAGGTCTAACGTTTAAGTCTTTAATCCATCTTGAATTAATTTTTGTATAAGGTGTAAGGAAGGGATCCAGTTTCAGCTTTCTACATATGGCTAGCCAGTTTTCCCAGCACCATTTGTTAAATAGGGAATCCTTTCCCCATTTCTTGTTTTTGTCAGGTTTGACGCAGATCAGATAGTTGTAGATGTGTGGTATTATTTCTGAGGGCTCTGTTCTGTTCCACTGATCTATATCTCTGTTTTGGTACCAGTACCATGCTGTTTTGGTTACTGTAGCCTTGTAGTATAGTTTGAAATCAGGTAGCGTGATGCCTCCAGCTTTGTTCTTTTGGCTTAGGATTGACTTGGCAATGCAGGCTCTTTTTTGGTTCCATATGAACTTTAAAGTAGTTTTTTCCAATTCTGTGAAGAAAGACATTGGTAGCTTGATGGGGATGGCACTGAATCTATAAATTACCTTGAGCAGTATGGCCATTTTCAAGATATTGATTCTTCCTATCCATGAGCATGGAATGCTCTTCCATTTGTTTGTATCCTCTTTTATTTCATTGAGCAGTGGTTTGTAGTTCTCCTTGAAGAGGTCCTTCACATCCCTTGTAAGTTGGATTCCTAGGTATTTTATTCTCTTTGAAGCAATTGTGAATGGGAGTTCACTCATGATTTGGCTCTCTGTTTGTCTGTTATTGGTGTATAAGAATGCTTGTGATTTTTGCACATCGATTTTGTATCCTGAGACTTTGCTGAAGTTGCTTATCAGCTTAAGGAGATTTTGGGCAGTCATCAACATATTTTAAAACTCCAAAACTCCCTAAGTAATGACAATGTGCAACCAAGTCTGAAAACCAGGCTAAGATTTTTTTTTAAATAATTTTCTTTGTTTTCCAAATACCTATTAATATGCTGGAGCAATGTTTCCTTTATATTAGTTAGGGAAATCCTGCATTGATATATTTCTAGGAGTGAAATTATTAAGTATATATTTAAGACTTCTGGTATGTATTATCAAATTACATTTTAGGAATTTCAAAAGAGATTTGCACTCCATTTTCCCTTTGTATATATGCATTAAACATAATTCATTAATTTATTCAACAAAATTTTATTGAACTACTACTACATGCCAGCACTGGGACTACATCAGTAAAAAAAAAAATACAAAAATCCCAGACTTCATGGAGCTTACAGTCTAAAGAGATAGACAATAAAATAAATAAGTAAAATTATGTAGTATATATTAGTGAAAAATAAAGCAGGGGAAGAGATGAGGATTTAGCAGGTAGGAGTGTAGAAAGTGGTGAGGGAAGGTGATATTTGAGTAAAGAAACAAAGAAGGGGAGGGAGGGAGCCAGGTGGGTATCTAGTATAAGGCACTCCAGACATAGGGAGGGCCATTGAAAAGACCCAAGTATCTCTGGCTTTTTCCAGGAATAGCAAGAAAGCTGCTGTAGCTGAAGCAGTGAGTAAGCAGAAAGTTTAGAAGATGCAGGGACCAGGGGAGAGGGCAGGGGTATCATATATGAAGATTTTGTGCTGATCTTGGCTTCTTAATTCGAGACAGGAATCTATTGGAGTGTTTTAAGCAAAGACTTGACATGCTAACCTGACTTAAAAGAGTCACTCTGACTGTTGGGTGGAGAGCAAAAGGAGCAAGGGTGGAAGCAGGAAAATCAGGAGGCATCATATTAATCCACTTGTGATGAGTGGTGGCTTGCACTGGGGTGGTAGCAGTGACAATGGTATAATGTGATCAGCATCTGAATCTATGTAGAAGATAGAGCAAACAGGTCCACTGTCTGGCTGCAGTGGAGCATGAGAGAATGAGATGAGTCAAATATGACCTCCAGATTTTGGGTCTGAGCAACTGGTAAGATGGAGTTGTCATTAACAGAAATGGGGAGGAATACAAGTGGAGCAGTTTAGGGGATGTGGAAAGATCAGGAGGATCATTTTAGACATAAGAAGTGAGATGGGAAGAACACAGCAAGGTGAGTGGTGTGTTGGATGCCAAGTGAATCAAATGTTTCTGGGAAGAGGGGGTGACAGTTGTGTCAAATGCTGCTGATCAAGTGAGATGAAACAGGATTGATTACAGGGTTTAGCAAAAACGAAGATCATTGGTGACTTTGACAATGAAGTTGGTGAAGGATGAAAGACTAAATAAGTTGAGTTCAAGAGAGAACAGAAGTTCATAAATTGGAAATGTGAAAGTAAGTGCATATAGCTCCTCCTAGGAGGTTTTTTGCAAAGGACAGCAGAGAAATGGGCTAATCACTTGAGGGTAAAGTGGGACAAAAGAGATTTTTTTTAATGTAAAAAATAGTAACATGACCCTAGGCTGAATGGCATGATTCAGTAGAGACAGGGAAAAGTCAAATTGCTGAAAACAAATTCTTGCCCTTGAGTAGGTGAGAGATGATGGGAGCTAGGGCTGCTGTGGAGAGGTGGATAGGAGCGTAGAGGGATTTTCTGGAACAGGAGGCTGAGTTGCTATGATGGTAAGAGTGTGTGGAAGGTCTTTTCTGATAGCTACTATTCCCAATGAAATAAACAAGATCATCAGTTTAGAGTGAGAATGGGGAGGAGATGCTGGAAGTTTGAAGTGTAAGAAGAGGTTAGAAATAGTCATTGGGGATGTGGGAGACTGTATTAAATGGGGAAATTTATTACAATTTTAGAAGCCAACTAAAGTTTCACATGAAGGAAGTTAACAGCTAACTTAAAGTTGACCAACGCACATGGTTTTGTATTTTTCTTCAGACACGTTCATCTGTGAGAGTTTAGGCACAGACCAGGCTGAGAGTTGGATTTTACCAGTATCAAGAGTTTTCACAAATGATAGTAATCCTGGTTTTTGCAACATTTGTTGTACACATCTTTCCCACTTGTGATTTGCCTTTTCCTTTTATCTGTATTTTTAGTGTAGAAACTTTGTATATTTATATGGTCAAATTTATTATCTTTTCCTAGGATGTCTTCCATTGCTTTTTTGTTTGAGGAAATCCTTCCTCATGATGAGATGATATAAACTTTTTTCTATACCTTCTTCAATTCTTTATGACTAAATATTTACCTCTTATGTATGCTGTGATGCAAAGCTCTAATAAAATATTCATCAAAAAGTTACTTTATTTGTCCAATGTTATTTATTGAAGAAACAATTTCTCAGATTTATTTTTTAAAATATTGTCTATTTTTTCTATTTTATAAACTCGAGTTCCAGTTTATCACTTTTATCTGATTTATCTGTCTGTTCTTAGTATTTAACATGCTCTAACTATTGTAAATTTATAATTGATAAGGCAAATATCAACCTTCAGACCCCTTTTTTATAAACATTCTTTAATCATTCTTGCTTACCTTATTTTCCTAGACTATTTTGTCATGATTTAAAAACAGACTTTTCTCAGGGTTTGTTTGGAATTGAAAGAAGGGTATGTCCCACTAATTTGGGACATACCAATTTCTTTATAATATTCAAGTTCCCCATTCAAGAACCAAGCTATGATCCTGTATTCCTGTCTTTTAAATTTTACTGGATTGATTACTCATTCACGTTTTTAATATATTTTAAATCCCCTTGAAATCATAGTTTTGCTTTGATTTTCATTTTGCTAGAATGGTGATTCCTCAAGTAAGTTCCCCAGAAAGAAAAGAGGAAGAAGGTACCTTCTGATACTTTACATATGCAAAAATGTCTAACTTGTTTCTCACATATTTGGGGCAGGTATAGAATTTCCACTTGTAGTTTTTTTCTCTTAATATTTATAATTAAATCCAATGGATAGAATATTCCTTGAAACACCAATTTTAGAAGAGATAAAATGAAAGAGGCCGGGCACGGCCACTCACGCCTGTAATCCCAGCACTTTGGGAGGCCGAGGCAGGCAGATCACAAGGTCAGGATTTCAAGACCAGCCTGACCAATACGGTGAAACCCCGTCTCTACTAAAAATACAAAAATTAGCCGGGCGTGATGGCACATGCCTATAGTCCCAGCTACTTGGGAGGCTGAGGCTGAAGAATCATTTGAACCCGGGAGGTGGAGGTTGCAGTGAGCAAAGATCGTGCCACTGCACTCCAGCCTGGGCGACAGAGCAAGACTCCGTGTCAAAAAAGAGAAAGAAAGAAAGAAAGAAAGAAAGAAAGAAAGAAAGAAAGAAAGAAAGAAAGAAAGAAAGAAAGAAAGAAAGAAAGAAAAAGAAACCTAAGTGTCATAAAAGAGAGATTAAGTTAGTGAACTATTAATAGGGAAGTATATGTAATTTTATAAATTAGGTCAATATACTGATAAGGAAACAAGTACATGCAAAAAAAGCTACATAATAATAGTATACGATGATTAGCTTATTATAAAATAAAAAACTATATATCAATTGGTTTTTATTATAGATATATATCTATAGTAAATATAGATATTTACTACCTATAATAAATATAGATATATATGTTACTATAGATGTATAGATTCATTTTCATACTATATATTTATATATAGATGTATTTTCATACTATATATATATCAATATATTAATATATCTATTTTCATACTATATATCTGGAAGAACACACACCAAATAGTAACAAATCACTATGGGGATTAAGATGTGGGAGAGAAAGAACTTTCACTTTTAATTTTATATACTCTGAAATTATTTGAAGTTTTAAAATGATGTTTTATTCATAGGTGTACAGTTTCTTTATAGCCAATGTACACATTTATTTCACCTTTTTATGCCTTTATTTCACTTGACATGGTTGACCACATCCCTTTTGTACAACACTGGATCAGGCATCTCTCCTACGTAGTCCCATAACACACTGTACATATCCCAATTACAGGAATTTTGACTTTAATTTATAATTTCCTCTTTATTTGTGTATTCCAAGGAGACCAAAAAGTCAGGTACTTTTCCTGTTTCTCATTTTATGTTTTACCTTACAAAGTACATATTCAATAACTATTGTTTGAAAGTGTCTGTATGATTTGAAAGGGAATGTGTATAATGTAGCATCTGAAAAATAAAAGAGGCAATGCTCAGAAGGGAGAAAAAGGAAGTGAGCTAGGCAAGATGGAAAGTCCTGAGGGTGAGCTATGCCCATTGGTTGAGCAGCCAAACCACCAAGGGATCGTTTCTTTAACTGCAGCCTAAGTAGGGCAAAAGGAACAAGTGGAGAACAGTGAAAGAAACTGTGCAAGAGCAGTAAGAAGATAACTGGCCTTCTCCATTTAGGGGAATTCCACACCTAAGTGGAAATGTAAATGTCCTTCTCTGGTGACCTCGTAGCTCAGCTATCCCATGTGGGTGGGATAAATAGGAGTAGCGTGGAACCTTTGAAGGGGAAATTGGTAGGCAAATACCACTGCAAAAGCAAGGGAAAGCTGAGTTCTTGCTTATTAAGGTAAAGCCTAAACTATTCAAAAAAGGAAACACCAAGAAGTGTACATCTATATGCAGAGGCTTAAATAAGATGGAAGTTCATTTCTTCCTCATGTTATAGTCCCAAAAAGAGCAATGCAGATTTGCAGGGAGACTATGAAGTCACTCAAGGACTCGAATTCCTTCCATTTTCCACCCACCATTCCCTTAGGTGATATCATTAGTGGGTTGTGGTCACACTCACTGGTTCCCATCTGTGGAAAAGAAAAATAGAGGAACGCCAAGGCAAACAGCTTATTTTTAAAGGTACAAATGACCCAGAAATTGCACATACTGTCAGCTTACATGTTACTTCAGCTCATATCCTATTAGCCAAAACTTAATCGCGTGGTCACATTTAGCTGTGAAAGAGGCTAAAGATGTAGTCTCTAGATGAGTAATCATGTACCTAGAGTAGCCTTTATTTCTATGGGAAAAGGGAAGTATGGATTTTAGAGGAAAACTGTAAGTCTTTGCCATATGAAGAAACCAAATATTGTGTTGTTAACCTAACCGGTAAAACTTGAAAGGCTAATGGCCACCAAATGCTGGTCTAAGACTACTATACATGTACAGTACAAAAACCAAAGACAAGGGAGGAAAGCATGCAGTTTAAAGGTTTGTCCTTTAGTATGAGATAATATTCCTCCTATTTTATGTTAAAATATATTTAATGAGATGGTGATGATGGTAGATAGCATTTCCAATGTCCTTTCTTAAAAAAAAAGTTAAAACAGAGTATTAGCAACAATACATCAGTATACCCATTCCCCAATTTATGTGTGTGTGTGTGTGTGTGTGTTGTTGAGATTTTACTGATTCTTGAAATCTTTATCTGGGAACTAATGCTCCATGTGACAACCAAGCACAGAGGGTCAGCAGAGAAGCCAGTACTATCCTTACTCCTCCTTTAACATCGAAGATGGTATCTCACCTCAAGGATAGGTTTTGTAAACTCTCCTCACTGGACCCACCATCATCTCCTTCTCTATACCCAGTTAGATCCTCCCACCTCTGGACTCCCATGGTATTGTTTACATGGTTGCACCACAGCTGCAAGGTCTCTAAAGGCCTAGACTCTGGAACTAGCATAATGTCATATTTGTCATATTCTGTTGGTCAAAGCCAGTCACCAGCTCAAACCAGATTCAAGGAGATGGTCAGGTAACCTCTGCCTTTAGATGGGAGGAGCAGCAACATCATATTGCAAAGAAGCATGTGGACACAAGGAAGTGTGATTCATTTGGGTTGTGGGAGAAGGAGTCATCACTGTAATGCTTTTCCACAACTGACATTTCCCACATGATAACATTCTATCTTCCAGCCTTCCTGTCATGCCCACAACTTCCTTTAAAACAAAGTGCAGTTCATAGGGTACCTTGCTTTGTACCATATAATTCTGCCTCCTGGCTTCAAGAAGTCAGACTGGAGATAAGTACTTCTATTAGTTAGGATTAGTACTAACTTAAAGTGAGAGAAAACCCCAATTGGCTGGGCATAAATAGAAGTTTATTTCTGGCTCTTGTTAAAGTACAGAGGTAGATTCTAGGGGTTTGGTATTGGCCTCCACATTATCAAGCCTATTCTATCTTGTAGCTCCATTGACTGTACTTTCCATTTCCAAGGTTGCCTCATTATTCAAAATGGCTGCCAAGACTCCAAGCATCATACATCCCATTTCACTCAATAGAAAGGAAAAAGGTAAGGGAAAAGAGAGCCCACTCTAATTTGGGATGTTTCCTGAAAGTTGCACACCCAACTTCTTCATATCCCATTGGCTTGCATTTACTCATGTATACACACCTATCATCAAGGGGGATCAGGAAGGTGGCTTTCTGGTGGCTGTGTCCCCAGCCAAAAATCAGTGGTTCTATTACTATGGAAAAAAGAGTAGATAAGAATGAAGATATGAAGGAGGTGAGGGAACAAATCACGTAGATATCTGTGAAAAGAAAGCACAGGCAGAGGGAAATGCAAACACAAAGTTTCAAAGCAGGAGCATTCTTGGAAAGTTTGAGGAACAACAAGGAATCCAGCATAATTAGAATGAGAAGAGGGGTATCAGATGAGAATGAAGAGATAGCCAGGGATCAAGCTTAGTAAAGGCCAGGTAATGTGCTGTGAATAAGATATTCTAAGAATCCCAAAGCAAAGCTGTGTAGGGGTCCTCAAGACCACCTACCAGGTTCAATGATTTGCTAGGAGGACTCACAGGACTCAACATATAGTCCTACTTATAGCCGTGACAGTGACAGGATACAGAGCAAATTCAGCAAAGGGAAAGGCATATAAGGCAAAGTCTGAAGAAACCAGTTGCAAGCCTCTAAGGGTCCTCTCCTAGTGGAGTCACACAAGAGGCACTTTAACAGACATGAACAGACACTTCTCAAAAGAAGACATTTATGCAGCCAAAAAACACATGAAAAAATGCTCACCATCACTGGCCATCAGAGAAATGCAAATCAAAACCACAATGAGATATCATCTCACACCAGTTAGAATGGCGATCATTAAAAAGTCAGGAAACAACAGGTGCTGGAGAGGATGTGGAGAAATAGGAACACTTTTACACTGTTGGTGGGACTGTAAACTAGTTCAACCATTGTGGAAGTCAGTGTGGCGATTCCTCAGGGATCTAGAACTAGAAATACCATTTGACCCAGCCATCCCATTACTGGGTATATACCCAAAGGACTATAAATCATGCTGCTATAACGACACATGCACACATGTTTATTGCGGCACTATTTACAATAGCAGACTTGGAACCAACCCAAATGTCCAACAATGATAGACTGGATTAAGAAAATGTGGCACATATACACCATGGAATACTATGCAGCCATAAAAAATGATGAGTTCATGTCCTTTGTAGGGACATGGATGAAGTTGGAAATCATCATTCTCAGTAAACTATCGCAAGAACAAAAAACCAAACACTGCATATTCTCACTCATAGGTGGGAATTGAACAATGAGAACACATGGACACAGGAAGGGGAACATCACACTCTGGGGACTGTTGTGGGGTGGGGGGAGGGGGGAGGGATAGCATTGGGAGATATACCTAATGCTAGATGACGAGTTAGTGGGTGCAGCGCACCAGCATGTCATATGTATACATATGTAACTAACCTGCACATTGTGCACATGTACCCTAAAACTTAAAGTAGAATAATAATAATAATAAAAAGAGGCACTTTAGTCCTCTACATCAAGTGTGGCAACCAGTATGAAATACTGCCTACCAGGGAAGCTCAAGGTTTTTATTGAGGGCTTGTCACAGAGGCACCCTTTTCCTGGCATATACCAAAGCCCTGACTGCCAGAAGGAAAGCATGGTGGTGAGCATAAACTATGCTGTTTATACTAACAGTTTAGACACAGTGGGCCACTCTTATCATTTAGGGAATGGCCAGAACCCTGCTGAAACCTACATTTCCAGATACCCATCAATAGCCAACCTTGCAAGGAGATTTCTAGGAATAGCAGTCTTGGGCCTATTGCTAATTCTTTCCTGAACAAAAGTACACAGGGAGGGAGGCACAAAGCAAAGTGGAGTAGGAATCAGGAAACTAAGCAGAGACTAACCAGGCTCATAAGTTAGTAGATGCAATGAGTAAATAGAAACCATGAACCAGATAAACTGAGACAGAGAGAGTACAATAGTAACAGAAGGAGGAAGAAGCAAGGAGAGAAGTCAGTGGGACGACAACCCCTATTATTGCTGTTAGGATATCAGAGTTGCTATTAATATATGATTCTGGAGATCAATGAACAATGCTTCAGCTTCACATGAGGCCTGATTATTCCATTAAAATGTTTCCTATACTTGCTTCCTAATGTACTCATATCCTTAGAATAAGTTGAAATCACCGAAAGTCAGAGGCATATTTGTGCTCCTTGAAACCTAAAAACACTTCACTAATACACCTAGGGTTTTAGCCATTGAAATATAGATGTTATAGAGAAAAACTAGAATTGTAGCCAAAGGATCACTGGCCAACTGGATAAAGGACCAAGATTTATAGTATGGCATAAAACCTCCCCTCACCCCACTCCATAAAGCCCCTGCTCCAGCTACATCAAACTACTCACAAGTACATTCAAAGTGCACTTCTATGCTTCTTTGATTTTGATCATGTAGTTTACCCTGTTTAGAATTCTTGGCCTTGTCATTCTCAAAAAACTCTGAAGAGCTTCTTTACCCAGCTCGAGTCATTTGCATTCTCGATGAAGCCTCTCTGACCATTTCTTCCCCATACAGTCTTGTCTAGCCCCTTTAGAATGAATCTTTATTTCTGGACTACTCTCAGTTCTTGGTACATATTTCTATAGTAGCACATATAAAACATATTGTAATTGACAATTTATGTGTCTGTCTCAGAATAAATTATGTTCCTAGCACTTAGCATAGTGCTTCACAAGTGGTAAGTCTTTACTAAATGTGTATCAAGGAAATGAATGGATGAACGAACCAAGAAACAAATCCAATGAATCACATATTGAAGAGTTATGACACCAGGAATCAAGGACAAGGCTCCATGACCAAGACACCCAATTTTCAATTCTCATGCTTGAGACAATAATATCTCTCATCTATTGGGGTACTTTTTATTTCTCCAAATTATATTGCTTTTGTACACCCTAGTTCTTTGAAGATACCGTTACTTTACTCATGTTAAATAGCTGTGTTAGCATTGATTATAACAATTTCCCTAGTGAGGAAGCAAATTATTTTCTTAAAAATTATGGCAGAACTTAAATATCCCCCAACTTAAAAAGTCTGATGCTAAATATATTTAACTCTATAGTGTCTAAGTATGTTTATACAAGTAAGTAAACACACACAATTATTCTCCTGCTGTGAAAGTACTTTCTACCTCTAGTGGCTTACATGTGTATGCATATTTTTAAGTTAAACTTTTCAAAGGGGAAATATTTCAAGTAATATTGATTTCACAACCCACTACTATGACACTGAAAGTGAATTCCCCAAGCAATTTTATAATAAAACCAATTCTAAAAGCTTAGACATGGTCATGGCAAACATCAAATAAAATCTAAATTTGTTACTATTTCCATGTGATTTCTTTTGAGTAGTGACCCTTTAAAATCTGATAGTGTATAGGTTTCCTTTATCTCCCTGAGAGTTATCAGAATCAAGGCCTTTGGTTAAATGCTTTCATCACATATTGTGGTTGTGGTGGCTATTGTTTTCAACATGCAAGAGGTTGCAAGAACTGAACTACACAAAATGGATTCCCCAAAACTGAAAAGAGATTTTTAAAAATAGGACCGTGAAATTCAAGCTCATTTGAATTAATTTTGAATTTCCTAGGTCAGCCATCTGAGAGAGGGCTTGCAAATGTGTGTTGATGAGGTTGAGGTGTTGGCCAGTTCTCACATGTGTGTAGAGAGAATGTTGTTGCAGAGTTAGAGAAGGAAACCAATATTTTTTGAACATTTTCTTTGTGCCAGGCTCTTAACATACGCTCTCATTTAATCATCACAGCACCCTTCTATCATAGAGGTCATCATCCACATTCCACAGATGAGAAAAGGAAGCTTGGAGAAGGAAGCTCCAGGCTGCACACCTATTGCTGAGGAGAGCTGAAATTCCAACCATGTTTCTCCAGCTCCAAAGTCTGTGCCTCTACCACTTGATATAAAAGACCATGTGATCACATCACTAGCTACAAACAGTTCTAACTAAATGTAAGCTATCCTGGAATTCATCCCTAAAATGGAGTGATCTGCTTGAAGATTAAAATTTAAAAAAAAAAAAAAAAGATTTAAACAGGGATCAGCAAATTATAGCCCCAAACTTGCTTGCCAAATAACCTAAGGCTGCTTCCAGTCTACGAGGGCAGAGTTGAGTAGTTGTGAGAGAAACCACATGATCCACAGAATTCAAAATATTTACTATTTGACCCTTTGCAGAAAAAGCATGCTGATCTGACCTCTGGAAGAGAACTTTTGTCAATCAGTATCTAGTGTTGTCCCAGGAAGAGAGATTCAATGTCTAGCAGATACTGGAAAGCCTACCTTGTATAAGTGCAAGGGGATCTGCTGACCCTGCCCCATTTACTCAAGTGAGTAAATTCCCCTTGCCCTGACCTATTATCCGTCAAGGAATCTCATCACAAATACCATTTTCTAAGTACCATAATAACTGAGAACAACTATGAAGAAAAACCGATAACAGTTGCTGTGAAAATATGGCCAAATTGTAAGTTAACAGTTTAATATGCTGGATTTAAAATCACCACACAATGAATTTATAATTGGTATGAAGCTCTTAAGTAGATCTGATCATATCTAAAAAAAAACTGGTAAAAATGAGTTTCTGAACTTTGCCAGAATCAAAGATTAGGATTCTTATTGACCCAAAAAGACAGATAAATGAAGAATATCCAAGTTAAGAAAGTTAACCACCTTCTCAGTCTACATCATTTTATCAGTATGTTTCCTGCATTAAATTAGTTCAAAGAATACATAAACTTAATTGATGAAAAAGGTTTATATGCTTTTCATCAATTGTATTTGCACTGTGTTTCTTATTTGTTTTTATACCATGATAGAATAATAGGATGGAAAACTCTGAACTAAAATTGTGAATAATTCACAAAAAATTTTGGAATAGAAGATAGATAGTTTAAGTTAATTAGATTGGCCCTATGAACCAATAGTCTAATTTTCAAGGTAACATGGAAGAAGTAATTTTGGATGACTAGCAAAAAAATTAAAACAAAGAACGAAGCTGGAAATAGTTTAATTATAAAGAGGGAAAAAATTTTTAAACTGAATAATCTTTAAAAAGTAAAGAATTTCTTCTTAATTTGAAAATATAGAGAAATTGGTGACAATTAACACTTCTGGTTTTAGTCTCTTTTTATATAAATTTTTATTTAGGACAGCTTTAAATTTACAGAAAAAATGAAAGAGAATACAGAGTTCTCAATATACTCCTCATTCAGTTGCCCCTCCTATTAGTATCCTACATTAGTATGAAACATTTGTTATAACTAATGAACCAATACATTATTAACTAAAGGATTCCCTTAGTTTTTATTTAATGTCCTTTCTAGGTTGGTTTAGTTTACCCATTCCTGAACCAAGTAAACATTGGCAAGGAAAATGGAATTGCTGTGATTGACTTAATTAATCCAGGCCAACCACTAGCAACCCAACTATATGCCAGCTAACCTTAAGGGTGAAGTTTAATGGATGTTGACAAGTCAATCACCATATTCACTACCATGATTTTCTGATGAGGGATCTACTAAGATATACTATGGGGAAAAGAATCCTAATTAAGCAATCAGCTTTTCCTTATTATTCTCCAATAGGACACTCACAAATATAACTAATCATGAATAGCCAGAGATGTTCATGACACAATAATTGTTTGACATTTCTAGAGGGTATTTCTAGAAACTTTAAAAATTTCCAAGATTCAGAAAAACAGAAAAATTTTATATGATTTCTTGGTTTTCTTTCCATTCTATTGATAGACATGTTGTTTCCTATGCATAAATTTAAACCCCACAGATTACTTCCTTTTCTTTAAAAAAATTAATCTCATTTTTTAGAGAATAAAATGCATTCACAAGATTAAAAATTCAAAAGACCCAAGTATATATAGTGAGATTTCCCTGTACTACCTGTGTTCCCTAGTAATTTCCATTCCTCTCTACCACCAAGTTACCATTTTCTTGTGCATTCTTCCAGAGATAATTTGTGCAAATGTGTACATATGTATATATTCTTTCATCCACTTCTTTTTACAATGCTCTTCTTCACCTTGCTTTCTGTCTTTATATCTTATTGCTCTTTCCATAGTGATATTGAGAGAGCTTGCTCATTCTGTTTTATTTCTTCATGTTATTCCATTGATGGATTTACTGTAATTTATCCAATTAATCCCCCATTAATGAACATTTGAGTTATTTCCAATTTTTTGATATTATAAACTCTAAAAAGTGCTGCAATGTATAAGCTGAGACATATGTCATTTTACCCACGTTCCCAGGAGGATATCTATAGAACAAACTATTGCCTTTCCATCTCTCACCAAAATTTTATTTTCACTCCAAGAACAAGTTTTGCACTGGGTGAGAATACTCACAAAATAACTTGCACTAATCTTTGTTTGTTTAATATAAAAGACTCATTCAAGTCACAGATCAAAACCAACTTCATATTATATATTTCACACACTAATTTACACTAAAACTCTATTGTCTCACTAAGAACAATCACTTTCTTAGAGCTTTACTTGGATTACCAGAACTAGCAATTGGAGGACACATAACAAAATAATACCATTGACTGAATGTGAAACAAGTTGATAACAATACCAGGAAGATGAGACATGCCAGGAGGTTGCCTGGCCTTGCTTAGTAGCATGGCAACTTACTCACTGGCCTTGGGATCCTTTCAATTCAACTTGACAACTCAGCAAAGTCTCTAGGTTTGTGGCCCTCTCCAGGGAAACTTGTATACATCCAAAGTTTTGTAAAAATTTTCTGTCTGAGTTCTTAAAATTGTAATACTCAGGGTATTCCAGCTGGCTCCCATTAGCAAGGGTCAGGAAAGCTAAATGCATTCTTTTCTAGTTACCAGTCCAGGGCAGAAGCCAATGTGCTCTGAACAAGATCTGAATGTGGATTATACCATCACCTGGGACTTATCAATGAATGCTCCATTCAGTCAGTGCCCTCAGGAGCTCAGTAGTGGGACCCATAATGATAACATTATAATTAAAACACTAACATTTATTGAGCATTCACTATGTGCTCTGCTAACAGCTTTAAAAGCACTCTTTTCATGATTCTTTTTCACAATTCTAAAGTTGATTCATTTGCAGATTTAATCTAGAAATCTTTTTCATGATTCTAAATTTCAGTCATTTGTAGATGTATTACGAGGGTCTACAGGAAGCTCATCCCTTCCTCTTCCACTCTATAACCCAAAGTTAACCTTGATGTCAGACTCTCTCATTTCTTCTAAGGGTGACTAAAATGAAAATATCCCTGCAAGAGGGAACACAGTAAACAGACCAGTCTTTTACACATCGTTCTGATAAATTTTGTCATATTCTTTCCAGGATAAAATCTTCATGAGGAGAGGACAGGAAGAGCTCTGCAGATACGTTAGAAGGTGGGGACAGAGTACTGCTAAAAAGGGGGCACTTAAAGGCAAGGTTGATACACAGTAAAAGTTTAGTTGGCCTCAGAGTAGTATCTGGAATATAATCACCATTATTACCCATCTTCCAGTTATAAATCTCTGATATGAACATGTGGGAAAACAAAGGCCAGAATGGTTTTGTTTGATTCTCCAAAGTATTGATAATAATAACATTTAACTAATGGTTCATTAAGTAGTGGCATGCTCAAGGATCAGAAACTTCCAATCAATGCATTAGATAGCCTTCAGAAGTTGCATTTAGGTACTTATGAAGGGTGTTTGAGATTATCCCACTTTAAATATAATCAACTCTAAGATCAGTTTAATAGACATTTGCTTTTCAAAATTATTTTTTGGAGATTTTGATCCTGGGTCTTTAATCATTAGATATGAGTTATCACTTATCAAGACCTAAAACCACTCAGACTGAAGAAGATCTCTGCCCAGTTGCTGCAAGTGGTTGGCAAGTGGCATGGAATGCCTGAAGAAGTGGGTCACACAGTTAATTACACACAATTTAGCCAAGAGGTAGGCAAAAGGCAATCTCACTCTGTCTCTGATCTGTATCTAGTTTGAAACTTTATCATTGGCAGCAATTTGGTTTTTGTACCTTCTTTGCTTCCATGGGGCACTAGTTTGGGCTGTATCACTTATGGCCTCTCCTAGATGACTGAGTATACCTTGCTGAGTGAATGTCCAGGGCTGAGGGAGAAAAAAAAAGGCTGTGTGGTATCCCACTATAGCCCCTGAATATAGGCTCTAACCAGAAGCACACAACTGGGCTGTGATTACTATGGCCTCACCTTTATTTCCAGAGAATTACCCAGCAACATTACTGGAAATGAGCTGTCTTGTCCAGTCAGCTCCCATTCTCTCAGAAAGGTTAGAGCCCCATGAATTTCACAATCTTGCAGCTTCTTGGGAAATGCATTATGAATTTCCAAATCTCTTGTTCAGCCTTGATAAAATTCCCAAATGATTGCAAAAGTGAAAATAAAATCCAAAGCCATTTTGAACCTTGGTATTTACAAATAAGACAGAGAATAAAAATTACATGCAAGTAAACTGGACTTCATAATCATATTAACTTTTTGGCACTTAGTAGAATCCATAGTCTCTATATGGAAGGAATAAATATTGATAGTAATACAAGTTTAATCTTGTCCTCTATCTCAGTAATTTATGGGATGTTAGGACTGATAGGAGTTTAAATATCATCTACTCCATACCTTCATATCAAAAATTTGAGACTAGAGAGATTGTCACTCACTTATGGGCACTTAGCTTACATGGTAGAAAGAACACTCAGCTTAAATGAGAAAACTTGAACTTGAGTCCAAACCCTGACACTTTCTCCTTGTGACTTTCAGACAAGCCAGCAGGCCTCAATTTCTGTATTGGCAAATTGGAGTAATTTATGTACCAGGAAGGCTGGCTGTGAATGTTGCTTTGTTGGCGGAGGAACAGTGAAGTGACACCAAAAACTTGGAAATACATTGACTCTTAAAACTAGTAAAGTTCACAAAATAGATGAGAAAGCCACCTTCAGAAATTAATAATAAAATTGTCAATTTATGATGGAAGAGCAGTTTTTAAAACAAGTCTTTTTTCCTGATCAAATATTACTAAATTTTCATCTTACTTTTACAAATCTAGACAATAAAAACAAAGTGAGGATTGGCTTACTCATAATTCATAGTGAATATATCTCCAAATATATTCTGGAAGAATTGATCATCTACATACAGATAGGAACCTGTCTATCTGCTTTTGACACTCAGCAAGATATTGGTATAATCTTTCAACATATTTGAGAGCACACAGAATTCTAAGGAAAGTGAATTGGGTATAACATTTGGGAAGCTGATTTGATCTGAAATGTGATGTTAATTTGATAACCGGGGGAAAGACAGTGAATAAAATCAGTCAGATTGGCAAGAAGTAAAACAAAAAGGAAGCCCCAAAAGGCCAAAATGTAGACCAGGAATGGGTCAAGGCTTTACAGACTTTATTTTATTTAATCCTCTCAATCTCCCTAACATTATTATTCCCATTTTTCTAGGAGGAAACTGATCCTTAAATAAGTTAATTATCTAATATCATAAAACTAGTAAGTGTTAGGAATTGTATCTGTACCCCAGCAGTATACTTCCAGAGCCTGATTTTTTTAAATTATACTTTATTTTTGCTAAAGTTATACACACATATAATGTGAAGAATCAAATAGTTCCATAAGGTTTGTTTTGAAAACAACCATCTCTAGCTCCTGCCTTCCATTTCTCACCCCCTAGAGGCAACTAGTTTCACTCCCCACCCCACCCAGCTAATTTTTAAGGTCTTTCCCTCAATTTTGCTAGGTAATATGCTTGAATTGTTACTTTGTGGATTTCCCATTTTAGACATTCTCTATTGTTATCTCACTCTAGAAAGTGAGGAATTAGCAGTGTTTCTCCCTCATTCCCCACTCCCACCATGAGCACTTGCCTCTCTGCCCATTCTTCCAATATATTCATACTATGATTTTTATTATATCTAATAGTGAGTGTTGTTCACATTACTGTGAAGAGGCAAATGCTATTCATAGCTGATACCTGTAGATGACAGTGATCTTTTCTTTTCTACACAACCTCCTTTTTTCTTTCCTACACAATCTACTTTTTTTTTTTTTTTTTTTGACAGAGTCTCACTCTGTTGCCCAGGCTGGAGTGCAGTGGCACAATCTCAGCTTACTGCAATGCCCACCTCCCAGGTTTAAGTGATTCTCCTGCCTCAGCCTCCTGAGTAGCTGGGATTACAGGCACCCGCCACCACACCCAACTAATCTTTTGTATTTTTAGTAGAGATAGGGTTTCACTATGTTGGCCAGGCTGGTCCACCCACCCCAGCCTCCCAAAGTGCTGGGATTATAGGCATGAGCCACCGCGCCCGGCCTAGGGGATCCACTTTTGTCTTACTTTTTGGAAGTATTGTCTTAGTTATCTTATTGCTTTTCACTTAGTTTTCTTTGTATTTATTACTAATTCAAACTCCACCTCAATTGTAGAAATCTCCTTTTAATATATTCAAATGCATTAGGACTTAACAACTTCATCTTCTCAAGGAAATCTGACTTGCTTCTATCTGGATAAGATGCTCTTCAGCATTAAAAATCAAATATTTTTCTACAAGGTTTGCTTGGAAAACAACCATCCCTAGTTCCTATCTTCCATTTTTCATGCCCTAGAGGCAACTACTTTCTCCCCCACCCCGCCCAGCTGATGGAGGCTGCCTTCGTCATACTCCTGGGGACTCTCCTGGTCATTTCTAGTCTTGGATCTTGTTTCCTGATTCCTATGTCTTCCTCTTTCTCGGCTTGTTTCCTAGTGAAGAACATAACTCAGTAGCTTCTCGAAAAAGAGTGCAAAGGAAATAAATGTTTTGAGGCTTTATGCTATGATTTGACTGTGTCCCTCAAATTCACATGTTGGAAACCTAATCTTCAAATTTATATGCTGATGGTATTTGGAGGTGGGGCCTTTGGGTGGTAATTAGGGTTAGATAAGGTCATCAGGATGGAGCCCCCATGATGGGAGTGGTGGCTTTATAAAAAGAGGAAGAGAGACCTGAGCTGACATGCTTTTGCCCTACTGCTATGTGATGTTCTTGTCATGCTGTGATGCAGCAAGAAGGCCCTCACCAGATACGAGTGCTGTGCTTTTGTATTTCCCAGCCTCCAGAATCATGAGCTAAATAAAACTTTATTTTTTATAAATTACTCAGTCTATAGTATTTACTCATAGCAATAGAAAATGGACTAAGACACCTTATAAATTTGAAAATATCTTCAGTCTACACAATACTCTTTCAAGGTGTAGAAGTCTCTTCCTGTGAATTTTGAAAGCACTGCTCTTTTAGATTTAGGTGTTGCTATTGAGAAGACAGATGACACTCTGATTCTTCATTTTATATATTAAACCTGTTTTATTCTGGAAGTTTGTAGTCTCATCTTTTTGTCCCTCTTGTGCTGAATGTTTAAATTCTTTAGTACAAATTTACACAGTGACTACTATGTGCCAGGCACTATTCTAGGTATTGAGGATATATCAATGACAGTTTTATGATGATACTCTCAGGTGAACATAAATTTCTCCCCATCATTCTGGTAGTTGGTGAGCCCTTCAACCTGAAAACTGAGATTGTAAGATTTCAATGTTACAAATTTTTGATAATTTCCTACCCTCTGTTCTCTTCTTTTAGTAATACTATTATTACATGTTGGATCATCAGGACTGATCCTCTAATTTTCATACAGCCTTTCTCCTCAATTATCCTTATTAGCCTTTTTGTTCTACTTCCTAGGAGATTTCTTTATCTTTTATCTCTTACATTAAACGTCTTATTTTTAATGTCATATTTTTAACATTTAGGTTTCTTTTGAGCTCACTGAATATTCCTTTTATAGATAATCCTGTTATTTTATATATTTTCTTATTGTTCTGTTGGCAGAGCTTGTTTCCTTCAAGTTGTTTTCTTCTGTTTGTTTGGTTTGGTTTGGTCTCTATCTTTTGTTAATAGGATTTCCTCAAATATCTAGTGATTCCTAGCTGTCTAGTTTTATTTTAAGAATGAAGCATTGAAAAGAGGATGTTTTGTATGCATGAGGGGACTCTCCATTGGGTTTGCTACAGGATGATGTGACATAGGCCAACATACTGGGCCACTGTCAGTGTCTTTTCTTTCAGGTTGATAAGATTGCCCAGACAATATTTCCAGCCTTCTGCTAAGAAAACATAAGCCTGGCTAACGGTGTTCTGGGAGCTAAGTGAAGGAAAAAGATTGAGGAAGTTTCAGTATACAACTTATAAATACATACTTAATCCCCAGCCTGCAATATTGTAGCCTACATCCTTTCCTGGTAACCCCAGTCCAGAGTCCCTGTATTTGTTCTTGGCACCAAAAGAAGAGGCAGTCTCCCACCTGAAAAGAATAGGAATGGGGAATTCGGTATCCATCAGCTTCTTACAAAGAGGTCTCACCAAATCCCATGTTTAAGCACCACCCTCATTCCTAGTTCCTAAGATATCTGTGCTTCTTTTTTTAAAAAAAAAAAAAAAAGAAAAAGACAAAACAAAAAAAAAAACAGGTCTCTCTATGTTGCCCAGGCTGAAATGCAGTGGCTCTACATAGGTGTGATCAAAAGCACTGCAGCCTTGAACTCCTAAGCTCAAGTGATCTTTCCACCTCAGCCGCCTAAGAAGTTGGGACTACAAGCATGCAACACCACACCCAGCTATGTGATCCAATTTGGGGGGTTCTATAATGTAAGCTGGGTTGGTTATCGTCAAGCTGAAGATTCAGCTTTTTTGGTTGTCTTAATTCAGTTACTACTTGTCTGTCTGCTTCCCAGTTTCTAAAGTTTTATTGCTGTTGTCTCCTATCTCATTCCCTTTGTCCTTGTGCATTTATGTTTTGTTAACAATTATTTCATTGTTCTCTCAACTGGGTTCAGAAGGAAAGAGATTCGAATGTATGTGTTCAGTCTAACATCCCAGATCCTGCGCTATTATTACTCTCTATGTTATAAGAAAGTTGGCAATGTTTATTCTAACTCTTCTAGAAAGACAGGTACTAAAACTAACAAACACAAATGCAGTCACTAAAGAAATATGTTGACCACAGTTTGGTTGAAACATCCATCAAGACCTCCATCATTTTTTTTTTTGTTTTGATTCTGTGCTTACCAGAAATCTTCTAATTATATGAAACTCAAAATGTCCAAAGTAAAATTGTTAATCTTGCATTCAAACTCTGGATGCTACAGTGTTCTCTTATTACCATGTAATAAGATGGTCACTATCCTTTTAATTACTCATATCAGAAATGTAGGAGTCATTCTAACACCTTCTTCTTCAGCCTCTTTATCTACCCATCACTAAGTTCTGTCATGAATGTTTATGACACGTTTACTTCTTTTCATCTCTACTATGAAGATCCTAGTCCAAGTTACTAGCACGTCTCTCCTAGACTTTTACCATTGCCTCCTAACTGATCTCTTTCAGCAACTCACTGGCCCATTCCCCAAACTGCAGTCATAGACACCTTTGCAAAATACAAGCCAGATCATATTCTACACAACCTGCCTAAAATCTCTAAGTTTCCTATGAATAAGAGTGACAATCATTAGCAAGGCCTGTAAAAGCCTGCAGGGATTGGCCTTATTCCTTCTCTGGTTTTATCTAGTGGTTCTCCTCCCCTGGTGTCAGCTCCCTAGTCGGGCTGCCTTTCTTTCTGATCCTCTTTTTGTCTGAAACTCTTTCCCCCTAAAAGCCCCTTCAGGCAGAACAGCTCTCTTCTACAGCTGCTCCCAATGTCTAACTGCCCTGTTCATTGGCCCTGGTTATTGCTTAGTCAATCCTTAGGTTTCTGTTCAGTGTCACTTCCTCAGGGAAACCTAGTGAGGTCATTCTTCTTTTGAATTTACACATACAGAAACATGCTTCATTTCTTTATAGCATTTGTCTCACTTATTAATTAGGCCCTCTTTTTATGTCTATTTGATTAATATCTGCCTCTCCCACCACACTATAAGCAATATGAAAGCAAGGAATACATGTATTATTTCTCACTACTGTATTCTCAGGACTTGAGTAATTGCTGATTTTCCCTTTTAGAGTTGGTTTAAAAAAATATATCTTGGATGAAGTCTTCTTTAAATTCAGAAAAATTTGAATATACTATCATCAGCCTTTCTTTTCATGATTCATGGTCTTTGTTATTTTTTAAATGCTGTAATACAGCCTATTTCTTAGTCTTTTGAGTGTATAGGGATGTCCACTACTATGTTAAATAACCTCAGACCAATTGTCCAGGGATAAAATTAGATAACTCTAAAGTTTTCAAAGGAGAATTTTAGTTCTTTAATGCTCAGCAGAAGACAACTGACGGGTTCAATTACTACCTTCAAATATAGGAAGTATTTAATAACTATATATATATATATAGTAAAATATATATATAGTAAAATATATATGTATATAGTATATAGCAAAATATTTGGCATACAAGGTAAGATTGGAGAATAAAGAACATTCAAAAAAACCCAACAATTATTATTGTTATTATTACCATTATGGAGTACTTATCACCTATCAGTAGTAAGTAAGAGCTTTAAATGCATTACCCCATTTAATCCTCACAGCAACACCCTGAGGTAGCTAACTGGTAGTATAATATTTCCATTTTACCAATGAGGAAATTCAGGCAGGTTAAGAAAGTGGTTAAGAAGCCATAGGCCCAAGTGATTGAGTTGGCATTCTTACCCCAGGCAGTCTGGCTCCAGAACCTGTTGGCTTAATCCCTTTCATGAAAATGCGGATAAGCAATTTTTTTCAAGAAAGCAGATAGTTTCACCAAAGAAAAATAATTTTAAATTTGAGAGAACCTTCATCTGGACACAAGAAAGAACAATTTAGAAGCATTGAACATTGGCGTAAACTACTTTTAAAAATAAGTTATATGTCTGTTTTAATTAACTATGAAAAATAGAATGGACCAGGCATATAGGCCAGAAGAGTCAGTCAATCAAATCTTTAAAGATGAGGCAGGGATCCAATGATCTTTTGACATCACTTCCAGGTCTCCAACCCTGAGACTGAGTTATCCTTTGTTTCTAACCTTTTCCCTGGGTGAAAGTTTGTCTAATGCCGTCAACTTTGTTTTATCCCAGGTTAGCTTATCCAGGGCAAATCTTGCTTTATTGAGTTTGGTAGTCACTTTGCTTAATGACTTGCTGCATTAACAACTTGGCATTCTCTTCACTCGCAGTCAGCACCTACCCAGCTTAATTACTTGCTTTGTTGACATTATGCTGTCTTCAGGGAAACACTTTAAAATCCAAAAGTTAATGTCTTAGTCCTTGTGTGCTGCTATAACAGAGTGCCTGAGAGTGGGTAATTTATAATAAACAGGAATTAAATGGTTCACAGTTCTGGAAGATGGGAAATCACAGTTC
This sequence comes from Homo sapiens, assembly GCF_000001405.40. Classification (NCBI taxonomy): domain Eukaryota; kingdom Metazoa; phylum Chordata; class Mammalia; order Primates; family Hominidae; genus Homo; species Homo sapiens. The sequence goes on along the minus strand of NC_000002.12, from coordinate 191,649,490 downwards.
AAAGGGCCAGCATCTGGCAAGGGTCTTTTATTATATCATTCCATGGTGGAAGGGCAAAGAGAGGGTGAGAAAGAGACAGGAGGCCAAAGTTATCCTTTTATAAGAAACCCATTCCTCTGATAATAAACCCACTCCTGTGATAATGGCATTAATCCATTCATGAGGAGAGAGCCCTCCTGGCCTTATCACCTCTCATTAGGCCTCACCACTCAACACTGTTGTATTGGGGGTCAAGTTTTCAACTCTTGAACTTTAGGGGGCACATTCAAATCATAGCACTTAACCACCTCTACTTTTTTTTTTTTTTTGAAATGGAGTTTCACTCTTGTTGCCCAGGCTGGAGTGCAATGGCATGATCTCAGCTTACCGCAACCTCCGCCTCCCAGGTTCAAGTGATTCTCCTGCCTAAGCCTCCTGAGTAGCTGGGATTACAGGCATGTGCCACCACACCCGGCTAATTTTGTATTTTTAGTAGAGATGGGGTTTCTACATGTTGGTCAGGCTGGTCTTGAACTCCTGACCTCAGGTGATCCACTCACCTCGGACTCCCAAAGTGCTGGGATTACAGGCATGAGCCACCACACCTGGCCAACCACCTCCACTCTTAATACCATTCCATCCCTTCCTGACCCAAGTATAAGATCATAAATGATACTAAGGAGAAAGATACAGGAAAAAAAATTAAAGAAGTTAACATGATTGTCATGAGGGTTTTGATGAACTAAAAAAATATGAAAAAGATGAAAGAAGACACTACAGCTCAATAAATCAGAAAGGCAAGAGCCTATAGGAATAGTGTTAGTAAGACTAAATTATGGTTTAGAATTACCATGAGGCCTACTTAAAATATGATAAAGATGCTTTAAAGAAATGGATAATATTTTTAAACACAACAAGAATCCAACTTTGGCCAAGCACAGTAGCTCACACCTGTAATCCCAGCACTTTGGGAGGCCGAGGCAGGTGGATCACTTGAGCTCAGGAGTTCAAAACCGGCCTGGGCAACACAGTGAAACTCCATCTCTGCAAAAAGTCCAAAAATTAGTTGGGCATGGTGGCTTGTGCCTGTAGTCCCAGCTACATGGGAAGCCGAAGCAGAAGGGTCACTTGAGCCTGAAAAACAGAGGTTGCAGTGAGCAGAGATCACGCCATTGCACTCCAGCCTGGGCAACAGAGGGAGACCCTGTCTCAAAAAAAAAAAACAGAATCCAACTTTATAGGCTAATGATGTATGTGTGTGTGTGTGTGTGTGTGTGTGTGTGTGTGTGTGTGTTGGTAATAGTGTGTGTAGAGGAAAATATGCTAGAATTGGGATCCCTCCATCTCTTCCCTGGACTTTCCAAGGAGCTACTGCTGACTCAGACCCTGCTCCAGGGAGGCCTTTACACTGTAATCTCCATGCAAGGGCCATTGTCCTCACCATGTAGTGGGCTGCAGGCCTTAGATGACTCATACTTGCTTTTGGAGAATACTTGTCCAAAGGCCTTAAAACCTTAAAATCTGTGTGCTCAACCTCACCAAATGCCATTATGTCTCCCTGTCTTAACTTAAAAAAAAACCTCCCCTATTCCTCCCTCTACTGTATTATTAGAAGAAGATGGGGAATAAAGGATGAATTGTATATCTATTTAGACTCTAGGCAACTTATCTGCAGGAATGCCTTTGGTTTAGATAACTATAAAAAACTCCTACAGTAAGGAGTTTAATCTGTTTTGTGGAATTTGAGACCAAAATGTCAGAAACACTTCCATACATCAGCCTAAGCATGGGCTTCTGTAATGTTTTCATAAAAGAGAGCACTTGATATATATAACCAGTTAGCAATTTTGATAGGACAATGCCAGTGGCCCAAAATGACCAGTGACTCTCCCATATGTTAAGATGCATGTGAATATGATTGACATTATCATTCTCAAAATACACTAAAACCCCAATAGCCTTTGGAATTATTAGTTCAATGTCTGTTTTATCGCCAAGTTCACTGCAGGCTTTGTCCGTTCAATAAGATGAATAGTGTCCTGAGAACAATAGCATGCAATACCCTGCTCCTCCCACTTTTACACCTGTAATCCTTCCTCAGACTATAATCTTGTATGAGGTCAAGGGGGTTTTGACTCTCTTTTCACTGTTGCATTTCCAGTATTTCACAGAATCCCTGTCACAAAGTAAATGCTCAATAAATAGGTGGATAAATAAAACAATACATTAATGACTTAGGAATGAGTGTTTTCTTACCTTTCTCAGGACCCTAAGAACATCATTTAAGCCTTTTGCTCCCAAATCTGTCTGTACTTCAGGATCACCTAGGGAGCTTTTTAAAGAACAGAAATTAGAGCCAGGCATAGTGGCTCACACCTGTAGTCCCAGCTACTTGGGAGGCTGAGGCAGGAGGATAGCTTGAGCAAAGGGAGTTTGAGGCTGTAGTGCACCACGATTTCACCTGTAAATATCCACTGCACTCCAGCCCAGGCAACATAATGAGACCCGGTCTCTAAAAATAGTTCAAAAACTAAAACAAAACAAAACCCAGGTTTGGTCCTCACCTTCAAGCACTGCAAATAGTAGTTTACAAAGCTCTTTCAAGTGGTGTGATGTGCTGCTAAATTTGAGAGGCAACAATTTAACCTATCTAGCCTCGGTTTTCTCATCTGGAAAACAGTTGGCCGACGCCCTCACAGAATGTCATTAAAATCAAATGCAATAAAATGCAAAGTACTCTGGCAAAGAAGAGACCGTGTATGACTGTGCAAGATAGGACAAGAATGGACAACAACCAAATAAATAGCCTGCCAGAGAGAACAAACACACAATTTCGCAACCCAAGTGCTTCTCTGTGGCACATACATAACTCAACAAATTCTAAGATTTGAATAGGATCTGAATGTTTTCTGAACAAATCAACTCCTCACCTCTTTGTCTATGAATCTCCCATATGTATCTTCTGTTTAACTTGGAAACAAAGCACCTATTTAAAAAAAAAAAAAGTATGGGGAAGTTATTGGAAAGACTGAATTGTTTTGGGAAAGACCATTCATTCATTCCTCATTTTATTTCTTTGTGCTCAACATTCATAATTAGTCATTTCAACCTCATGTTTAATCTCCAAACTTGCATCAACACAAGTGCTCTGACTGGATTCCCTGGATCCCCTTTATTGTTTCTGTGTGCTTATCTCCCAATCTCCCAGCTTCCGCACACTCAGCTCCTAACCTAACTCACCAGTCCCCTTCTTCAGAGATCTACCCTTGGGCTACAGGACACCATTAGACAGGATGCACTGAGGGCCAGAAGTGGGGTGGGGCAGAGTTGATGTCCCACCCCTCACCCCAAGGCAGCAGGTAGTCAACCCCAGAATTATAGAGGAGTATGAAAACCCAGATTATTTGCCTTGATGCAGAATAAACTATGCAGTGTCAATTACACTCCAGAGCTCCCATGGAATTAGACTGAGAATGAAACCTCATCTGCAATCGGACCCTTTCTTGGCTTCTTCCTCTTCCTATTCTACTTCCCCAACTCCCTTACTGGTTTCTCACTTAAGAACTTCCTTAATAATTATTTGCCCACAAATCTTCATCTTAAGATCTTCCTCATAACTTCTTCATCCTCCTTAACCCCAGATATTATACTTTTTTAAAACTTCATTTACATTTGTCTGATTACTGAGATGGAGTGTGTATCTATGTGTCCATAATAGTTAAGTCAGTTGATTTCTTCTTTTGTGGTCTCACATCCTTGGCTCATCTCGTTAATTCAGATTAGGTATTTTTATGTGTAATTTACATACAGGAAAGTAAACATATTTTAATTATATAGCTCAACAAATTTTTACATATGTACACACCCATGTAACCAACACCCAGATCAAGATATAAAACACTTCCAGCACACTAAGGCTCCCCAGTCCTCTTCCCAGTTAGCAGTAACCACCTCCAAGTGATCACTATTCTAATTTCTATTGGTATAGATAAATTTAGCCTGTTTTATAGGCTTATAAATGAAAACATCCTGTACATACTCTTGTGTCAAGCTTCTCTCATTCAACATTATGTTTGGGAAATTTATCCAGGTTGCATGTATAGTTCATTCTTTTTCATTTCTGTGTGGTTTTCCATTGCATGAGTATACCACAATTTATTTATCCATTTTACTGTTGATGGAAATGTGGGTTTTTTGCAATACGGAGCTTTTATAAAGAAGGCAGCTATGAATATTCTTTACAAGTCTTTAGGCAGATGTAAGTAGTCATTTCTGGATGTATACTTAGAACTGATGTTGCTGGGTCATAGGTTATAGATTCTTTGGTTTGATTGGTGGTATAGCAAACATAGTAACTCTGTCATATTTGTATAAGTTTCTTCCCAATTGACTGCTTGTCTTTTTAATAATAGAAATCTTCTTTTTTCCCAAGTTTTATTGCAGTATAATTTTCACATATAAAATTCACCCTTTTTAAATGTAAAGTTTCCAGCAATACCATTTGACCCCGCAATACCATTACTGGGTATATACCCACAGGATTATAAATCATTCTACTATAAAGACACATGCACACATATGTTTATTGTGGCACTATTCACAATAGCAAAGACTTCAACCAACCCAAATGCCCATCTATGATAGACTGGATAAAGAAAATGTGGCACATATACACCATGGAATACTATGCAGTCATAAAAAAGGGTGAGTTCATGTCCTTTGCAGGACACGGATGAAGCTGGAAACCATCATTCTCAGCAAACTAACCCAGGCACAGAAAACCAAACACTGAATGTTCTCACTCATAAGTGGGAGCTGGACAATGAGAACACATGGACACAGGGAGGGGAATATCACACACCAGGGCCTGTCGAGGGTTGCGGGGCTAGGGGAAGGATAGCATTGGGAGAAATACCTAATGTAAATGACTGGTTGATGGGTGCAACAAACCACCATGGCACGTGTATACCTATGTAACAAACCTGCACATGTATCCCAGAACTTAAAGTATAATGAAAAAAAATTGACTAGGATTATAGTCATTTAACCACCACCAAATCAAGATAAAGAACATTGCCATCACCCTGGCCGGAAGCAGTGGCTCACACCTGTAATCCCAGCACTTTGGGAGGCTGAAACAGGGGGACCACTTGAGGTCAGGAGTTCGAGACCAGCCTGGCCAACATGGTGAAACCTCGTCTCTACTAAAAACACAAAAAAATTAGCCAGGGACGGTAGCACACGCCTATAGTCCCAGCTACTCAGGAGGCCAAGGCAGGAGAATCACTTGAACCCTGGAGGTGCAGGTTGCAGTGAGCCAAGATCACGCCACTGCACTCCAACCTCGGCAACAGAGCGAGACTCCATCTCAAAAAAAAAAAAAATTAAACAAAACAAAATAAAACACAGCTTTACCTGTTTATTCTTTAAGATAAACTCTAGAATTATTCCAGAAAGTGTCATAAAAATGACCGTTGTCTTCTCTGAAAACACAGATATGTAATAAATCACAAGTCCTAGCTCTTGAGTTGGACCGGTCAGCCTAGGAATCCCAGTCACTTACTTGCTGGATAACATTAGGCAAGCTGCTATCCTCTCTGATAATCAGTTTCCTCTCCTGTAACATGATTATAATAATGGTGCCTGCGTCATGGGGTTATAAGAAATGGTGAACATAACTAATATAAATGAGGGCTTGCCATTTGCCCAGCACTATACTAAACACTTTGTAGTGACGTATTTAAATCTCACAACAATCCTGTGAAGTATGTATTTTCCCTGTCCTGGTTTTATAGATGCAGAAACTGGAGCACAGGGAAGTTAAGTAAATTGCCTGAGGCCTGAGTTGGGCTCACGAGCAGTGTGCCAGCTACTACAGGGCTTCTCTGCTTCATAGATAAGGAGGTGACACAGGGGAGCATGGAGCACTGAGCCTAGCATGAAGAATGCGGAAAGGGTAACTTTTATTGTCATCGTTCATCTTCTTTATGTTCTCAATAAAGCTGTATAATTGTCTTCATTTAGGTCATGCGCATTTCTTGTTAAGGCTAGTCATAAATATTTCATGCCCTTTTGTACTATTGTGCATGGGGTGTCTCTTTTTCCTATTATGTTTTCTCATTGGTTTTTTGGGGATGCAGCAAAAGCTATTGACTTGTTTACATTGAGTAGCTAAAAGAAAACATTAGTGGCACATTAGTACCATTTAAAATTCCCCGCCAAACAGCAATTTTAATTATGTATGCTCTTTTAATATCAAATGAGGTTAGTAGATAGATAATGAGAAAAAAATGGAGGTTAGAAATAACATTTTAGAATTTTTTCACCCTTGGTCAAAGAGGAATAAAGAGAGAAAAGAATAGAAAAAATTAATACACTCATCTAAGAATAGTACCCAAAAAGCCACAGCATATTACACCTCTCCCCAGAAAAACTTTTTGCTCAATTTTCTTTTATATGTGATATCTTAAAATAATATTTACAGTTTAAATCAGCTAAATAAAAATTTTAAGTTCTTCTCACCATTAGAAGAATTATGAGATAAGCAAATATTTCTTCCTGTTTAGATGTTCATGTTTTATTGTTCTTGTTAATCTAATCAAGAAAAAATAACTATTTCTTTTGAAAACTTGATTTCTTTTAAATAGCCAGACTTTGTACTTATTGAGGGAAAAAAACTCTGGCAATATATTCAAAGGTTTTGACCTTTGTATAGTAGATATATTTGAAAGTTAATATGTCAACACTTTTAAGAACATTGTAGTGCCAGCCAAGATATGACTGTGTCAAAGTAACATAATGACTGATCTATCAGTCAGATATAGAAAAGATCTATCAGTCTTTTCTAATGGAAAAAGATGCTTCATTCAAAGTTTAAAAGTAGAATAACTTGAGGAGGGTTAATCAAAGGACTGTTTATAAAAGGTTCGGAAGTACAGAACTACAAGGGATGGTGCAGTACACTGGGATCGGTGTCAATGAAACTGCTGCTGCACCAGACCAAAAGGCAGGGGTGGAGGAGTAGTGGAAGGCCTTCAGACAAAGCCATGTTATGAAGATCCCAAAGGACAATCAGATTCAAATCCAACATGTGAAGCCTAATGTGCACTCAAAGGAGGCCCACTTACAGCACAAGAAAGGATGGTGTCTCCTTAGAGTTACTCCATCTATGGCTCTTGACATTTAATTTTATTAAACAGAAGAAAACTAGTTAATGTATTAATTAAGACTTTGGGTTTGCAAATGACAAACACCTAACTAAAACTCACTTAAACAAAGAAAGAAAAGGTGTATGATCACCACTCAGAAATTCAGGAGTGCATCTGGCTTCATATGTTGCTGGATTCAGAGGCTCAAACAATTTTAAGTGGAGAACACTTATTCCCCGTTTTCTTTCTCAGGATGAGCAAGCATGAACAGAACCCTCGCACCTTCTCTCAGTGTGCTCATTTATTTCTCCCAAAGGTAGGAAGAGTGATCTGGGTCTGCAGGTGTGTTGGCATAGAAGAGACAAGAGGGGGCTAAGATCTAGCAGAAACTCAGCTCACCAAACTGTGAGCCATGGCTTGGGAGAGTTATCCAACTGGGGGTTTGGGAAAGAAACTGGCATCTGGGTATGGTTCAGCTCTTCCAGTGCCCTTCATTCTGTCTGATCAGTTTGTCTGTCTTATCATCTGCCTTCCTGGTGCTAAGCAGTCCACAATGGAGGACAAGGTCCAAAGATTCCAGCCATGCCAATGGCCGGTTGTGTTAAGGAGAACTAAGTAGAAGCATGAACTAAGATGAACTAAGGAGCAGAGTTTTAGAAAATTCTTTTGGGCAGCAATCCAAAGCCATGAGCTCAATCAGCTTCTCAATCATAAAACTATTTCTTTTCCAATTACCTAGCCTGCATTTATCTCTAAATTTGTTCTGAATTTAGGTAAAATAAGGTATTATATTTGGACCCCTAAAAATCCCATCAATGGTGTAATCAGAATACTTTTTTACTCTTTCTACCTGTCAAATGTTTTCCTCTCTAAGCTTCATTCCCAAGCAGATTCTTCTCATTTGGGGGTAAAGATGGCAAAAGGAATTTGTAGGTTTACACTGATCTTGAAGCTCACAATTTCTGTAAAAAGAGAGTGATGCATAATAACTCCAGCAAATGTCATAGGGAAATTTTGTATTGGTTCAGCTTGGGTGACATGTCTATCCTTGGACAAGCATGGAGTACACTGATTGGCCATGTATGGATGACTTGGCTACTGTAGTTGCTGGAGAATGAACCAGCCTCACCTGAGGCATAGGGGCTTAGAGTGAGGAAAGGGACCACACTTAATGTGCAGATTGAGCACACAGAACTGGCTTAGTCTCAGTAGATTGCTAAGAGAGTTGAAATGCTTTAATTTTGTTTCCTCCATATCAGTGATTATTAACCTTGGCCACACACTGGAATCATGTGAGAACACACTACTGCAGACCAATTAAATCAGGAAAGCTCTTGGGGATCAGCTGTTTTACAGTCCTAAGGTGTTGCTGATGTACATGCAAGGTTGGCAAACATTATCTTAAGTAGCATCATAATTGATTAGTCTGGGGCCAATTAAGGATAACATTGATCATCTTCCATCACTAGCTTTAACCTGTTATTCAAAGAAGGAAGTCTGATGGTAGAGGGAGACTCTGGGAAGATGGAAGTAACAGTAACATAGCTTTTGAATCTTTCTGTATTTTACATAAAAACATACAGAACAATGAAATAGTAAACCCAAATTCCCATGAACAACATATGCAACTAAACTGGCTATAAGATAGCCCTCCAAACCACAAAATAAAAGCAGGTAGGGGCAAACCACAGACGGTGTCCATCAGGTAAATGAAGAGGGAAGTAACTAGGTGTCTGAAAGATGTGAGACAAAGTGACCCACAAAAGAGCAGACCTGAGAACAGCAGCTCCCTTGCAGGATGGGGCCCACCCAGAGGAGTAACTGCAGGAAGTGGAATCAAATTGAGAAGAGAGGGCCAATAAAAAACCAGGGAAAGAGGTCACACCAAAGTGGGGAAGGGAACAGAGTAATGAATTCACAAAATAGTCAACTCCAAAATATGGAATATAAAACACTAAACTTTCAAAAATGATTACCTCTGGCAGTAAAATTTCTGAAATATTTCATTTAAAATTTATATACTTCTTGTGATTTAATACTTTTCTCCCAGGAAGCATATATTGCTGTAACATTGGACATGTATTTGTAACATCTATCATATGCATGTTATATATGTAACATACACATATTACAAAAGACATACATATATATATATATATATATATATATACACACACACACACACACACACACACAGAGAAAATAGTAAGACACAGTATTCAAAAACATGGTTATGAGCTACCTTATATATCCAGAAGGCAGTGCAGGTTGGACCGATTTGGAGGTCACCAAAGTCAAACCCTATATATCTTGTGAACCCAAACCAGCTACTGAAGAAGAAAAATGTAACTTTTCAAGAAAGATTGTATGAAAAACAGAAGCTGCTGGTGTCTTAACCTTCACAGTATTGTCCAGACATTGTGAAGGCAATAAATAGTAATTATGTGAATGAACGAATGAATGAATAAATGAATATAGAATGTCAAAAAAGTTTAAGTCTGTTTTCAAAAAAATCAACCTGAAAAATCAAGTAAGCATCAGGAGAATTAAAAAAATATATTAATTTTTTTTGGCCGGGCATGGTGGCTCACACCTGTAATCCCAGCACTTTGGGAGACCGAGGCAGGCGGATCACGAGGTCATGAGATCGAGACCATCCTGGCTAACACGGTGAAACCTCATCTCTACTAAAAAAAATACAAAACAAATTAATTTTTTTTAGAATTTAGAATGGGAGAACACTACAGTGTTGAAGTAACTCATTATAATAGAGTTGCCTGAATAAGTAACTCTAAAATTGGGTCACGATCTTTTCACTTCTGTTGACAAACATGTGAGACACTCCATGAACATATATAATTTCTCACCATCCTCCATGTATGATTCCAGTTTTCTCTCTTCCTGAAAACAACATATCATAATGCAGATGAGAGAATCTTCAGTCTCTTCTATTTAAAACATGAAAGAAAATCTGGAAAAAATTCAGTACAACTATTATCGGTAAATATGTAGAGGTGCCATAGGAATGAACCTATGTTTGCCTGGTGACCCAGCAGGTCCTCATTCCGTGTCCTCAGGCAAATTACTTTGCACCTCTAAGCCTCATTTTTCATAGGCTTAATAATTGTACCCATGCTATTGTGGCAATAAAATGAAATAATGAATGTGGAGTGTTTAGGACAATGCCAACAAAATGTTATCTAACAACAATAGTAATTTACCAGTAAGATAATCCTAGCATGTATGGCAGTATCCTAGCATGAAGAAAACAAAAATGCCATTGAAAACTACTAAACTAAAGAGCCTTAAGTTTCATTCTTAGTAAAAGTATTTAATTCTCTCTCTGTTTCCCTCATGTAGTACTCTGGTTAACAGATCACTTATTCATTTTAAAAAGTTATGAGTAGCTACCATGTGTAAGATACATACGCATTTGTTGGTAATTAGAAACTGTATTGGGCTTTTCCTTTTATTTAGCTGTTATTTGCATATTAAAGTTTCAGGGTACTTCTCAAATGAAGGGTGATTTTAAAACCAAAGTAACACTTCTCTGTTGGGTGGGGCCTGTCCAGATAGCTCATCTTCCACATATGAGCCTTGGAAGATTCTGGGCAGACTTCTGATGGGCTGGGCAGGAGGAGCTATCCTAACCCTTGGGGCGGGGCTGTGTGGGACCACAGATTCACCAGCTGATTGCAGAAAGCCCTTGTTTTTTGAGTTATCCATGCCCCGTGGACTTGGTAAGCTTTACTCCCTGGTGTCACCAGAGTATACCAGCTACCTGGTTCCTGCTGCATGCTTGCAAATAACTTGGTTCCAGTGATTTCTCACGGAGGTGACTAAATCAATTGGTAGGCTTAGTGTTTGTGTATACAAAGACTTAGAACCTGTTTTGCGTGTGCGATTTTAGTTTCTGTGATCTTTCCAGTCATTATCGTCTACAAGCTGTTGGCCCTGAGAATTATTTACATTTTAATTAGGAGTGCTCAACCCCCTCTATGAGTAGAGTCAAGCAGCTTATTTACTTCCTACTGGCAGGCTTCTGAGGAAACAGCTTAGGCAAACTTGCTGAGCCATTGAGCCAAAATAAAGTCACTTGCAGAAGAGCAACACCATGTCCTCACTTCTTAGCTTTGCTTCTCTGCTGGGGCTTCTCATGGGGACCAAAACTGAAGTGAGCTGCTCTATGCAGCAATCAAACTACTGCCTCATTTTTTTTTTCTTCCCTTTTCTCTGGATGAAGCAAACTTTTTAATAGGTTTCATTTGCATATATAATTAGCACTCATTTTTTTAGCATAGCCAGGGAGTGAGTTTGTTCTCCACGTGCCTTTTCAGATAAGCTTATCCTTTTAATCACTTAAGCTTTTCCTTGTTTACAAAGAAATATTTTTACATACTATTCAGCCTCATTCCCCTTCTGAAACAGAGTAAACAGAAAGCAAACTTCCTTTGATGACAGACACATGACTGTCATTATGGGTTAGTCACTGAACTATGCTCTCATACCCACAAGAGCTACAGAGATGGGAGAACTTGTTTGCCCCAGCATTAAATAACCCCACAATGCTGCCTCTTGAGTTCTTGGTTCTGCCTTCATGTCTCTCCCTTCTCTGTCCAGCTGCCTGTCTCTAACTTTCTCTATTTCTAGAGAATAGAGAAAGTTATTTCTAATCTGCCAGAAACTAGGAAATCAGATAAGCCTGCTTCCTAGAACTGAGAAATCAGATAAGCCTGTTTCCTAGAACTAAATGTCTGACATAATGTTCTGTGAGAGAAGTGCATGAACTTCCATGCATACTTGGCTATTGCTTAGGATGCTTTTGGCTGCAAATAATTGAAAACGCTGATTCATCATGGCTTAAATAACAAAGAAATTTATTGCCTCCCAGAACAAGAAGACTCCAAGTAAGATACAATCCAGGAAGGGTACTACAGGCTGCATTTTACTCCTGGGGGATTCGACCAGCTCTGTCTTCTCCCACCGTTGGCTTCGTCTTCCAGCTGGTGGCAATATGGCTGCCGTGGTTCCAGGGCCACTCTAGATGCACCAATGTTCCAAAAAAGGAGAGAGAACATCAACTTCTGTGTGTCTTTTAGGAGAAGGAAACCTTTTCCAGAGGCTTGCCAGCTGACTTCCCCCAAAGAGACCAGAATTGCCCTTTCCTAAGTCAACCACTGAATAAAGGAATAGAATTCTCAAGGTTGACTTTGGCTAACTAGTATCCATCCTGGATCAAATTGAAATTCTCTTGGGAAAAAGAAGAGGAAAAGTGGACATTGGGAAGAAAGCAACGTATGTGCTAGAAATGAGAATTATTTGTCTGCTTATGATTTTATAACTGTATCTACAATGAGTTAAGACTTGGTGGAACAGATCGACTTTTAGAAAAGTGAAATATTATTTTAAAATCAAATCAAATGGTAACCAGAGATATTTAGTGAAAAACTAGCTTTGACATGAACCTAAAAATGGAGACAAAGTTTGGTGTTGCTTTCATGTGAATATTACAGCACTTGAATGATTCAACCTAGAGTTCATAGTGCATTACAAGGAAATGTACAAAGAAAGGGGCTGTTGAGAGGAAAGTGACACAGGTGACTGTGACTTCTTATGAAAGCCAGATACCCTTCAAATGTCTAAAGGCAAATATATTAAGTGACAGAAATGTCCCAAGAACAAATATTTTCTTCTTGGAGCATATTAGAAAGATCTTAAGATCTAGACCACTCTCTGGGGATAAGCAGCCATGGATATATTAGGCAAATTTGTTTGTACTTTGCTTCTTTCTTACAGCTCTGGAAAAACTTCTCCCTATATAGGGACCTCAAATTACCATCTCTTCAATTAACATAGGAATATAGATTAAATATTCTTCTGGATCCACTAATAAGCCCTGCTCATTTCACAGAGTTTAACTTTGCAGGAAGACATCACTACTCCTTTGATGTGGTCCCTGACTCACCTCCCCAGCTCCAAGCTTGATTTGACATTCCTTCTCTGTGCTCCCCTAGGACTCAGTGCCTACTTCCAACAACAAACTTACCACACTGGATTGCAATCTTCAATTATTGTTTGTCTTTTCCCCTAAATTCCAAGGATCTTGACAAAGGAGCTAGGTTCTATTTATTTTTGTATCCACAGGGTCCCAGTACTTAAGGAATACCTTTCAGAAGGATGGATGAATATGAAGAAACTAAGGAGCAAAGGAATCAAGGATTTCTTCCAGTCCACCTGGGAAGTTAGCTGCATAGTTAGAAATAGAACTCTAGACTCCTGGCCTGTTTTCCAAACCACAGATATGCTTGGTTTATGCAGGTAAGGTTTTAGTTTGGGGTGTTGTTTTTAAACAAACGCTGTAAAACTATGCTAGGGGCAGGCAAAGTTTGTGGGTATTAGAGACCAAATGACCGTGAAATCATAGCATCAGTATGTGCGGTGTTTTAGGAATGTCAATGTGGCTCAAAAAGAATTTCTGTGAAAAATATGGACTCTCAACTCTCCTCTCCAAGGCATCTTTAGTTACTAACCAGTTAGGAGACTGAGCCCCAAGCCTGTCTCTTACCCATTCCATCCCAATGTATACGAAAGGCTAGATGCTATGAATGTGGTGATAACATCTTCCAGAAACCTCCATCATTCATTTTATCCTTGTGACTTCTCTGGTAACTCACCATCTTAAAGGATGAAATTTTCTTTTTACTGCAAAGTTTCAGAGTCACTTCAGACTTCAGTGAGATCATAGCATGCGTTTCTCTTGGACTAGGACCAGGCAAAGAGTCTCACTGAGTCACAGTCAGGGCAGGGACTCCCTCCATCCCCAGGCCAGCCTTATTATGTACAAATGTGCTACCTTGTCACCTAAAGTATAAATGAAGTAAAGGTTTATTCCTGTTCCAGTTTCAATTTGACCAAGCTTCCACCACAGCCATACACCTGTTACTGCATTTGTTATTATGCTGTAGAACTTTCTGCAGAATATAACCCTTCTCATTCCTCATATTATACAATGGACATATTCCAGAAAGTAGACTAGCCCCAGGATTGATGAAAGCCTTCTTTTTGCTTCACAGCTCAGGACTTTTGCGAATTATCAGCATATTCAGTCCTGACTGGAAATGTCAAAATGTTTCAAATTCACAAACTATAGCAGATAATTTGGCTGAAAACAATTTGGCTAAATGAAATTTTGCCAAAGATAATTTGATCAAATATAAAGTACTTATAGTTTACTTTAAACTTTATTTTAAAAGTAACTTTGTCAACAGAACAATTGGTACAAATAATACTTATTGAAAATGGGTGAATACAATCACTGGTTTTTCAGTGTTGGTAATTTTAGTGTGTATGTATCACAAGGTAGTGAGGCAGTTCTCTGCGTCATCAGCATTTTTGTCTGATTGTCACAACTGGTTCCTTTTTTGTCAATTATTTATGTTATTTGCTTCTTACAATACTGAAAAGTTGGAAAAGAGAATTGTTCAACAACAATATATATTTGAAACAACCTAAATAACCAACAAAATTGGACTGGCTAAAACCTAAAGAGCAAGTAATAGGGAAATCTATTAAAACTGGGAATTATATATTTTGTTCCGTGCTTTATTTTATTATTTCAGTTCTTTGTTTATTTTCCCCGGTATAAAAGCAATGTTACTCAATAAAAGAAATTAGAAAATACAGATATGCAAAAAAAAAAAAGGGGGCATTGTAAGTCACCTACCTGGTTGAAACTTTGAGTAATTTCCTCTCAGGTCGTTTTTAATGTGCCTACACACATACACATATATACACATGGATAAACACACACACACACAACCCTGACCCCCTGCAAAATAGGATCATGCCATAACAATGCTTCATAACTTTCAATATAAACCATATATAAGCAAGCTTTAAACTGTTGGACTTTTTGATAATTTCAACTAATATTCTATTGGCCAGAAACAAATTAAGGGTTATTATAATTATAAATAGAAAAATCTGATATGTGGACAAAATGCTTAAAGCCACATAAAGGGTTGTGACTCAATCCCATGATTAATACTAATTACTAATATATTTTAAATCCAGTTCCCATAAATTAAGACTTTTAACCATATTGTCCTATTGGCTACTTTTCTTTGGAACATATTGTTTGGTTTCTATTTGCTTGTGATCAAATCACTTTTGAGCGAATTATTGGGACATGCAGCATCAGTTCAGTGTTAAGCTAGGTCATCCTTCCAATATCATCCCACCTGAGATGTCCGTATCAGTCATTTCCATCCTATTTGTTTTGATGCACACAACATCTGAGTGTTCAAAATAGTGTTCACTATGAGCCTTGTTTCAAAAAGAATTTTAGGTGTCTTTCACAAGCATATTCAACAGGACAACATTAAAATTTTTAAAAAACTGAGTGAAGGCTACACAGGAACTCTCTGTTCTATGCTTGCACTTTTTGATAAGCCAAAAATTAATTCAAAATAAAAAGCTTTTTTTAAAAAAATAGCCTGAAGGCCAGACACAGTGGCTCACACCTGTAATCCCAGCACTTTGGGAGGCCAAGGCAGGCAGATCACCTGAGGTCAGGAGTTCAAGACCAGCCTGGCCAACATGGTGAAACTCTGTCTCTACTAAAAATACAAAAATTAGCCAGGCATGGTGGCGGGCACCTATAGTCCCAGCTACTTGGAAGACTGAGGCAGGAAAATCACTTGAACTCACGAGGCAGAAGTTGCAGTGAGCCGAGATCGTGCCACTGCACTCTAGCCTGGGCAACAGAGCAAGACTCCATCTCAAAAAAAAAAAAAGAAAGAAAGAAAAAGAAAGAAAGAAAAAGAAAGAAAGAAAAGAAAGAAAGAAAGAGAGAGAGAGAGAGAAAGAAAGAAAGAAAGAAAGAAAGAAAGAAAGAAAGAATAGCCTAAAATATACACAGATTAGAGAGACATCATTTTCCAAAACTAAGAGAAATCAAGCCATACACACACACAGATATTGATAAGACAAGGCCAATATGAGAATTAGTCCACAGCAGGGCACACTCTGGGGTTTCACACAATTACTACCATAGTCGAGTAGAAACATGAAATGGTATTCAATAGGTCAGTAGGGTGAGTATAGTTAACATTAATCAATTGCACATGTCAAAAAAGCTAGACGAGAATAATTTGAATGTTCCCAGTATAAAGAAAAACTAAATATTTAAGGTGAAGGATATCCCAATTACCCTGATTTGATTATATGAATGTATCAAATTATCACATATACCTGAAAATATGTATATCAAATATGTATCAATTTAAAATATAAAAAGAAACATGGTTGTGACAAAAATCACATTATCATGTGTAAAAATGTACTGGTTTTTAAAAAAAGCAAAAGGTTTTCTACACTTGGGTCTAAGAGAAACTTTTCTGTGGGTTTTCCTAAAGTGAAAACCAGGTGATATAGAGGTTGCCATTTTCAACAACACCCTAACTCTAAATACAATCATGTCCTGGAGAAGCGAGAATAGGATCCTGGATTTAGACAGAAAGGGCAGAGCACTTAGATTTTAATAGTCATGAGCTATTAAGACATATATTTTAAACAATTTTCTTTTTAAAAGAAAAAAAAGTCTAACTGTGGGAGGAGTGGCGTAAAGAATGTTTCAGGAAACATCATCCTACCTGCCTTGTCAGGAGGGCTTTTAAAAAATTAAATACTAGATAAGACAAGCAGACGCAATATGCAGGTCCATATTTCCCAGCTATCAGCCAAGGCTGAGAAGCAAGACTCAAGGCACTAAGAAGAAATGGAGAAGCATAGTGTTCCCTTAAAATACCTGACATATCTCATGCTGGGAAACACTGCCTGCCCTGTTTATGTGTTGGGTTTTTTATATAGGCCTGTTAAAAAATGGAAGGAAGGCCCAGCCTATCCCAAGCAAAATCAGACAGGAACCGAAGTTGTGGCACCTGTTTGCCTCCCCTTGTAACTTTCTCCCCCTCCCAACTTAAAAGGATGCTGCCTTCAGACTGAAAAGAAAAGGATGGATGCTTAGGATACAATCCAAAGAAGAATGAGGGCTAAGGGAAGTGTGAAGCCCAGCCATGGAGGTAAATCCCCAAGGGAACAAAATCCAGTGGGGCCCAGGTGGGCTTGCATGAGCTCCAACTGGGGGAAAAAAGGAAAGATCCCATGGGCCTCTTTTCCTGGGCCCAGTTCTATTCTCAGACTCTTCCTCTGGTAAGGGAGGGTGGAGAGGGGGCTTCTTACCACTTTAGACTCATAAACATTCTCCTGTCCTTTCCTCCAAGAGATCAAATCCTTACTTGGTATTATTTACACTTAGCCTCTAATGTGATGGAGCTTTTAAACTAGGATCGGCTGTCAGCAAGTCTGCTAGAGGTTATTCTAGAGTTTATGGGGATTGGAAAGGAGTGGGTATTGTGTAAGAATCCAAGCTTCCTACTGACAGCCCTAGGGCTTGGAGCCCAGCCAACCTGAGCACAGGTCTCCTAGCCTAGCTACTTTTCTCTGCTCTCACCCCATTTTTTTTCTCTTCCCCTCCACTCCAAGATGCTGGGCATGCAGGATCCATTCTTACTGAAATTTCTTCTCCAGTCTTTGCTCTGGGTGCTTAGGTCTCTTTACCTGCCCCCTCCCTGCCCCCATCCCAAGCATGACAAGAAAGTCTTCCTATCCTGGACTGGGTGGGCATTGCTCAGCCTCCAGAAACTTGGGTTCTGGCTCTTCTGAGAGTGGTTGGGATGCTGCTGCATAGAAGGAAACAAGAAAGTGAAGCAAACCCAAGAGCCTCAGCCATGGGCATTGGTAAATAAGAAGGAGGCTGGAAATCCTACAAGCTGCAGATCATAGATCCTGATGCCCACTTGCCTCATAATACAGATTCAGGTAAGGAAGTTGAGGTCCTGAGAGACTTGTTCGTGATCACTCATTTATTTATTGCCAAAGTCAAGACTAGAATCCACTTCACGCAAATATCACCCAATTGATGTTGCTTCTTCCATTGTGCTAGATGGAAGCAGAAAACTGTGGTCTTTCCAGAAATACTCATGCCAACAGGAGTACGGGAAAGATATCAGAAAAGCTTTCCAGGGTCTGTGTGGTGGCTCATGTCTATAATCCCAGCACTTTGGGAGGCTGAGGTGGGTGGATCCCTTGAATCCAGGAGTTCAAGACCAGCCTGACCAACGTGGTGAAACTCCATCTCTACAAAAACTGCAAAAATTAGCCAGATGTGGTGGCACAGGCCTGTAGTACCAGCTACTCAGGAGGCTAACCCTGGAGAAGTCTAGGCTGCCGTGAGGTCCCTGCACTCCAGGCTGAATGACAGAGCCAGATCCTGTCTTAAACAAAACAAAACAAAAGCTTTCCGTTGAAACTGTTTATAGCTAGTATGAAACTAACAAAATATCATTTACTAGATTATATATTTTCATAGCAGCAATTTTAAAAACAGGTTAAATTTCACCACTATTTCTTCCTTTCTTCCTGGAATTAGGCATTGTTTTGATAATCTTGGTCAACTGAAAATATTCTCTCTATAACTATAAAGTTGGTGTGAAAGTTTTTTAGGAAAAAATGCTTTTCTATTTTAAACTGAATCACAACACATATGTATAGACCTCAGTTTTTGGAAGAAGAGCTATTTTTAAATAGTGTATAAAATGGCATTTAAAATAAGCCATTTCATCAGAGTTGCCTCCCTTGCCTAACTAACTATTCTGAAACTAATCAAATGATTCAATTATTCAGTCCAAATAAACACATGTTAGTACCTAAGTGTTAGTTTCTGCATGGGACACAAAGAGATGCTGCTCCCACAGAGATCTCCATCTGCAGAAAGGGTTAGATAAGGGCAGAGCAGCTGTCACAGGAGATGGGGGATGAGGGGGGTGAGTGAGCAAAAGGAGTGCAAAAACCTATGGACATGCAAAGGAGGGAGAGAAACAACAAATATTTGTTGAAAAAAATTATCCTAGAATAAATCAGACATTTAGTAAAGGTAGCTGTGGAGGCAGAGGCTTGGGATGAGGCTTGGAGGATGAGAGGGATTGAAAAAAAAATTCCTGGGCTTGCCTCCAGAGCACAAGCATTTAGCAAGTCCAAATATTTAAGATACTGTAATTATTTTTACAAGAATATGTAAAATATTTTAATTTCACTCCTTCTAAAAACAATTATCTCTTTCCACTGTGGTGAACTTATCCAAGTCCCTGGGTCCTAGCCATTTTTGTCAGCCTTTTAATATGAAACCAGAAGGATAGAAATCCCAGCAGCCTGAAGACCTTTTGCTTTTGTGTCATAGTAACCCTGTCCCCGATAGCTCATATTGTGTCTTCATTTGTGCTTGTACTGAGAATGGAGTTTCTTAGGGCTTAACCCACTCTTTCAACAAATATTTAGTGAGCATCTGCTGTGTTCTAGGCATTGCCAGGCACCAGTATCAGAAAGGTGAATATAAATCTTCAGGGAAATGCAAATCAGAGCCACAATCAGGTATCACCTCACAAAGGTTAAGATGGACATTATATTTTAAAAAAAAAAAAAAGTCAAGACAAGTGTGAGCAGGCATGTGGAGAAATTAGAATCCTTGTGCACTGCTAGGGAGAATGTATAATGGTGTGGCTGCTATGGAAAACAGGATGGAGGTTTCTCAAAAAATTAAAAATAGAACTATCATTTAATCTAGCAATCTCACTTCTGAGTATATACCCAAAAGAATTAAAATCAAGATCTCAAAGAAATATCTGTATTCCCACATTCATTATTTATGGCCAAGATAAGGAAACAACCTACATGTCCCTTGATGGAGGAATGGATAAAGAAAATGTGGTATATACATACAATGGAATATTATTCAGCCTTTATGAAAAGGAAAGCCTGCCATATGCAACAACATGGATGTACCTAGAGGACATTATGCTAAGTGAAATAAACCAGTCATGGAAGCCCAAATACCGCATGATTCCACTTGCAGTAGGTATCTAAAATAGACTCAGAAACGGAAAGTAGAATGGTAGTTGCCAGGGGCTGGGGGAAGGGAGAAACGGGAAGTTATTGTTGAACAGGTATAAAGTTTCAGTTATTCAAGATGAATAAGTTCTAGAGAACTACCGTACAACATAGTGCCTTGTAATTAACAACACTGTATTGTGCACTTAAAAATTTATCAGGAGGGTGTATCTTATGGTAAGTGTTCTTACCACAATAAAAAAAAATCAAGCTAAACAAAATAGAAGGGTGAATACACCCTTAAAAAAATCAGGTATAAACAAGGGAGTCAAAGACGTGAAAACGGAAAGGTAGCTGCAGCTACAGGGCAGAACTAAACCACCAGGGCGAAACATTCTGTAGAGGTATTGCAAGAAACAAATTAAGCCACCCAGATTAGGGTCTCAGGCCCATTATTTCCTAAGTACTCCAAATTAGAACAGTATGTACATCCTAATTTTTTTGCCAGTTTGCCAATTTGATAGGCAAAAAAAAAAAAAAAAGTAGTTTATTGTTGTCCCCTAGGACTGGAACAATATCACAGGCTTCTGTCCAAAGTTTCTATCTCCCTAACTCCTGGTTGATCCCCTATGAAAAGTGTCATCTTCCAGTTCTAGTTTTGGAGCAAGCTCCAGGGTATATTTCAAAGGCAACATCAAAAGACCAAGTTGAAAATCAGAAGGTTCCCTATGGGCTTCCTATTCTTTTCTGGTCTGACGTGAGGGCATATCCTTTGGTAAGGAAGAGATCTGTGGTCAAAGAAATGATCCCATCCTTAAAGGTAAGACTAGCTCCAGTTTAACAAAGAGTGCCTTTGTCTCCTGGGATCAAGACAGTACAATACCCTACATACAACACAGTCCCCCAGCATGCATAGGAGGACAGGAGCACACACTGGTCATTTCCCTGCAGAGCCACCTACGTGAAAGGAAGGCTGGTAAGCGCAGGGTATGAGCCATGTCCTCTCCTGCAGATGAGGCGACTAGTGTGCCTGCAGCTAAAGAAAATTCTGGCAATGCATTGGCTTTGTTGGGCCAAACCTCTCCCTGTTCCAGCAACATATTTAGCCAGTTTCCTCACCTACTCGTAAAAAGAAAAAACGCAGCTGGATGACATGTAGCCCCTTCGGGATTTGTAATCAGGCAAGGAAGAGCAAGAGCTAAATAGAAATAATAAAGGTCTCCATTTATTGTGTTGTTTGTAAAAAGCTTTGTTAAGGCATAATTTGCATACCATAAAACTCATCTATTTAAAAACACAATTTAAGGAATTTTAATAAATTGGCAGTTGTGTGAAATTTGCCAACTCTCCATCACCCCCAAAAGATCTTTTGTGTCCACTTATAGCCTATTCCAGCCCCAAAACAACCATGATTCTGCTTTCTGTTTTTTAATAGATTTGCCCTTTCTGGAAATTTCACATAAATGGAATCATACAGTACACAGGTTTTTGCCTTGGCTTCTCTCAGTGTCATGTTATTGAGCTCCTTCAACACTGTAGCATGTATCAGTACTTCTTTACTTTTCATTGCTGCAGAATATTTCATTGTATGGATAGATTTTGTTTCTTCATTCACCAGTTGATAGACATTTGGATGGTTTCCAGTTTGGGCTATTATGAATAAAACTGCTATGAAGGTTCCCATGCATGTCTTTATATGAACATATGTTTTCATTTCTCTCGGGTAGCTAGACAGGAGTAGAATTAGCAGGTTATATGGCAAGTTTATGTTTAACTTTTTAGAAACTGCCAAGCTATTTTCCAAAGTGGCTACATCATTTCCCATTCACAGCAGCAATATATATGGGGTCCAGTTTCTCCACATCTTTCCTAACACTTGCTGTCTTTTTCACTATTATCTTTTTAGTTGGTTTATATGTTTTGAAGACTCAGATTTTTCCCACCCTCCAGGACCAGAAACCAGCATGGCTAAGCATAAGATTTGGGTCCTAAATGGCTGGAGCTCTTGAGGCAGTGGTACTTTGCGAAGAGCATGGTTGTGGAGATGGACAACCACATCCCTGTTACTATAACAAGGAAGGGGTAGAGCAAGGCCAGATACCTCCATTGTCCAATCTCTATTGTTCAAGGCAGAAAAATCAGTTCTTCTAAGGACAAAGAGTTTCCTTCAGATTAGAAATTATCTCAACTTGTTCACGCAAGGATTTGTGAACATTTATGAGCACCTTTAGAGAGAGGAAAAAATATACTCTCATATACTACAAGAAATCAGCTAATTCAACTTCAATATATTTTTTATATCTGTTGCAAGCAAAACATCATGCTGGGAGGAAGATAGAGCAAAACAAAATCTCTAATTAATCAAGTTTAAAATCTGCTCACTCCAGCAGATGGAAGTAGGGAAAAGAGGTAGGATGGGAAGGGGGTGGTACCATTGCCTCTGATAAAAATTGTTGAGTCACAGCACCTTAGCATGTGTCTAAGTCATCAGTGTATGGGGATGTAAAGTGGTAGGAAGTTCAGCAAATGCTTTAAAAAATTAATTTGGGGGTTTTAATAATTATAACCTCAAAGTAGGCATATATGCAGTAACAATTCTGAGAGTTTTAGCTGCCTTCCAATTAGTGACCCTTTAAGAAACTTCTGAATAGATCCATTTATGACTCATTGCTTATGACTTTAAAGCTATTCTAGGGTTTGTCAGCATCTTGTGAAATTAGATGGGGAGGACTAAGAGGAAGGCAAACCTGGAAAATGACACAGTTTTGTGAAGATTAATTTCAGGCTTGCCTTCTGTGGGTAGAGAAGGGATTCAATTGGCTTCTTCATTTCTTACAGAATAGCTTTTCTCATTATCCCTGAGCTGTGAACCAATGGCATGCTAGAAGCCTATGAAGTATGTTTAGGGAGCAAAAGCCAATTGGGTATATTTTTCCCAATTCTACATTCAGTGTCATCTTTAACCAGCAAACACTAGGAATCAGAACCAGTTGTTGAAAATTTGCCAGCACATCACTGCAGAAAATTGTACAAATTCTCCAGCAAGACATTCTGGATAATCTTCCTCTGAGACGAAAGAAGAATTCTGAGGCTAACCTTGGAAGGCAGCTACAACAAGTGCTATAAAAGCCTCAAATGGTTTAACAAATACAAAAAAAAAAAATAGGTATAGCTAGGCTTTTTCTTGTAGAGGAATGATAGCAATAGAGTGCCTCTGGATTCAACACAGAAGCTAACATTAACTGTCGGGGGTAGCCATTGGGAATTAAACTCACAATCTTGTAAGATGGATAAAACAGCTTCATAAATAACTATGATATGAGACAGAAGGTGGTCAGAGGCACAATGTACAAATGAGAGGAGATTATTCAGAGGAGGCAAAAGCTGAGCCCACCGCATGGCCAGGTGTAGGGCCTCTCGCAGGTGAGGAATGCCCGGGATGCACCCATTTCTAAGCCTCCTGTTGTACTAACACAGGAGGAAATGCCACAACAGGATTACAAATATTGTGGTATGTCTTTACTAAATATATTACTACTTTGAATAAACCTATACACAAAATATAATGCTATACAATTGCAATCTTCATAACATTTTAGAAGTTATTAAAATATTAATTAACTGTGCACTACAGGGGGTATGGTTTCAGTGGAAAGTTGTCTAATAAACATCTTTTTTGAAAACTGTTAGTGAATCTGAGTGACTCCTTGTTGAACCTCTGTGGGAGGTCAGTCTAAACCTTAGGGCCATCTTGACAGGAAAGCCCCCACCCTCAGAGCCAGGATTATGGCAAAGTTCATGACGTCCAAGCAGGACTTTGTCATATACAGAAAGAAGCATTTATCCAGCAGAACTTGGATATTTTCATTTTTACATAGGTAAATTACCCTAATAACAAGTGTATCACCCTCGAATACTCAAACAATTTTGTCTATACAGTATTTAATGAGAAAACTTCCACAGCCTTCTATTATAGGTTTTTAAAAATAACGTCACCTCCTGTTGACAAATTCGGAAGTATTGTTACTCTCTGCTCTCATTATGTGACATGGTAACTGACAATACAGTTTTGCCCATTTAAGGTTTTGTCTGCTGCCCGTTCGATGCTGAAGTCACTTCCTGCTGCTGTTGGCACATCTGCCTGCCCCCTGCAGCTGAGCTTTTTCTGGTTGGTGATTACTCTGTACACTGGTTTGCTGCTATTTGGAGAATCAGATAAGCAGCTTGTTTACATTTGTTATGAAGAATCTGTAACATAAGAGAGGGAGCTGCAACCTCTGACCCTGATGGGACTGTATAACCCACCTTCTCCACAGACTTTGTAGGCTAGAGCTGTGCTTGGGAGCTTGGTTGTTGCTGGAAATATGGTGTCTAGATGAGGAGTTTTTAATATACTGTTATGGGCTGAATTGTGTCCCCCTCAAAATTCACATGTTGAACCCCCTATCCCCAGTATCTCAGAATATGATTGTATTTGGAGATAGGGTCTTTAAAGAGGTAGTTAAGTTAAAATGAGTCATTAGTGTAGGTCCTAATCTGATAGGACTGGTGTCCTTATGAAAAGAGATTAGGACACAGACTGGCACAGAGGGAAGACCCTGTGAAGACACAGAAAGAAGATGGCGGTCTACAAGCCAAGGAGAAAGACCACAGAAGAAACCGACCCTGCTAACACTTTGATCTTGGACTTCTATCTCCCAGGATTGTGAGAAAATAATTTTTCGTTGCTTAAGACACTCAGTCTGTGGTGCTTTGTTATGGCAGCCTGAGCTGACTAATCCACTAACCAGGCAGCTTTCACCTGTGGTGCAGTGTCCTGAGATTATGCCTGGAGTAGAGAAAAGTAAGAGTTATCCCATAGGCTCCCCTCACCAAGCCCATGTCTCAGGACAACTCTTTTATTTAACCTGTTGGTATTATTGCAAACTTTAAGGTTTTCTAGGTGTGGAGCCACCAACTCACTGATGAGAAAGGAAGAGATGACTGGACCCTGCAAGGAGACAGAGAAATGAGCTTTGATGTACACAAGAATAATGAGGAATTTAAGCAAAAAAAAAAAAAGTTTCTCCTATGGGAAGGTGGATTCTGAGCTATTAGTTAAAAGTTAAGAAAAACACCAGGAATTGTTGTTAATTCTTTCCTAAATCTATCAGTTCAATTAGCTGCTGAGACCAAAAAAAAGTCATAAATTGTGAGTTTTTATACACAAAACATTTTTTATAAAGCATAAAAGTAAATCATCAGAGTATCCTTGAACAAAAACCACAGTGAAAGATGAATGACTATGTAAAAACCCGATATGAATAATTTTAAAAAGACATCAGATAAAAAGAAAAGGCCTAGAGAGAGAATGAAAATTTGAAGGGAAAGAAGGGACTTAGAAATGAGGACAGAAGGGACCAGGAGAAAGAGAAGGAACAGAACTGCAGTTTTGGAAATTATGAGATAAAGTCTGGGTAGACAGGTGCTGTTTCCTCCAAACCTCAGAGTGCCAGGCCTGATGAAAACTTGTGAAGTTTGAAGCCTTGCTTTAGGATACATGAAAGACAATCAACCCTTGCCTAATAGGTAATAGTCAATATTCTAGTCTTCTCTCAATTATTGGCTGGACCAAAAAAAAAAATGTATATAGATTTGAAGTAGATTTGTATCAGCATATTGATGAATGGATAATATTAAAGGAAACTTAATGTTTGAGAAATTCCTAAGGAGCAGAGGCTGAATCCAGGGTAAACAAACTCACTCGCCCACCATTGATCCCAGAGCCCCTGCCTGAGATAGAACTCACATGTGTCTTCATGGGGCGCAAACCAAAGATACCCTATAAGCCTGGGTGGGGTGGGAGACACACAGGACAGAGAAGCGCTAGGTCTTTACGTATCTTCAAGGGGATTTCATTTTTTGTCTCCTTAATAGCCTTAAAATTTTCCCATCTTCTTAGAAGTGTTAGCCATTTCTAAGAATACACAAATAACAAAAGTATGTTTTTCCACTGTTCCTAAATGTTAAAGCAGAAAAATCTTAAACCAACTTGGAGCCCTTTGAAGTCAATTATTGCCTACTGAAAAGCAGTGTCCTTGTTTCCACATCATGCCTGGCAGGTGAGCTCAGACACAATCTACTGACTCCAGGACTGTTATCCCTGGACTCGGAGATGTCCTTTGCAGATTGACTCCAAAGAAAGCCAGCAGGTCCAGACTTGGTGTGGCTGAACCCCAGGCTCATGAGCTGATATGATTAACACATTATCTTCAGACGTGAGCACCTGCAAGCAAGGGGATGGGGCCTGGCAGAGCTGCTAACAAGTCAGATTCCAAAGAACCTGACAAACTGGAAAAGCAAACACAGATGAGCATGGCCAGGTGTCCATGAATTGACCATTTAACCTCACCTGAGTTTACTTCTCTGGTGACCACACTAGCAAGAACTTTAGCCATGTAACTCACCAACCTGTGAGCGCTAATTAAAGTTTGCTAAGAGCTTTATAATCAGTCCAGACAACTGCTCTGGGAATGCAGAAGTACTCATACATACATAGTGCTGCTCTTAATCTTTTGTTGTTGTTAGGATTCTTCCTGTTTTATAATAATGCTTCAGCACATAATTGGCTGCAAAGATTCTATTTTTGTTGTGGGGTAGGAAGTCCTCATTCACAATACGCACTCTTTTCCTTCTCACAGTGGTGCAATGTAAGCACCATAATGCATGTACACAGCAGGGATGATGGATAGCACTACAACATCCATCCCCTCTCCTCAAACCTCCTCTGGACAGAGGAGTCGGGTGTGAGGTGAATAGTCAAGGGTGGGCTGGAGGTGCTGTCTCTGGGCTGTCACTGAGGTGTTCTCCATGAGCACACATTGGTTGGCATGTGACTCAAACCCAGCCTTTGATTCATAAGACATTTTAGCTCTCATTCTATGACTTGAGATGTGAGTGCTAGAACAAAACAATTGACTAGAGGTGGAAGCCAGGCATTTAACATTAGGATTCATTTACTTCATAGTCTAAAGTATATGCCCTACTATCCCCAACACCCACACAGTCCCAAACACCACATCTTTTTTCTTTTTCTTTTTTTTTTGAGATGGAATTTTGCTCTTGTTGCCCAGGCTGGAGTGCAATGGCATGATCTCGGCTCACTGCAACCTCCACCTCCTGGATTCAAACGATTCTCCTGCCTCAGCCTCCCAAGTAGCTGGTATTACAGGAATGCACCACCATGCCCAGCTAATTTTGTATTTTTAGTAGAGACGGGATTTCTCCATGTTGGTCAGGCTGGTCTTGAAATCCTGACCTCAAGTGATTCACCTGCCTCGGCCTCCCAAAGTGCTGGGATTACAGATGTGAGCCACCGCATCCAGCCAACACCCCATCATTGTTTGGCCATCAGATAATTAATTCTACAAACTAGCTGAGTAGGGGCAGGGGGCCAAGAATGCAAGGAGGCTAACTTTGACCTATTCCATTCTCAAATGTAAGCTAAGTAAACACAAAATCTTTGAATCTGGAGGAAACTTACAGGTCTATCAAGTCCAAATTTCTATACAATATGAAATCTCTTCATTACGTCACCAACATATGGTCATGTACCCTTTGTCCAAATCTCTAAAGACAGTAGGTAGATTTTTTACCCTGAACCTAATGAAACGTTTCATTTGGTGCCTCTCACTGCCAAGGCCTTCTTCCAGGCCCTGTGCTAAATTTTGTATGTATCATTTACATTTTTTTCTTTAAAAGGGCCCCCAGAGTGGGGGCCCTGTATAAGCTTCTGGCCCCACAAAACCTGAGGTAGGGACAATAATACCTTTCCAAAGAGCAATGCAAAATGCTTTCTTACATTGGAATTAAATCTGCTTCTACAAGTACACCAAAAATATCAGAAACATGTTTTCGGTGATAGAGTGATATTTCTGAGATTGAGTGTATTCATTGAGTGAGTATTTAACAGGGTTATCTGAAAGTCCTACATTTAGATTTAAAAAACAGTTGCTCTCTTTCACCCCAGTACCTTCATTCAGGCTGACCCCTCTTCCTAAAAATCTCTCATCTTTATTTTGTCTGATTATCTCCTACTTTGCTTTCAGATCTCAAATCATTAGCTCCTCAAGAATGTCTTCCCTAACTTCCCTGACTAGGACAAATCTTCCTATACCTAGTGTCATCACACTATGCTTCTTCAGGGCACATACCACATTGTAACTTTTACACATATTTGCATGCTTAGATTTCTCTCTAAATAACCCACCAAGCTGAAAGATGCATGAGGCCCATTCATTACCTCCCTTTTCTCACCTCCACAAGCCCAAACTCAGCACAGAGCCTGGCACAGAGAAGACACTCAAGACATTCACAGACTGAATCAATAATGCACAACAAGGGTTAACAGCAATTGGTAAGAAAAGGTCCTCTAGATTTAGGTTAAACATAAATTTAATAAGAACTGAAAAGTCCATGTGATAAGGAATTATATTTTAGCTCATTATGAAGTACATTTTCTGATAATTATTGCTGTCCAACAGTGAAATGGGCTACCTTAAAAGTAGAGTATGACCCTCAAAGGTACATGTTTACAACTAGGAAAGCTTACAATTGGACTAAGATCAGATAGATCATTTAAGATTTGTTTCAACTAGAAATCTTGTGGCCATTGAGATATAGCTTTTGTTAATGGCACGATGATGATCTGCATATGTGTTAATATGGTACTGTGTTTAACAAGGAAGACATTAAGTAGAACAAAACAGTTTCTGTTAGAAATTTATGTTCGGTATAGATAGGAACCAACACAGAGGAGTAACTATATGTAAGAAAATAACAGCACTGGAAGGGGGAACCCAGAAGGAATCTGCAGTCTCACTGAGTACAGAAAGATCAGAGTTCAGAGCGCTTAAGGTGTTTAGGATTTGTAACCCTGAGTACCATCAAGGAGGGAGCTTCAGGGCCTGGGAAATCTACAGAGAGGTCCCTTCAGGTATTTGACTGAGTGCTAATCTGGACAAGCATGAGAGGAAACCACCCAAGGCTGGGGAAAGAACCATGAGAATGAGTAGGCAGAAAAATGTTTGGAACTTACACAAGGCTTGGACTAGTTAATTGTCCTTTCAGCCAGAATAGAAAGACCTCTTAATGCAAAGGACATCAGGTGTTGGCAAACTACAGCTCACAGGCCACACCCAGCCCACAGACTTTTTCAACAGCTCACAAGCTAAGAATGATGTGTATATTCTTGAAGGATTGAAAAAACAAAGAAATATATGCAACAGACAGTGTGTGGCCTGCAAAGCCTAAAATATTTACTATGTGTCCACTACCAAAAAAGTTTACCAATCCTCCAAATAGTCTGTAGACAGCTATCAGTTTTATTATTATTATTATTATTATTATTTCGAGAAACAGTCTCACTCTGTCACCCAGGCTGGAGCGCAGTGTCACGATCTCAGCTCACTGAAACCTCCACCTCCTAGGTTCAAGTGATTCTCATGCCTCAGCCTCCCGAGTAGCTGGGATTACAGGCACACACCACCATATCTGGCTAATTTTTGTATTTTTGGTAGAGACAGAGTTTCACCATGTTGGCCAGGCTGGTCTCAAACTCCTGACCCCAAGTGATCTGCCCACATTGGCCTCCCAAAGTGCTGGGATTACAGGGTGAGCCACTGCACCTGGCTTGTTATCAGGTTAGTAGTAGATATAAGTTAGCCCTAAGATAAAGACTGTCCTGGACCCACCCTAACAAACTTGAGAGCAATCCTCAAGAGGATTCTACTTGTAACTTAGCTAGCAATGAAACAAAAGCCTAGTACTGTTCAATGAAATACAACAAACTCCAGTTTCCTAAAATATAAAATTCATATTGGTCATTCAATAAAAAATTGCCACACATGCAAAGAATAGGAAAATATTACCCTGTATATTAATCTATTGCTGTATAACAAACTACCCCAAGAGTTTGTGACTTCAAACAATAAACATTTCTTATTTCATGTAGTTTCTGTGAGTCAAGAATCCTGGCAGAACACAGTGGGGAATCCTTGTTTCTTCTTTAAAGTGCTTGGGGGCTAAGCTGGAAGACTTGAAGTCTGGGGGCTGGAATTATCTAAAGTCTCATTTATCTATATATTTTGCATTTAGTGCTGACTGTTGGCCACATTTTGTGAGGAAAGAGTTAGCAGAGCAGGTGTGGTCATATATTCCTTGCATGGCTCCAACAGAACCTAGAACCATGATTGATCCTTTGCCAATCACTAAGAATATGGCTCTTGGATGTCAGGGACTGATGATTTTGTTGTGTACACCTGAAGCAATGGACTGTGCTATACTAGCTTTTCAGGTTGCTTTGTATAAGTATCAAGATTAATGATGTGCACCTGGCTTCATTCTTGGAGTCCTGTATTTCAGTTGCCATAGTTGGTTGCATAGCAAGATATGCTTATGTGACCAGCATACCAAAAATTCTTTGGATCCTAGGTAGAGATATTTCACAAATGTTTCTGTAAGTTGCTGCTAGAGAGAAAGTACATCCTGTGTGGCCTCTAATGAAGAAGGACTCTGAAGCCTATACTGGTCCTCTCTGGACTCCGCCCAGTAAAAATATTTATCCTGCTATTTTCGCTGTATCCTTTGCCATAATAAACTGTAGCTGTGAATATAGCCTTCTTGTGAGTCTTGTGAATCCTGACCAACCACCAAATGTGGGTGGTCAACATACATTTATTGCCTCATTGTTTCTGTAGGTCAAGAATCTGGAGTGGCTTGGCTAGGTATTGATTCGAGGTCTCTCATTATCTAGGAGTTAGGCTTGGCCAAGTCTGAAGGATCTGCATCCAAGCCCATTTATGTGGTGTTTGGCAGGAGGCATCAGCTCCTTGCTGCCTAGATTCTCCGCAGAGCTGTTTATGACATACTTTCCCTGAGAGGAAGTGATCCGAGGTGATCCAAGAAAGAGAGAGAGAGAGAGAGGCAAGGGCAGGAGCTGTGACAGAAGCCATAGTCTTTTGTAATCTAATCTCAGAAGTGAAATAACATCACTTTTGCCATATTTTATTGGTCACACAGACCAACTTTGGTACAATGTGAGAGAAGACTACACAAAGGTCTATATACTGGGAAGTAGGGATGATTGGGGACTATCCTGAAGGCTGGCTACTATACTAGAATAGCTGTATTAACATGAGACAAAGTAGACTCTAGGAGAAGGAATACTATTAGTGATAAAGAGAGACATTTCACAACACTAGAGGGGTCAATTTCTCAAGGAAACTAAAAATCTTAAGTGTGAATGCAGAGCTTCATGCCAAATTCTGTCCCAAATAGAGATTTTCTCCATGTGTGTTTATAAAAGGAAACTTTTTGTGGTGGATTTTAGCATATTTCTAAGTCCACAACAGCATCTTCATTGCAGTTGTCTTCATCAACACCAAGGGAATCTAAAAACCTACTTTTTTTCTAATTTTAGAAAATAATTATGAAGATGCTATGACAAAAATGAAAGTTCATTTGTAAATAGCTCTGCTTTAAGTAAAGTACAGTGGGGAAAAAAAAAGTCACCTACGAGTTAAGAAAGGGCATGGGGATTTCAAGAAATCATAGTTCAGCAAGGCAAACAGGAAATCATAACCACAAACCAGGAACAAGGCCGAAGCAGCAGAAGGTGATGTCTAGGTGACGTTTTTTTTTAATGGTTGATAGGCAGGCAAAGTTTGACGCTGATGATGTCTGAGAAGTGAGGAGAAGGTGCTGGAAAGTCTGTCAACCAGGCTGTGAGCACTGGGAACTAAGAATGTGTCCTGCTCACTATTGATACCCTGGTGCCTAGCATAATACTGGGCACATGAAATAACACATGAGTAAATTAATTTTTAAAATATTAACTTTTTTATGAAAGAAACAGCTAATGGAAGAGCCTGCCACAATGTACCAATAGTTTTAAAGACATCATTTGAATAAGAACTCTAGAATATAGACTTTTCTTTTTTTTTTTTTTTTTTTTTTCCTGAAATGGAGTCTTGCTCTGTCACCCAGGCTGGAGTGCAATGGCACGGTCTCAGCTCACTGCAACCTCTACCTCCCGGGTTCAAGGGAATTCTCCTGCCTCAGCCTCCCGAGTATCTGGGATTACAGGTGCACATCACCACGCATGGCTAATTTTTCTATTTTTAGTAGAGATGGGGTTTCACCATGTTGGCCAGGCTGGTCTCAAACTCCTGACCTTAAGCAATTCACCTGCCTCGGCCTCCCAAAGTGCTGGGATTACAGGCATGAGCCCCCATGCCCGGCCGACTTAGTTTTTAAGGTTAGGTTATCTGGTCTCATCCTAATTTCTAACAGCTTTTAATAAAAAAGAAATATCTGGAAAAAGAATAAAAACAGAAAATATCAGATATACCCTGGCATTCAAGATTCCCCATTGTCTGGCTCTACTTACTGTTCCAGATTTAGCTACCGGTTCCACCTTCTGGAAATCTGCCACTCCAATCAAATTGACCAAATACTATATTTTCTTGATTTAACTTGAACATTTCCCTCCCACTTTTTAATATCTCTGAAATCAAGATGTTTTACAATCAGTACATTTGGATTTGACAAAATGAGGTGACCTTCCTTTAAACATGTCCTATTTTTTCTTCCCTTGAAGATTTCACTAATGCGATTTTTTTTAACCTCTTTTACATTTGTTGAAATCCAATCAATCTTTCTCATCTCAGTACAAATCCAAATCTCCTAAAAAGCCGTCCTGGTCAGCTTTTTAAAAGTTAATTTACTTTCTTCTGACTTATACTACTTAATATCATTGTTATATATTTTCCTGTCTTATTTATTTTTCCAGATTATAATAAGAATCCAATAGGCAAAAACTATGTCTCTTACAACTTTGTATTTTCCACAGCAACTAGCACATATTTTCCTCATTTTTATGATCAACAGCTATTACTTAAGTAAATGAATAAATTAATGACTATACACAATTATGCTTAAAGAATACGACTTACTACAAAAATGGGAAAGTTATATTTGTAACAATATGAGATGTCCATAGTACATTGTTAAAGATGAAAAAAACCAAGCTGCAGAACAGTATGTATATAATTACTTTATTTTTACTAAATCTTCAACAATAAATTTCTCCCTAACACATAGAATGTGAACGGTTATGGATATACCTAAAAAGTTGTTTGGAAGATCACAGGCCTAATGGTTAACATCAATTATCTTTGGAAAGTGGAGTTGAGGTAATGAACCTGTGGAAGTTCATGATAGATTTTTTTCCTTTTACTTGTTTACTTCACACATACACGTGTGTGCTCACAGACACATCTATGTTCTTTAAAAAAAAAATTCAACCAAGTATGTGAATTAGTTTTATAGTGAAAATTGAGGAAAAGTGATAAAAAGGAATGGCTCGCTGTCTTTCAGGTATGTAGCTTTATGATGAAGGGGAAAGAGAAAGCCCAAAATTCACTACGTAGAAGGATGTGAGTTATGAGATATGACAACCAAGAAATAAGATTCATTCAGAAAACTGGAGAAGAAAATAGTTTTCTGAACCCAGATGTAGCCAAATTCTGGAGGCTTCTACACTGGTTGATACAAAACCCAGTATCACACAAAACAAAGTGGAAAGTTTAGGGCAGTGGGCCAGAATGGGGAAGTTAGTTATCTTAACAACAATGACCAAAAAAAAGTTCTTTTTTCTTTTTTAAAAAAATTAAATGTTTATGGGTACATACTAGGTATACATATTTATGGGGTACGTGAGATGTTTTGATGCAGTCATGCGATGCATAATAATCACACCATGGAGAATGGGGTAGCCACACTCTCAAGTGTTTATCCTTTGTGTTACAAATCATCCAATTACACTTTTAGTTATTTTAAAATGTACAATTAACTTATTATTTACTATAGTCACTTTGATGTTATTTTAAGGTGTAACTGAAGCAAGATTTCTATTCAAGAGACATCACTCAAATGTATTTTTCTCATAAGAGTGGCCTCATCAGAGGCATATTGCTAGTAGAGAATATTGCCCATTTCTGTGTAATCCAGTGTCATCACTGATGTCAACTAAACATACTGGATGAATGAGATATTTGTACCTTTACCGACTGTAAAAACTTTTTGCTTTCTTTCTTTTTTCCACTGCTAACCATATACCAAACACTATGCTAAGTGTTTTACAGGTTTTATTTGTGCCTCCAACAACCTGTAACTCTCCCCACTTCACAGATGGGGAAGCTGAGGCTTACCTCAGTTTAACTGATGCCAAATCCCTTACCCTTTGCCTCTCCACAGCTGTGTCTTTCACATGATAATACTGTTAAATAAGCCCGAGGCATTAGCTTGAAGTTGTGTCCATACTTTGCATTCCCATATAACAAACTGCAACCTAACTTAATATGTAAACAAGCTGAAACTTAACTTAGAAGTATAACCGACAGCCGAGTTTCAGCCAATCATAGCCAGTCAGTTCATTGAGCCAAGCCCTGATGAGGCAGACACCTAGCTGTAGCCAATCAGGTGATTGCTCTACTTTGCTTCTATGTCCAGATTATAAAAGCTTGCTGCTCACTCTTCTGGGTGGACTCTTCCTAGCTCTTCTGGTTCTGAGTGTTGCCTGGTTCATGAATTGTTCTTTGCTCAAGCTCTGTTAAATTTAATTCCTTTGAAGTATTTCTTTCTTTTTTTTTTTTTTTTTTTTGGAGAGGGAGTCTTGCTCTGTCGCCCAGGCTGGAGTGCAGTGGCTCAATCTTGGCTCACTGCAACCTCCATCTCCCGGGTTCAAGCGATTCTCATGCCTCAGCCTCCCAAGTAGTTGGGATTACAGGCGTCTGCCACCACACCCAGCTAATTTTTGTATTTTTAGTAGAGACAGGGTTTCACCATGTTAGCCAGGCTGGTCTCGAACTCCTCACCTCAAGTGATCCACCCACCTCCACCTCCCAAAGTGCTGGGAATACAGGCGTGAACCACTGTGCCAGGCCTGAAGTCTTTCTTTAAAAAATACCTATTGTTGCTAGACAGCCCGTATATAGAACATTATTCCCCATTTCACATTCTTGTTCCACTATTGTGTGAAGTTTTTTCCTAATTGCCCATATTTGTGCCAACAATGCACCATCACACTATATCTCAGGTCAGTTTTTCCATCCATTCAGCTTATTGTTTTTACTAGAAACAGTAAAAATATTCTGTTGAAAGGCAGATGTTCCCAAATATTTCTGTTTTTCTTTGCTAACTTCTTGTAGCTCCGACACTTCTTAATTCATCTATTTCCTTTTTTGAACAGTGCATATTTTCAGCTGCATTCAATGAGCAGAGGGAAAAGTATGTTAGCCATTGCATGAGGCAGTATAGGTTGACAATCCCTTTTCTACCTATTTGGAAGTCCAAAGAGATTTGATAAATGAAAGACTTTTCATAACTCATTTGGCATCAAAACCTGACCTGACGTAAACTCATTTGGCAACAAAACTTGTCCTCAACTGACTTGAGGCTATTTTTAATCTCCATTGATCACAATCATTGTGAATGTTCACACATTTCACTGAAGCAATATCAATTTGTTTCATTACAGGGTGCTGCCCCACACCCCACAGGGTATCTTATGTATGATTTGATATAATTTATCTCATTATCACTCCAAGATTCAAAAAGCCTTACATTACAAAACACTTCTGGACCCTGAGGGTTTTGGATAAGTGATTTCAGGTATGTATTTTCTTTCCTTATGCTTCTCTTTTTTTAAAAGTTAATATGTTTGCCCAAGTTTAACACTTTGATTTGGTGAATGTCTATGGCCGTTTTATACAAAACCTTTGTGTATAAAATAAATTCAAGTGTTATAGAGGAAATGAAACCCCTTTTAGAAATTTATCATCACACAAAAGTCATTACACAGTATCTCCTGCCTCACCAATTGTTTCATTGTTTATTGATGGGGAGCCACTAAAACATCTACCCCAAAGGATTAATTTTTTTCCCCTCAGACAGTTTCTAAATGTGGGATACCTTTTTTCAGGCTATTGGTTATTTGATTGACTTTTTTGGAATATGTAGTTTGTAATTCTGTGTGGGATCAAATTAACCATAAGGTGATTAAAATTAGGGTGATCCCATCCTAGATAACACGGTGAAACCCCGTCTCTACTAAAAATACAAAAAATTAGCCAGGTGTGGTGGCGGGTGCCCGTCATCCCAGCTACTCAGGAGGCTGAGGCAGGAGAATTGCCTGAACCCGGGAGGTGGAGGTTGCAGTGAGCTGAGATAGCACCATTGCACTCCAGCCTGGGGGACAGAGCGAGACTCCGTCTCAAAAAAAAAAAAACTAGGGTAATCCAGATGAACCTTAAATTTCAGACTGGTCTGGATTCTCTCAATCTGAATTTTCTGTATATATTTATACAAACCCACAGGTTCATTTTCTCATTCACTGTCACATGAATGTCACACTATCTGGTATTCTGGCATGCTTTCAGGACCTTAGGTGCTAAACCGTAACATCTGAACATCTATTAAACCTGGCACTTTAGAAATTTTTTAACTGCCACAGAATTGTTATTCATTGAATGAAATTTTTCATGATAGTTGTCTGAGTCACAAAGTTTAATTCTAAAAGTCAAGGAAAAGATTCCCAAATAAAGGGTAAGGAAAAGCACCTCTGACTTAAGACATTTCCCTGCTTTTCTGCGGTAAATCAGTTGCTATGACAGTAGACTCACTCAGAGAACATGCACCTAAGTGCTTAAAATAGCTGAAGAGCACTTTTCCCTTATGAATCAGATTCTTCAAGGAATTGCTAAGTCTTCCAGCACTTATGTGAGCATTGTTTCTGCCATTAGTAACTACAGTTACATGGTGGAGTTAAACACATCCTATTGTTTGGGGTTTTTCAGTTCTAACAGAGAAAAAAGAAAGGAAATTCCTTAGTAGTTAACATGTATAGATATACGTGTCTGTTAATTTTAAGGGTCTTTTATTTGGTTCAAGGTGAAATAATTTTAATTTGAAGTCCACATTTTAAAAGCATTAATTAATCCTCACAATAGCATCTGTATGGCATACATTAATGAAATTATGCCCACTTCACAGGGGACTGATTAAAGTAAAGATGCCAAGTATATTTCTACATTAAAGTAAATTGTTATCCAGAAATAAAATTGAAGACCTCAGACTCTTAGCTCTCTGAGTAATTGCTGTATACTATGACTGCTTTTCTCCATGTACCAAGCTATTCTGGATTATTCTCAAGTTTTCCCATTTGTCTTTACTGAATGTTTGTTGGGCAAGCAATGTGGATAAGGATTCCAAGAATATATGGGAGGGCAATGGCTACCTCAGAAAATAGGGAAGGTGGACATGCCAGTCAGCCTCCCTGTGGGTTATCCACAGCTCTTCGAGTTGCCATTCTTGTTGAACAGCATCCATGGCACCTGTTCTCTTAGCTGCCCCTTCCCAACCAGTCCAGGCTGTCCTCACTCCTGAATTCTTCTGCAGAGTTTCCTCCATCCGCCATCCCTGTGCACACACTTCACTCTGCTGCCAAAAGCAACCAATCGCCTGTCAGAGTGGATGTGCATGGGGCTATTACCAAATGGGAACTGAAAGCCAGAGAATTTCATCTCCATGAGGTAACAAGGGCTACTTCTGAAAGCAGAAGTACCAGATTCGCCCTTTAGTGATGGTCCTTCAGGGTAATTATAGAGGGCAGAGAAAAACCATTAAGAAAATGGAATAATAAACTGTAGACTGGGGAATACTGAAAAGAGAAAACATGCTACAGACTTTTTGGCTTTTGTCTCTTTTTAAACAGCTATATACTTAGTTTATGTGCTAAGCACATATTTCACTAAATGGGAACTTCATTCAAGTTCCTTCATCCAATAAAATGTATTATTCTACTTCCCCTTAACCTTTTTTTTTTCAGTAAATATAGCTATAAGAAGAAATCCATTAGCATGTATTATCCATTGAGCCAGTATAGGGCTTATTAAGCTTGAGGAGAAGCCACTGAACACTACAGGCTTGGCCCTGCCCTCAGGGAGTTTCCATTTTGTGCACCTGAGATAGCCTGAGGACCCTAAAGTCTTGTTAAAGAAGTCACCTGTATAACGCTGCTTTGAAAGTTTGGCATTTGTTGAAAATGAATAAGGATATGTTGGTCTACGTTACATATTCAGAATCAAGTATCAAAATAAAATTTATAACAGGCTTTGGCATAACTCCAAGTTTGAATTATGAAGGATAAATGTTCTTGGCATTATACTGGAAGTTTTTTGGAAGAGAAGTGCTATAAAAGCAGACTCTAAGGCAGTATCTAAGATAATACTAAAACCATTGGTTGAAAATTTAAACATTTTAAAATTTGTAATAAAAAATAAGCCATTATTTCTCTGTGTTCTCTGAATGGGATTTAGCCAAAGATATATGTTAAATAATTAGTCATTTCAGTTAAAGTGATTGCACAAGTTGCTCATTTATGCAGCAATCATGGAAGAGATGCAAGTAGGAATTGCATTTTGTCTGTTTTACAAGGTCTAATTTTCACTTTTACAAGGTCTAATTTTCACTGGCAGTCCTCAATCCTTGTCCCCACTTCCTGGGAACAGATGCTACAGATCCTCTCACTTATAGGTCAACCTATACTCCCACTGTCTCTGAAGAGATGGTATAGCCTTTTCTCGTGAGCCTCTACTTGACCAACTTTATTATGAGCAGATTCTTTCTTACTAGGCTTCTTTTGAAATGTAGGCCCATTTTTTTGTTCTCTGCTCAAAAGCTACTAATATACACCCCTGTTGTTCCACTCCCCATAACTGCTTTGTCCCTAGCCAGCCTACGCCCTACCAAGGAACAATTCCCTAATTTAGGAAATCAGATCCACTGCACAAACTGACTCTGCTGTTAATGCCCCTGTGGCCACAGGTTAAATGCTTCTGCTAATATCACTGTCAAGAAATCATGTTTGAGACCTAGAGACCTGGGATGAGAAATAGGTATCAAGATCTACAGCTGCAGCCCTGTACCTCTAGATCAAGATTAGCAGGGCCACAAAGTTCAACATCCAATCAAGGATCCACTGGTCTTCCAATTCCTAAAAAAGACTGAGAAAAATAAATAGGCTTGGAGAACTGCCTGGACATTATTGTTGAATACCAACATCTAAGCCCCTTTTAATTATTTCTAACAAATAGATAAAAATCTATACAAATCTCAGGTGAGCAAGAGAACTACTATCTTGAGTTCTCTGGAAAGTGTTCAAGCTGTGAAGTTACTGGGGCATGCTGGACCAGAGACAGAGCACTCTCGGAGGCCAGTGAGCAGGCCAGGCCCACAGGGCCATCTGACCCATACAGAACACCAAACTGACTCTCAAGGGACAGTATAGAGCTGGACCCCTTCAGTGTAACTTCCTTAGAGGACAATGGCCAAACATTTGCATGAGCAGCATATGTCATTGGAGGATCCCAGCACAAGATAATTTGTGCCTATATTCTTTATTGACTCATCCCAATAAGCATTTCCTTCTGACTTACTACTAATATGTTAGCAAGTCCCACATCCTTCCATTCAGAAGTTAGTATTCTCAATTTTAATCAATTATTCCAAATATTATTCCAAATAAGAATTATTTAATCTAACAAAAATTATATTTATACCAAAAAGTGGTATAAAGATGTTTATACCATTTTTTAACCTAGCACAATAAAGGATACCAGTGTTACGTATGTGGGTCTCTAGAACAAAGACATTCTGTGAGTTTGATCACCTTATGGTCTAGAGTTCACAGAGGCTGAACAAAAGCATCCAATCGTATCAGTTTTTATATATACCCTTCCAATTTTCCTTCACACACATATATTTATACATGCATGGCACTATTATCTATGAAATAAAAAAACTGGAAGTAACCTAAATGTCCAAAATTAGGAAAAATTTTTATCTAACTATACTATGGCCAATTGCTGAAATATTATGTAGCTGTTCCAATAATCCTTATAAATGTTATACAACAATGGTGGAAAAGAACTTTAATATACATTTAAGTGAAAAGACTAGCATACAAAATTATTTGTATGCAATGAAACAACCTATGTAAAAATAAATGCACATGGTGGGGATGAGGGGACTGGAAAGGTATACAAAAACCTACTAATAGTTGATGTTTTAGGGTAATATGCTAATAGATCATTTTCTCTTTATTTAAAAAAATGTTCATAATGTTGCTACATTGGCTTTACACAAAATTAAGCATATTATACATATACACATGTGTGCCTCTTTCAAGACAGTTCAGAACTATGCTAGGCCTTGGATTTTAATATTATGTCTTAGAAATACAAGTAATAAAAGATTTTATGCAAACTGGATTAAACCTAAGAGAATTTATGAAACTACGTCGCTAGAAAGTTCAGAGTGTGGACCATTCTCAGGTTGAACTGCTCCAGAGATTCATGGGGTCCTCAGTGCTGTGGCTCCCTTGCTCTTGACACTGCCTTCCTGCTTTTGTCACACTTCTTTCCTTGTGGTAGAAAAATGACTGCAGCAGCTCCATATTGGTTAGAGAAATAACAAGATCAAGTCTTCCGCCAACATCAGACAGCAATCTTTGCTTCCCTCTGTTTGGACCAAAGTAGATCAATTGCCAAGGCCAAGGAACTATTACATGGGCTTCAGGTGAAACGATGCCATCCACACATCAATCTGTTACTGTCCACAAATATTTGGCTGGCCCTCCCTATCAGAGGACACTACTTCCCTACCTCACTGACATCAGGTTTGGCTATAACTTGCTCTGGCTATTGAAATACAAAATACCACTCTTCAACAACGAAATGTGACCTAGTTGTTCAGCAGCACTATTGGCTTCACTAAAGCGGTTTTGTTCCTTCTCTCAGGTATTATACAAGCGTTCAGAGCCAGTGTGTTGTTTTCTGTGCTCCCCTTCCCCTCTGCTACAACTCCAGACAGACAGAGGCTTCATGTCAGCCTGAGTTCTAGTGAATCTGTAATTGAGTGGAGCCAAAGCCCACCAACAATGTACATGCAGCGTGAGCTACACCTTCGTTATTATAAGCTGCTGAGATTTGAGAGTTGTTTGTTGCTGTACCATAACTTAGCCTATCCTTACTGGGCTAAAGTCCCTGCTTAACCATTTCCTAACTTTGTGACCTTGGAAAATTTACTTCATTTTTCTGAACTTTAGTTTCTTTATTGGTAAAATAAAGTTGATGTTTAAAATTCCTGGTATATACTCAAAAATGACAATTACTATTTATTAATGCTAAGAATTATAATTCTCACTGCAGTGGTGGAATTTTCTTCTAATTTATCTTCTGAAAGAGGAGTTATATTATATTCCTTTTTACTAAGGCAAAGTTACAGACTCAAAGTCTCAGTATATTCACTGATCATCTGTAGATAGAAAAAAATTCTTCCCCAAGATATGAATCTTAGTACCTTGGAATGCTCTTTTTTTTAAGAAGTAAAAAAGATTAACCCAAAATTTCATACAGGAAAAATGCTTTTTCACGCTCAATACCAAAATGTGATATAGCTATTCAACATTGCAGTTGACTTCACTGGAGTAATTTTGTTCCTTCTCTGAGTTATCTGTTATTGAAGATAGTCAAGCACAGATATTGAAATAGATTATTTTTCCATTCCATTGTGAAAACCTTTGTGTTTCCTGCACCCCTTCCCATAAAGTGATGAATTCTATAATGTGAGATAGAGAGTGACAGAGAAAGGGATTATAGTCAGAGAAATGCAATTTAAAAGTAAAAATTCCACTTTCTCTTTTAATTGAAATTGTAATTACATTTAGACTTGAATCTAGCTTGGCTTGATTTCATAATCAATAATTATTTTACATTATGCAACACATTTTCTATCTTAAACATCCATCATTGACATCTGATACCTAGTAAATTCTTTCAGATATTGTAGGTTTTATCTTGCTTAGTTTTCTGGTATCCAGTAATTAAGATATGAGACAGTTGTTTGTCCCTTTAGATGAAAAATGTGTGACTGAAAAAATTAGCACAAGCTAAATCATGGTTTAAATGCATTACAGCAGTAGTTCCCACACAATGTTATGCAACAGAACAACCTGGAACTTTACACATACACCCACACACATTCTCTCTCTCTCTTCTGGGCCCTGCCCCAGGATATATGTATTGCAATCTCCCAAAGCAGAACTCAAACATTTTTTTTCCTAAAAAGCTCCTGAGACACCAAGATTTTGGTTTCTAAATACCATTGCCAAGATGGGCACGGTGGGACACACCTGTAATCCCAGCACTTTGGGAGGCTGATGCAGGAGGATTGTTTAAGCCCAGGAGTTCGAGACCAGCCTGGGCAACATAGGGAGACCCAGTGTCTACAAAAAAACAAACAACAACAAAAAAACCACTATTGCCCACTAAAAGAATCCAGTGACTCCTTAGTGAAATAGGGCTGAGGTGGGAAAAACCTGAGCTTAGAACATTTTTTTGTGCCAGAAAGTAAAAAATTCCTCAAAATGATGGAGATCACGTCAAAGGAAACAGAAGCAAGCAGACTCTTGCAGGCCAGGTGTAGCAAAATTTGATCATGAAAATAAAACTAATAATAGGTTATAACCCAGCGAATAAAATAAGAATCAATACGTCTATATTGTTAAGACGAAAGGATGAAGGAAGGAAAGAAGGGAGAGAGAGAAGCTCTTAAAACAGAATGCTAACTAAAAAATTTAGAAGGAATGATGAAATTAGAAAATCAGTTGAATTAGAATTATCAATAAATACTAAAACTAATGGGTGAGAATTGTGATGAGGAATAAAATATTTACATAGTCTTCCCACAAATTACTTTTTAATGCCAAAGAGAAAATAATAACTTCACAGTGAAACA
The DNA here is from genome assembly GCF_000001405.40 of Homo sapiens. Classification (NCBI taxonomy): domain Eukaryota; kingdom Metazoa; phylum Chordata; class Mammalia; order Primates; family Hominidae; genus Homo; species Homo sapiens. The sequence continues at coordinate 191,606,522 of NC_000002.12, read as the reverse complement.
AGCTGGCAGCCACCAAATGTACTCGCTTGAATGGTGACCCCCGAAAGATATGTCCACATATTAATTGCCAGGACCTGGGATGTGACCTTATTTGAAAAAAAAAAAAAAAATGGTGGGGTGGGGGGGATCTTTGCTGATGTAATTAAACTAAGGATCTTGAGATCAGATCAGTTGGGATTACTTGGACGGACTCTAAATCAATGACAAATGTCCTGACAAGAGACAGAAGAGAAGACATGGACAAAGAGAAGGAGGGGACGACCATGCAGAGATGGAGGCAGTGATGAAGTGATGCAGCCACAGGAATGCTGGCAGAAGCTGGGAGGCGCAAAAAGGATTCTCCCCTAGACCCTCCAGAGGGTGTAGGGTCTAGCGACACCTTGATTTTTGGACTTCTGCCCTCCAGACAGTGAGAGAAGAACTTCATACCTTTTTTAAGTGATCCAGTTAGTGATGATTTGTTATGGCAGCCCTAGGAAACTAATATACATCCTAATCAAATGATCAGCGTTAACCTCACCAATAAAGGGATTTACCTTCATCAAGTGGCTCCTGAGGAGATGCACTGAGAGGTTTACAGCATTACTCACTAATGTTTGTGTTAAAATTGCATAACGTGAATCTAATCATGAGGAAATATCAGACAAACTCAAATCAAGAACCATTCTATAAAATAATTAGCCTGTACACTTGAAAAATACTAAGGTTATAAAAAACAATGAAAGGCTAAGAAATTGTTCTAAATTAAAGGCGACTAAAGAGATACAACCATAAAATACCATGTGTATCCTTTATTGAATTGTGGACAGTGACGAAGTAGTCACAAGGGACATTTTGGGATAACTGGCAAAGCTTGAATATGAGCTGTGGATTAGATAATATTGTAGTAATCTTAAATTTCCTGTTTTTGCTAATCCTACTGGGATTATGTATGAGAATGTCCTTGTTCTTAGGAAATAAACACTGAATATTAAGGGGCAAGGGAGCATCCTGTATCCAACTTATTCCCAAATGAGTCAAAGTGAAATATTTATGCATATATGTAGAGAAAGAATGAAAAGCACATCTGGCAAATACTAACAATTGGTACATGAGAGTTCTGTGTATTGTTATTGCAATTTTTCAGTAATTTTGAAATTATCTCAAAATAAGACTTTTTTAAAAAAAAAGGCTTACTACAGTATTATAATGTGTAACTAGTTATGAAAACCACTGCATTAGAGCTCCCCTCATAAGGCAGTCATTCTCAAATGGGATGATTTTTGCCTCCCAGAGGACATTTGGCAATGGCTGAAGACATTTTTGATTGTCATGACCGCACAGGGTAAGGAGAATAGGGTCTGGGGATGTGCTACTGGCATCTAACTTGCAGGGGCCAGGGATGCTAAACATTGCAAAATGCACAGACAGCTCCCCACGCAAGTAATTAGCCCGAAATGTCAATAGTGCCACTGTTAAGAAACCTTGCTTTAAGGAAATTATACACCTTCACTAATATAATCAGATTCTAAATACCCATAGGAAATAACACCAAACTTGTATAGATTTAGATTAGTTACTACAGCAAAATTTTATATCAACAAAAGATTCCCACTTTGTAGGTAAAAATACATTTGCATTTCAAGACTTAGCAATCACAAACAGAATGCATACAGAAAATCATTTCACCCCATGCATCAGACAAGAGTAGTAGAGGATTGGAGAAGCATAGAAGTTCAGCTCATCCATTTTAACAGCAACCAAGTGTCTTTTATACAATTGGACAATAAATCCACAGAAAATGTGATTTCAAGGCTTTAGAACAGCTCTGTGAAAAAGATAAATAGACTTTTCTCAAACTTATGACTATACTCATAAAGCAGTATAAATATGTTACATTTACAGGTTACCTGTGGTAATCCATATCATTTCTTTCAAAACCTAATGAGATTTCCAGTTGTTATATTATTAGCATAGGAGGGCTACACAAATCTCACCATAACTAATAAGGGATGAATTCGACAGTATTAGTCAAGCTTTTGCATAACAGATAACCCCCAAATCTTAGTGACTCTCAACAGCAGACATTCATTTCTCACTCATGGGTCTGCACACCTGCTGGGTTGACTCGACTTCAAGTTCAGGTCTGCTCTGCATGTCTCTCACTCTAGGACCAATGGTTACCAGAACAGATGGCTGCTACCTCATGGCAGCTAACAGAAGCTCAGGAACCTAGGCCAAACTCTGCAAGCACATTTAAAGCCTCACTCACATCACATCTGTTAATGTTCCACTGGCCAAAGCATATCATGACCCAGCCTGAAGACATCGGAGCAGGGATGCATACTTTGTAGAATGCTACTGGATGACGCTGCAATGTCATATCCACATGGCTATAGATATATAATCCTGTTACACAGAAGCAGAGAGGACTTGAGAACAATAACATAATCTATCATATACTACTAAAGGCAGTTTACAATAGCGGTCACTTTTAATGGGACCTTTCTGATGTTACTTACACTTATTATGTTAAGACGGGCTGGCAAACTTTTTTAGTAAGAAACTGACAAGTAATTATTTTTGGCTTTGCGGGACATACAGTCTTTGTTAAAACTCTGATGTTGGAGCATGAAAGCAGCCATAGACAATATGTAAACAAATGTACCTGCACTCCAATAAGATTTTGTATATGGGCAATGAAACTTGAATTTCATATAATTTTTATGTTACAAGATGTTATTTTTTTCAGTCATCTAAAAATGTAAAAATGATTCTTAGCTGGAGGGCTATACAAAAACAAATGATTCACCAAATTTGATCCATGAGCTGTAGTTTGGCAGCCCCTGAATTATACCATCAACCAGCAAAGCACTTGATGTTTATTCATCACAGAAGATGGTACAATAGAAAGAAAATGCAATAACCAAGGAATTTACAATATCATTGAGGATATAGAATACATACATGTAAAAACTATTTTGAAATCTTTGAAAAATAATATATATGGTAACACAAGTCCTACGCCACAAATCATAGGAGGCATGGTGCCAAGAAGAAGTTATTCACATATAGTAAGTAAGACAGAATTCCTTGCAAAACTAAGTTTTGTAGATGAGGACATGGGTGCATTGAAAGTTTACTCAATTATTTCTTCATATACAGAGAAAAATACTTTTAGAAATAATAAGTTCCAATAGTATAGTCTATCTTATTTTATGAATTTTTCTTAAATATAAAGTATTTGACAAAAACTGTATATATTTTAAATGTACAATGTGATTTGATGTGTGAATACATTGTCAAATGATTACAACAATCAAATTAATTAACACATCCATCACCACATATAATTACGTGTGAGGAGGAGCAGTTGTTTTCTACTGTCTTAGCAAATTTCAACCTAAATAAAACGTTGTTAAAATTGTTAATATTGCAAAGTAGTCAGTATAATACCAAAATGTTGAAAATAGAAAGTCACTCTATCATCCCACCAACCAAACATATCCTCTGCTAACAGCAGTATATATAATTTTAGTTTTCTCTATACATACACATACATATTTGATTGTTACTTATTAAAATATTTCATTATACCTAGTGTTTCACAATTTGCTTTTTTTTTTTTTTTTTTTTTCCTAAAGACGGGATCTTGCTCTGTCACAAAGGCCGGAGTACACTGGGCAAACACAGTTCAGTGCAGCCTCAACCTCCCAGGCTCAAGCAATCTTCCAGCCTCAGCCTCCCAAGTAGCTGGGACTACAGGCACACACCACCAAACCTGGCTGATTTTTATATTTTTTGTTGAGATGGGGTTTCACCATGTTGCTCAGGCAGGTCTCAAACACCTGAGCCCAGCAATTTGCCCACCTCAGGCCCCTAAAGTGTTAGGATTATAGGCATAAGCCACCGCGCCCGGCTTGCTTTTTTTTTTCATTTAGCAATACATCCTGAACATCTTGCCATGTCAGTATGAATAGATTTATCTAATTTTAATTGTTGCATATTATTTTGTAGCACATGAATACCATCATTTATTAAGTCCCTTGTTGAAGTATATCTAGGTTATTTCTAATTTTCCCCTATAATATGTAAAGTTGTGATAAACATCCTTGTGACTAAATCTTCAAATTAACCATTAATTTCTAAGGAAAAATATCTAAAGGTGGAATTTCTGGGTCAAAGCATATGACATATTGTTTTCAAAAGATTTTTCTTAATGTTATCTGGTATTAAAATCAAAATAGTTGGCCGGGCAAGTGGCTCATGCCTGTAATCCCAGCACTTTGGGAGGCCAAGGCGGATGGATCTCAAGGTCAGGAGTTCAAGAGCAGCCTGGCCAATATGGTGAAACCCTGTCTCTACTAAAAATACAAAAAATTAGCCGGGCATGGTGGCAGAAGAATAGCTTGAACCTGGGAGGCAGAGGTTGCAGTGAGCTGAGATAGTGCCACTGCACTCCAGCCTGGGTGACACAGCGAGACTCTGTCTTAAATAAATAAATAAATAAATAAATAAATAAATAAATAAATAAAATCAAGGTAGTCAATGTTAGGCAGTCGGTTGGGGATAAGGGGATTTGCAATATTGACCACATAGAGCAAAAGTAATATAGTAATGTATGTGGTTTATATGTGTATATAAACAGGGAGAGGAGGGGACAAGAGGGGAACAGAGAGAAGAGAGGGAAAAAGAGAAGGGAGGAAAAAAGAGGGGAAAAGAGATATATTGCTGCATTCTGCAATATTTAATGTAAGAATCACCCAAATCCAATGTAGAACACTACTCAGATGTTATAAAGACTTACTTGTGGAAGTAGGAGAACAGTTTCTAAACCGCAGGTTTTACTCTGATTGATTTGTAAATGAAATAAAAAGGCAAATCCCCTCAAATCAGAAGCTCTCTCAGTGTTGTACAAACTTAGCTAGTGACTTCTATAAGATGCACAAATATACAGCTAGTGTTGTAGGGCTTTATAATTTTTAGCAGAACTTTATGAATGTTACTTCTTTCCTTTTCTCAATAAATCATTAAGAGCAGTGGTTCTCAACAGGGGTGGGTGGCTGTTACAGTTTGTTATATTTGCTATGTAACAAATCACCCCAAAACTCAGTGGCTGAAAACAACCATTTATTATTACTGCTCTTCCTTGTGTGGGTCAGCTGGGCTAGAATGGGCTCTTCTACGCAGCTGTAGTCAGATGTTGTCTGAGGTCAAAGGGATGACCTCACTGGATGAATGACCAGGATGGCTCCCTCCCACGGCTGGCAATGGATGTTAGTTGTTGGCTATGAGCTCTGAGTGTGCCAACCTGAGGGGCCACATGTGATCTCTCTTTGCAGCTTGTGACCCTAACAGGATGGCAGCTGTGTTGTAAGAGGGTATGTCCCAAGAGTAAGCACTCCAAAACTCCCGGGTAGAAGCCACAAGGCTTCTTATGATCTAACCTTGAAGGTCCTAGAAAATTTCTTCTACTGCAAATCATTCAGTTCAGCAAATCATTCAGGAATGCCCAGAAGCAAGAGGAAAAAAAATTAGACTCTACCTCTCGGTGGGAGAGCAGCAAGTCCCATGGCAGAAGAGCATGCGGGATGGGAGCTGTTATTTTGGCCGTCTTCAGAAGGTACAATCCAATCTGCCACAGTGGGGGAGTTGACAGGAGCCCTCTGAAGTTATGGAAAAAGATGTTTACATCTTTTTCACAAGGGAACCCTGACATTAATAAGATTCTCAAAGGGATCTGGGGCAGAGGAGAGGGAGGAAGAGGGAATGAGAGAAGGAGAAGAAACAATCACTGATCTAGGTAGATTATAGGCTGTTACATAATGAAATTTATTTTATACACTAATATTCCTCCTAAGGTTTCAGGATATTTAATCTCTGCCACTTACTTGGAATTGCTCCTCATCTAGCTATGATTCACTAAGAAACTCAGCCAATTAAAATTTTAAAGAAATCAGAATAATTCTGACAGTGTGACTATAATACTTAAATGAACCTGGATGGATACACACACACACATATATAAATGTTCCAGATTTTAAACAGGGGCCGGGGGGTGCTGATTAAGTAGGATTGTATTATATGTTGGGCAACTATTCCCATTAGAACTACCTACATTTGATAGAAAGAGAGCTCTAATCAAGTATTAGTATTCTGCATACAGTTAGGGTGAAATTTTTAGACCCCTGAAGCACAATCCTGCACAGTGCAGCTACGGATTTCCATCATAGAGGATGAGATTTGATTACTTTTATCTCAGCATATGCAACTATTGTTATTACTCACAAACATTATTAGACTCTGTGATGCCCAGAATATGTGACTACCTCAGACAAGCTCTATTTTGAGTTAGAACTGTTACTGGAAAGGGGTCCTGATCCAGAACCCAAGAAAAGGTTCTTGGATCTTGTGCAAGAAAGAATTCAGGGTGAGTCCATAAAGTGAAAGCAAGTTTGTTAAGAAAGTAAAGGAATAAAAGAATGACTACTCCATAGAGCAGCCCTAAGGGCTGCTGGTTGCCCATTTTTATGGTTATTTCTTGATGATATGCTAAACAAGGGGTGGATTATTCATGTCTCCCCTTTTTAGACCATATAGGGTAACTTCCTGATGTTGCCATGGCATTTGTAAACTGCCATGGCACTGGTGGGAGTGTAGCAGTGAGGACGAACAGACGTCACTCTCGTGGCCATCTTGGTTTTTGTGGGTTTTGACCAGATTCTTTATTGTAAACGGTTTTATCAGCAACGTCTTTATGACCTGTATCTTGTGCTGACCTCCTATCTCATCCTGTGACTTAGAATGCCTTCAGTGTCTGGGAATGCAGCCCAGTAGGTCTCAGCCGTATTTTACCCAACCCCTATTCAAGATGGAGTTGCTCTGGTTCAAACACCTCTGACAGAACTATTTCTGTTTATACCCCTATACTTGCTACTAGTTTCATGAACTTCAATGAAGGTGAGAAGGAGAGGGCAGAGAGTTTGGGAAGGAGTGCAGGAATCAGAAGCCAGCTGCATTCTTCACAAGACGTCAGTAGAAACACTAAGCACTCAACTTACTAACCACACTCTTTTGCTAGAATGCATATGCACATGTGAACATTCAAGATACAGAAATAACCAGGAAAGTAGAAGGTTTCTTCTGCTGTAGTTGAGGTTGCTCTTAAGTGTTTTTTGTCATGAGACAAAAGAGGTCATCATGCTTCGTGATAACCACGAGGCATGGTCATGTTCCCAACTGCCGTTTATTCAAGCAGTGGCTTTTTTAAACAGACTGGGTAGTTGTACCAGAAAATTCTGGATTCTGCAGATTTTTTTCAATCTGTTTCCATGTCCTATAACCTATAAGTTACATATGAAGGCTTGGTTAGATTCAGGGCTAAAATTTGTGGCATGGATGCTTCACAGGTGGTACTATGTGCTTCATATTACATCCCATCAGAAAGTAAATAATACCCATTTGCCCTGCTTACAATGGTGCTAAGACTCATCAATAGATTCAGGTGGTGACTGCCTGATCCCTGGTTGTAAAGTAGTTGTGTGACCCTTTGGCACCCTCGGAATGTCCAGCTCCTCATTAATATTTTAATTTTTAGTCTCAGCATCCATTGATATTCATTTCCTAAAATAGTGATTTCGCTACATGTTGTAAAATGTTGATTTTTCTATCATTCTTTCTACATTTATCAGAATACTTCTGTCCGAACAGCTCTCTCTCTCATCAACTATTTTGTGACTTAAAAATAGAATTTTCACAGAAAATGCAGATCAAGACCTAATTCTTTCCTCTTAATTATTAATTTTTAGAGTACGAAGTTGATGGACTACCTCCAGCTGTGACAAATGAGTTGTGTTTGTTACTTTGGCTTTCTCTTTGGGATATTATAAATTCATGAATTTTTATTTAATTAATGAGTTTCAATAAATTGCCATCATTTTTCTTTTTGATGGTGAAATTGTCCACCATTGGCCAGTGGTCAGCTTCCTTACTTTCCAGCATAATAAGGTGATTCATTCTCAGTTTGTCATTTCCCACCTCACCCCTGGAACCAGTTATTCCTCCAAGAACTACTTGTGCTAAGTAGAGAATAGCATTCAGAGCCCATCATGTAGGTGTTAACACTCTCATGTTACTGGGTTCTCATTGCTTCTGGATTTTTTAAAAAACATTTTAAAGACATTATGAACTTATATTTATATCCCAAATTCAAATATTCAAATATGTTTGAATATTTTATATGTCAAATTCAAGTTTCAATTTCAAATATTCAAATAGTTCACTTTCAAATTTAATAAAAAAAACCCAAGTTTTTCTTTTAAATTTTATACTCGTGGCCAGGTGCAGTGGCTCACGCCTGTAATCCCAGCACTTTGGGAGGCTGGGGCAGGTGGATCACCAGGTCAAGAGATTGAGACCATCCTGGCCAACATGGTGAAACCCCGTCTTTACTGAAAATACACAAATAAGCTGGGTGTAGTGACATGGGCCTGTAGTCCCAGCTACTCGGGAGGCTGAGGCAGCAGAATCACTTGAACCCGGGAGGCGGAGGTTGTAGTGAGCTGAGATCGTGCCACTGCACTCCAGCCTGGTGACAGAGTGAGACTCCATCTCAAAAAAAAAAAAAAAGAAATTTATACTCGTTATCTCCTTTCTCTTACAGTGAAAATTACGATTTCTAAAAATATTGACATTAATTTTTTATTTATAAGTATTGTATACATAAGTCTCAAAATATAAATATAATATGGTCTATTAAAATATATAGATACTAATATTACTACTAACAAAAATTTGTGTTTTTGTCAGATTTTATTCCATTAATGATATGTAATATAACCTATATTCTAAAATACCCAGTGGACCTGACTAACTGCAGGTAGAAGCCTTTCCTTTGAGGAAAAGAAAAGGTCTGGCCAGGACGATGGTCAAGATGGCTTCATTTACCTTATCTCCCCTCTCCCCAAAAACCCTGAGAAGAGAAGACGGGCTAAGGTGAGCAGTGTGTGGGGATATGTTAGCCTGTTGACAGGTATCCCGAGAAACTCTGAGTCCCACCCTTCGGGATGGTCGGGTGATGGTGGCAGCCCAGGAGATATGCCTGAAGACATGCTGAACAAAGACAGATGAAATACGAGATGCGTGTTTATCTGTGCACAGTGTCTGTGCAGCGACTGCAACCATGAGATAGCCAGACATTTCACCACAGTGATGAAAATGTTTCGTTGCAGTTTGACACTTAAAGATAGAATAAACTGCATAAATAAAAAGCATATACTCCCATCCCCACCCCTAGATCATCCAAAATATTTTTCTGGACAGCATGTGGCACCAGCCTGACATTTTGGGGTGCATCACAGGGCTCATTGCTATTATCTATCATGTTCTTCTCAAGTTGACATTTAAGCACCTTATCGCCACACATGAGAAAAAAGATCCCGTTTCTTTGGACTGTGTTTTTTTCAGCCTGTGATTCAGAAGCACTGATATGCTGCTCTTTTAATTTTGAACCGTACTCCCATTTCTGCTGGGAGGCAGCAACGTGGAAAATAACAGGTGAGGCTTGCAGCCCTCAGGAAATAGCAGGTGGGAAGAGTGATCAGGAAAAGCAAGGAAGGCTTTGGTTTTCTTTAGGTAATCTGAAATGTTTCTGCCTCTTTGAGACACCATGAGCTGACAGAGGCTTGTTTTCTTCTCTTCTCACCTTCTCCCCTTCTGTTTTGCCCACACCCTTCTTTTCAGGCTCAGAGAGGTGAAGAAACTTGCTCAAGTTTGATTCTCTATCTCTAATTAATTAAGCCTGGCCCCTAGGAGCCTGCTGCTTCACCTCACACAGTCTGCCCCCACGTTGTAATGCATCAACATTAATTACTGGGAGCAATGTGGACATTTTGTTTCCCATTTTTCTAGCCCTTTCCTTAACCCTTTATATTCATAAAAATTTGCTTAAAAAATAGTGTCAATTAATAATGTGCAGAAGCATCCTAAAGAGGGAGGTTGCTAGAAATAGCAGGTCCTCTCTCTTGTATTTAAATTCTGATCTAATAAGATCAGATCTAGTAGTGGGGCTCTAGTGGTACTAATGAAGGAAGTCCAAGGTTTGTCCCTCAAGGAACAATGGCTTGAACATTAAGTCTTAAAGTATGACGAGTGGAGAAAACAGCTAAAGGATAACTCTTAGATCCTGTCTACGCTCTCACTCAACTGGGGCAACCTCAGTGGTACGTAGCAAATTTGTATGTACCTTGTACATTGGAATACTACTCAGCAGTAAAAAGGAATGAACCACTGATACACACAACAGGATTGAATTTCAAAAGCATTACACTGAGCCGAAGAAGCCGGACACAAAGGAGTGCATACAGAGAGAAAACAGATCAGTGGTTATTTGAGGAAGGGAGAGTGTCTGATGAGAAAGGAGTTTGGGGGAATTTTCTGGGAGATGAAAATATCTGTCTTGATTGACAATGGTGTATATTACAGGAGTGCATGTCTTTGTCAAAAATAGATCTAATCGTACATTTATGATCTATGTACATCATTGTAAGCAAATAATACCTTAATAAGTGTTTTATCTTGAATTATATGGGGTAATGATAATTTTTTTACCAATTCATATCTTTAAAAGTACATAACAGGCCAAAAAAGAAGACTTACACGTTAGAAAAAGATCTAATACAGTGCTGCACACATGGTAAGCACTCAATAAAAATGTTATTTATGATGAATAACTATGCAAGAGTAGTTCATTACGAAGAGCTCTTTCTTACAAGATGCCTCCTTTCAGCCCAGCAATATAGTCCAATTCGGCACTGTGTACAAGATTAAAGTTTCCCAGCCCTATATAAATATTTCCAGTAATCTTCTATTCCATCAATCCAGTTATACAGCCTTTTCATGGGAGCACAATAAATAAAATCAATACATTTTATTACTTCGATTCAAAGGCATAAGGCTGTCTGCAATGTTGATCCAAACTTTAGGGAGTTCTTTCTGAGGAAAGGGCACTGCTAAAATTTTGTGTGAATAAGAAAAGCTATCCTTAAATCTTAAGAATTTCTTAGATTGAAAAAAATACATATAAGGGCTATCAATCTCTATGTATGATCTCTACTGGATAAATATAGTGGGGAGAGGGGGCACCAGCTAGTCTTCCAAAGAAATACATTTTCTGAAAATATATAGTGGATGAATTTTATATTTCTATAATAAAAAAAAGTGTCCACTACCAAGTCTCAGGCAAATTGGACAGATTACTTAGTAGTACTTACTTTTCTTAATTGTGCTGAGGTCATAATGTATCTGTGACTATCTTCCTTTATTTTTAATATTTTTACTCACTTTAAGGAGTATAACAAAGAAAATTAAGTAACCAAAAAATCAAAAATGCAAATCAAATTGTAAGCTTCAGGTTAAAAGAAAATAATTTACTGTTAGGTTATATCTCCACAATGCTAAGTATGAGTCTGAAAACATTCTTTATCAACAAGAACTGCCCCCAATATTTTCAGTTGTTTTGTCTCTAGAGGATTCACATATAGAGAAGAAATAAGCAATAAAGCATTATAGGACAGCTATTACAGGAAAAACATGATTTTCTGTTTCAATTTCTAGAAGATAAATTTCGTTTTGTTATTATACTTTAAGTTCTGGGGTACATATGCAGAATGTGCAGATTTGTTACATAGGTATACATGTGCCATGGTGGTTTACTGCAGGAAGATAAAATTTTTAAAGGAAAAAAATAGAAATGATGAAAAAGTAAGGGCAACTCAAAAACTGGGGGAAAGTTTTAAATCCCGTGACCACATAGAAACATTTCCATTTTTTGGCCGGATGTGGTGGCTCACCACCTGTGATCCCAACACTTTGGGAGACTGAGGCAGGCGGATCATCAGAGGTCAGGAGTTCAAGACCAGCCTGACCAACATGGTGAAACTCCATCTTTACTAAAGATACAAAAATTAACAGGCAAGGTGGTGCAAGCCTATAATCCCAACTACTTGGGAGTCTGAGGCAGAGAATCGCTTGAACCGGGGAGGCAGAGATTGCAGTGAGCCAAGATCGTGCCACTGCACTCCAGCCTGGGCAACAGAGTGAGACTCCATCTCAAAAAAAAAAAAAAAAATAGAAAGAAAAAAGAAACATTTCCATTTTGTAATCAAAGAATTAGAACTTTCACAATTCAAACTTTATTTATTCCAGGAATCTCAAAATGGGATATCCTGAACCAGCAGCACCCAGAGACTTGTTAGAATTGCACATCCCAGGCCTCACTCAGTCCAAATGAGTCAGAAATTCTAGGGACGGGACCCAGCATCTGTGTTGAAACAAGCCCTCCAGGTGATTCTGTTGCAGAGTAAAGTCCGAGAACCACTGACTCATTCCAAAAACATTTGCTGGGTGCCCACTGTGTGCCAGCCTCTGAAAAAAGAATTAGAGATACAAAAATGAAGATTTATTATGATCTATAGTTTAATTGGTCACCAAAAATGGAATATTTGCTCATAGTTTTTTGAATACGAGAGAGTTGCCTGGGCACAGCTGGATCAGGTAGGACCACCAAGATCCTGAGGCTGCTATGGAGGTTGGGGCAGTGGTGCTTAGTCAGAATCCCCTGGGAGGATTTTTTCACCAACACAAGCCTTGTCCCTCCCCAGGCCTCTGGAATCACAGTCTCTGGGAGTGAGGCTCAGGAAAGCGGTATTTTGTTAATTCCCCCCAGTAACTCTGATGTCCACCCTGAGTCCACCCTGAGTTAATCATGCTACTGCTGTACAGTTGTGTGGGTTCTGTGGTTTTTTTCATCACTGCCCTCCCGTCATCTTCTGTAGGTATGCTCTAGGGCCCACCTGAACTGAGTCACCTATGGCAGCACTGCTAGGGACAGGGGAATGGGAGTTTGCACACACATGAGGGAACATCTGCCCATTTGAACCACAGATCTACTGAATCTGAATCAGAATCTTTGAAGGCAGGCCTCCAGAGCATGTATTTTTTTAAACAAACCTCCTGGAGGTTTTGGGGTTTTTTTTTTGTTGGTTTTTTTGTTTTTCCGAGACAGAGTCTCACTCTGTCACCCAGGCTGGAGGGCAGTGGCGCTATCTTGGCTCACTGCAACCTCCATCTCCCGGGTTCAAACAATTCTCCTGCCTCAGCCTCCCGAGTACCTGGGATCACAGATGCGTGCCACCATGCCCGGCTAATTTTTGTATTTCTAGTAGAGACGGGGTTTCACCATATTGGTCAGGCTGGTCTCGAACTCCTGACTTCATGATCTGCCCGCCTTGGCCTCCCAAAGTGCTGGGATTACAGGCATGAGCCACCGCGCCCGGCCACCCCCTGGAGATTTTTAAGCACACAACAATTTGAAGTGTACCGCTTTGTCAAGCCCTCTAAGGAGATACTTTAACTGTCCATTACAGTCTAGTCCTCAAGAGTCTCTCAGAGAACATTCCATTTGTCTCTTTATACATGTGGTAGGAAGTAATAGCCCCCCACAAAGATGTCCACATCCTAATTCCCTGAATCTGTAAACGTTATCTTACGTGGCAAAAAGGACTTGACAGACAAGATTAAGAATTTGTGGTGGGCCTGAGCGTGGTGGCTCACACCTGTAATCCCAGCACTTTGGGAGGCCGAGGCAGGTGGATCACCTGAAGTCAGCAGTTCGACACCATCATGGCCAACATGGGGAAACCCCATCTCTACTAAAAATACAAAAATTAGCTGGGCATGGTGCCACACGCCTGTAACCCCAGCTACTCAGGAGGCTGAGGCAGGAGAATCACTTGAACCTGGGAGGCAGAATTTGCAGTGAGCTGAGATTGCACCATTGCACTCCAGCCTGGGCAACAAAGTGAGACTCCATCTCAAAAAAAAAAAAAAAATTGTGGATGGTTGATTCTTCTGGATCATCTAGGGGTGCCAGATGTAGTGAGAAAGATCCTTATAAGAGGAGGCTCACAGGTCAGGGTCAGCACTTTGAAGATGTTCCAGTGCTGGCTTTAAAGATGGAGCAAGGGGCCACAAGCCAAAGAATGCAGGCAGCCTCAAGAAGCTTAGAAAGGCAAGAAAACAGTCTCCCCTAGAGCCTGCTGAAGGAACGCAGCCTTGCTAACACCTTCTTTAGTGTTAAACCCTTTTTGGGTTTCTGACCCAGATTTGTGGTAACATACCAGCTGTTGTTCCAAACCCTATTGACTCCAGTGGGGAAGGTACCAGGTTCAAGAGGCCCAAGAAGAGACCCAGAGCCAGCAAAGGAGACATGGGGTCTTACTGGGGCCTTACATACAGAATAAAGAGTCCAGTGGCGGTGGGCTGAACAGACCCGCAACTGCTTGCAAAAGGAATGCAGTTTACATAGCATTTTTCTCCACCTGGCAACCTTCACTTAACCCAAAACAATCCCCTATATGGCTTGCATTCCATGGCCTGGGGTGGGTGCAGAGCAGAGAGGGGGGTGCTCAGATATTTCTTATTGAGAAGGAGTGAATCTCCCAGTAGGCCAATCCCTGATCCCTTAGCTTGGAACTCCAAACACACATTCAGGTGCATTGCCATACAGGGTCATTCTCAGGAAATGCTTAAGCTATTGCTATCAAGTGCATTTACCATACACCAGCAATAGGGAAATAATACAATATGTAGAAGATATAGAAAGGAAAATAATTTAGAGACAAACAGTGCTATTAACTGAAGAAATCTCATTTGGAGATTCTAACACATAAGAGATGGCATCTTTAGTGTTCCCTTGGGATTTATATTTATTAAACAATTTCTTTGACTAGAAGTCTTAACTAGATCTACAGTTACAGTAATCATAAAAAATTACGGAACCTTAAAAAAAAGAACCTAAGTTGCTTGACAACAGTTCCTTTCCGATTCATTTCACCTTCACAACACTGTCAGATGATACAGAATACCATCTACTGTGTATAGCTAATGACACCATTTTCACTAGTGTCTACTCCCCAATAGCTGACAAGCCTAAAAATATTGATTTGGAGGAAGAATCAGGAAACTCATTCATAATGGACATATTTGACGTGATGTCATCAGTTATACAGTAAAACCTGTGAAGGAACATAACACAGGGAAAAAGCCTTCAAATCCCCTTGTTTGGAAGATTTAAAAATAGGTGAACAATTGCCGCCTTCTCCCACTCACCCTTGCTTCACTCTTACCAGTAAAAGGCTCATTCCTCTAAGCTGTGGTTCTCATTCCGAGTGTGCATCAGAATCACCTGGAGGGGTTGTTAACACACAGATGGCTGGGCCCCACCCCAGGGTTTCTGACGCAGTAGGTCTAGGGGCAGAGACTAAGAAGGTGCATTTCTAACATGTTCCATGGTGTCGCCCTGCTGCCTGTCTGGGGATCATGCTCCGAAACTTGCAGACCAGAGTAGTGGCTCTCAACATTAGCTGTAGGTGAGCATCACCTGAGCACATGTAGGAGCCTTGATGTCCAAGCCACACCGAGGCCAATTAAGTCAGACTTCCTGGCACTGAGATTCAGACATCACTATTTTAAACTCCCCAGGTGATGCCAATGTGCGGCCAAAGTTGCTAACCACAGTTCTCAAGGTCAAAATAACAGTGAATGCCCGGCACGGTGGCTCACGTCTGTAATCCCAGCACTTTGGGAGGCCAGGGTGGGTGGATCACCTGAGGTCAGGAGTTCAAGACCAGTCTGACCAACATGGCAAAACCTGGTCTCTACTAAAAATACAAAAATTAGCCGGGCATGGTGGTGCATGTCTGTATAATTCCAGCTACTTGGGAGGCTGAGGCAGGAGAATCACTTGAACCCAGGAGGCAGAGGTTGCAGTGAGCTGAGATCACACCACTGCACTCCAGCCTGGGCAGCAGAGCAAGACTCCATCTCTAAATAAATGAATAAATAAATAAATAAAACAGTGAAGAAGGAGAGCAGGTAAATGCTAGGGAGAAGAAGCAGCAACACTGCCAGTGAGATGCCCAACCCCTCGGCCGTCCCTTGAGCCTAGGATCCCCTGCCATGCAAATGCTTCTCCTGCCTCACAGTCTAAGTTTAAAAACATCTGATCTCAAGGAATAAGAATATGATGCTGCAACATACTGCCCAGTCAAAGGATATGATAGGGGAAGATGGTAACCTGTTGAAACAAATAATACAATTCTAAACACTGTCTATATAAAAATTTAGAATTGTTTTGAATTTTAAGAAAAGCCTTTAATCTTTACAGAAAGACTCAAAGGAACCAGAGTTTCTTATAGTAAATAAAAGTTCAGTGCTTAACTCCCAGATAGCCTCCTTATTTTCTATTTTTCAGGCAGTTAATGTCCCGTGCTTCATATCCAAGTGTTTCTCTCCTTCTTACAAACACACACCCTATTTTTATTGTCATGAATAGTCATTGGTTCCAAACAATGTCTAATTACCAATTTGTCAGTAACCTCTCAATTCAGGTTTTGTTCATTTAAATGCATCGTTTTTTGTGGATATCTACATGACCTAGAATTTAGGTCATGCTACAAGTAGAATATGCTACTTTTGCTCCTTTTTGAAATAACTGCAAGGTGGTACTACTTTCTAGCACAGCTTTTCTCCTGCTGCCAATGCTGAAGAAGCTCGAAAAATAATTGCCTTTTGAGGGGCTGACTTTTTCTTATCTGTCCCCCCAAGAGTGGCTCCAATTTATTCATAAAAGTTTGATACATGAGCTGATATATTTACTCATTTTCATCCTAAATTCGATTGATCTATGTACAGAAATATGCTTTGGATTTTAGCATCTATCAACAAATATCATAAATCCCTCAAGCAAATGTGTTTGTAACATACTGTGCGAAACAGGTGTTTAGAGTCACATTGATTTCTCCCAGGGTATTTGATGTGTAAATTTCTTAAATATTTACTTATAAGAAAGAAATTTACAAATTCTTTCTGCCTTTCCATCATGGTAGGAATCAAGCTCTAAATGCCCTCTTTTCAGTTTTCTTTAGGTGATTGTGAAGGAGAAGCTTGAAGGACTGACCTTTACTTCAAACCACACCTATTTTAGCCTGTTTTGTTAAAAGATACTATGATCCTATGTCTTGTATCACAGAGTTGAATCTTCTCCAGAACACAGACCAGATTTTATTTATGGTACTAACGTATTAATATAAATCAGCCCACAGGACAAATTAAACAAAGGTGAACTATAAGATTTAATTCGTCAATGCCAAATTAAACTGTGAAAATGTATGTCAAATGGCTTATTTAATAGCAAATGTATTACACACATGAACACAAATTTAACTATTTTCACACTTATTTCCAGAGTATATATGTCTTTTTTGCTATTGGACTGATAATATGTAATGGCCAAAAATAATTCACTTATTTCAGGAAACTAAAAGTTGGTACCTCTACTCTTATACCCTTAGTAAATTTGGGCTGCTATAACAAAATACTATAAATGGGTGTCTTATAAACAACAAACATTTATTTCTCACAGTTCTGAAGGCTGGGAAGTCCAAGATCAAGGTTTTGGCAGATTCAGTGTTTGGTAAGGGCCTGCCTCCTGGTTCATAGAAAGGGCAGCTTCTCCGTATGTCCTCACATGGAGAAAGGTCAAGGCAGCTCTCTGGAGCCTGATTTATAAGGGCACTAATCCCACTCATGAGGGCTCCACTCTCCCTCTTGACCACCCCCTCCAATCTCCCAAAGGCCCTACCTCCTAATATCATAACATTGGTGATTAGGTTTCAACATATGAATTTTAGGGGGATGCAAACATTCATATCATAGCATACCCCCTATGTTTTGGTAAACATATGTAGATCCATACCATAAACACCATACTTGAACTGCACTGTTGTTGTTGTTTTTAGATAGTTCTCCATGTAAATACAGTAAGATTTCCATGGAAAGACTTGTAGACTATTTCTATGTTTGGATAGATCCTACTGTGATTTAACTAATCCTTTATTGACTGACATTTATTTCCATTATTCAATATTGTAAACAACTTTACAAGAAACAACCTTGTAGCACATATCCATTTCCCTACAATAAATTCCTAGAAGTGGAATTGCTAGGTAAGAGAACATAAATATTTGAAATATGAATAGGTTTTACTAGATGTCCCCAAAGACGTTACACCAAATTTCATGCTTACCAAGTGCTTATTTTCCTCTGTGATCACCAGCACAGGTGTTTTTTTTTTTATTTTTTTTTTTTTTATTTTTCAAGGGAGACCAGAGTTTTATTATTACTCAAATCAGTCTCCCCAAACATTCGGGGAGCAATTTTGTTTTGTTTTGTTTTGAGACACAGTCTTGCTCCCTTGCCAGGCTAGAGTGCAGTGGTGTGATCTCGGCTCACTGGAACCTCCACCTCCCGGGTGCAAGTGATTCTCTTGCCTCAGCCTCCTGAGTAGCTAGGACTACAGGCATGCACCACCACACCCGGCTAAGTTTTGTTTTTTCAGTAGAGATGGGGTTTCACCATGTTGGCCAAGATGGTCTTGATCTCTTGACCTTGTGATCCGCCCGCCTCGGCCTCCCAAAGTGCTGGAATTACAGGTGTGAGCCACCACGCCTGGCCTGGGAGCAGAGTTTTTAAGGATAACTTGGTGGGTGGCAGGAAGCCAGTGAGCCAGGAGTGCTGATTGGTCAGGGATAAAACCATAGGGAGTCAAAGCTGTCTTCTTGTGGTGAGTCAGTTCCTGGGTGGGGGCCACAAGATCAGATGAGCTAGTTTATCCATCTGGGTGGTGCCAGCTGATCCTTCAAGTGCAGGGTCTGCAAAATATCTCGAGCACTGGTCTTAGGAGCAGTTTAGGGGTGGTCAGAATCTTGTTGCCTCTACCTGCATGACTCCTAAGCCATAATTTCTAATCGTGTGGCTAATGTCAGTCCTACAAAGTCAATCTAGTCAGTTTGACCTTAAAGCATATAGCAAATCTGATATCTGACCTTAATTTAGACCAAATGTCTACATTTTCAAGTCTTTTTTTTTTTTTTTTTTTTTTGAGACCAAGTCCTGCGATGGAATCTCGGCTCACTGCAACCTCTGCCTCCGGGGTTCAAGTGATTCCCCTGCCTCAGCTTCCTGAATAGCTGGGGTTACAGGCACCCACCACAACGACCTCAGGTGATCCACCTGCCTCGGCCTCCCAAAGTGCTGGGATTACAGGCGTGAGCCACTGCGTCCAGCCATTACCAATAATCTTTAAAACTGTCATTATTTCCAAAAGACTACTAAAGTCACATGAACAAAAAGGCATTAAATTTTCTATTTTTCTGAAAAAATATTTGATTTAAGCGCTTATTTTTCAAAGCCAATTAATCAGAGCTCTTTTATATATAAACATAACACAGACACCCAACACATATAAATACAGACAGACAGAAGATTCGGCACTTGTAAGATTTTTCATTTGCCAGTTTCTTAATTGGATTACTGGCTTCAGAGTGGAGCCCTTGGAGGAAGAGGGCCAGGAAAGCATGCATTTCTGGGGCCAAATAAGCAGCAAATAAGCAGCTGAAGGCAAAGACAGATTCCCAAAATTGAGTTTGCCATTTTATACTGGATTCTGGATCCCCAAAAGGAAGGAAATACTATTGGAGAAGACAGTGCAGTGCTTTTACCATACATTTCATTTCAGGGCAACCCAAAGCCAATCAACCGTTTTGTCATCAGCCCATCCCCCATGGGGATCTTATCTCCCAGTGTGGGGTGGAGATGTTTCCTTACCTTCCAGGTGGACAATAGCGTGCTTCTCTGATCGAAGTGTGCAAAGGGTCAGGTATCCCTCCATAACTACTATTAGCCATCCCTTAAAGCATATTTCCTACCTAGTTATTACACACCAAAGCTCTGTCATAATACAAAGTTATTTCTGATACCCCCAAAACTCAAAACCGTCAGATAACACAACGTAAAAGAGAACAGAGCCTTTGATTTTGAGAGGGATCTATCCAATTTTAATTCCTGGGGTTTCATGAGGAAAATGGAGGTTTTTCCCCAAACGGGGTCTGTGGTGACTTCTCCTTTTTCCCAATGAGTCCCAGGCTACCAGAAGAGCCTGTTGTGGGTGCATTAAGAGTGGACAGACAAAGAAAGGAAATGGAGAAAAATAATTCAGTCAACTGAGAAGAAAAAACCTTTTTCCAGAAAAACAAGTTCGAAGAAGAGAAAAACATAGAGACCTTTTAAAATGCCTATAGCTTGTTTATCCACTTTTAATTAAGCTGACTTTTAACCATAGCACTCTTAAAAAAAATCCTTTAAAATTTTTTTATTACCCAACTCTAGCCATGCCAAGTGGCCAATAGTTTTGGCTTTTGAATTCTACCACAGGTAACTTCCTACATGAAATTAATCAGTTCTAACTAAGGTTATAACTTAACCAGGGACATAGGTGTCTCAAAGACATGGTAAGCAGTTTCTTTTTTTGCAAGATTTAGAATCTCCCCCAGGGTAGTTTAGAGAAAGGAAAATTCAAGACAGGAAATCAGAAGCTATTCATGATGGGGAGGAACCTCAATAAATGGCAAAGTTACATAAATTAAAAAAAACAGAAAGGAGTCTTTTCAGAAGCCAAGAATAGAAGTCAGGCCGTCATTGTCAAAAAGCAAAGCCTTGGCTGCTGAGTTATAGCAATGAGCAGTTTCTATTGCTCTTCCCAGAAGGAGCCTAGAGAAGCCAATTTGAAGCTTGCAAAGGCTTTTAACTGCCCAAGAAAATTTTTAGGGTTCACTATGACATGAACCTCAAAATTCCTGTCCTCTGGATGGTGGAAACCAAGAGAAAGTATCCCCACATGGTCAAACGGTTAAGCTCTTAAGGAAATAAAACAAGACAGAAATTTCATACGGTGTTGGTTTCAAAGACCCGTAGCAAAGTTTGTAACTCATAAGCCTAACAGGCTGGCTTGAAAAGCTGCCTTATAAGGGTCCTAAACCCACATTCTATCCTGTGATACTCCTTTCTTCATTACAGAATACAGAAAGACAAAGACAAATTCTTAGCACAAAGTACACCAGTTTTGCTACCGCCTAAGACTAGGGTCTTACAAATCCTTTTTCTTAATCAAACCTTTGCAGAGAGACAAATAGTGACATTTACCGTTTACCCAGACAGAGAGAGAGAGAGACCAGAAACTTGGCTGATAAGAATTTCTTATCCTTTTTGCCGGAATACCAGGTTTCTGGGCTCCCTTTCTCTACAGCTTCCAGAACGGAGTGGCTTCTGATGACCATGCTCACTGCACCACAGCTGTGGAGTTCAAGCCACTTTTCAAGAGAAAATCACCCTTTCCTGTTTTATGGAACCATAAGAAATATTCTTACTTTGCCAGATGCTGCCCAACAGGCTGCATGGGGAACTAAATTAACATTTTCCATCCCAGCAAAACACACATATCAAAACAAACATAGTCACCTCGCTCAGCACACAGTATCAACCTGGCAAAGCTCAAACTTTTTCCAGTTGATCCCTGTTGCTTTGATCCATCGCAGGTGGGGATGGACGACCTCCGAATGGTAATTCACATGGGGTCTCTGGGTAAGGTGAAGAGCAGAGACAGGCCCCAAGAGACAGGCCTGTTGAGCCTTCTTTAGGGCTCACTGAATGTGACCAGACAAATAAGGAGGGTTCTCTCAGTTAGGCCTGCTGGACTTCCATTAGCAACCCCTTCTGAGATCCCTTCCACATATGCAAACACACACAAAGATGAGACGGACAGAAGGCCTTCCAAATCAGATTCCCAACCAAGAACTCCAAGAGTATCCCTTCCAAACTATCCTCCTTTTCTCCATCTGAGAAACCTCCTCGAAATCGTCTTGATTGAGGAGAAGTCTCCCAAACCAGGACTGTTCCTACTAGTTAGAAAGAGCCAACCTGTTAGTTAGAAAGAGCCAAGACCCCCAGGAGCTGAACAGACATCCAGTAATGAGGCTATAGACACCGACACCCCATGGTGAAGCTACAAACAGACATCACACAATGGGGCTACAGACACCCCACCATAGGGCTACGGAACCAGTTGGGAGAAGGAAAGAGGCATTGGCAGCACCTAGGATACTCACCAATCCAGACACCCTGCAGCAGGGCTACAGACAGACACCTCACCATGGGGCTACAGACACCCTGTGATAGGGCTACAGTTAAGGGACATCTCCCCATGACTATTTCTGCATTGCAATTAAATCCATGCACATTGGGTCGGCAGCACCCTGCCAGTAGAGAGAGTACCAGAGTCAGCTCCCAGTCCAAGAGAAGTAGGTGGCAGCTTGGGCTGGCTTCTGGATCCATCCCAGCACAGGTTTTTATCTTAAAAGTTTGTTTTGAGATGTAATTAACATATCATAAAATTTACTTATTTGAACTATACAATTCAATGATTTTTAGTAAATTCACACAGTTGTGCAGCTCTCACCACCATCCAGCTTTAGGATATTTCCAGCACCCTGCAAAGGCCTCCCATGCCCATTTGTAACTCCCACCCTAATGCCGAGGAACTACTAATCTACTTCCTGCTTCCATAGATGTACCTTTTTTGAATAGCTCATGTAAATGGAATCATGTGTGAATCCCGAAGGCCCTACTTGAGAGTGAAACAGTGCTTTTCCTTGACTCTGATTCTACTTTTGATAAGAAACTTCTCTGTCTGTTTGGGGGCTCAAGGATGATTTTAAGGCTCAGGCTGTCAGTGGCTTTTTAAGTCCAGGCTTATGTGGAACCCTACCCAAAGTTCTTTCACAAACGTAACTATTATCCGTTATTTCTTTCCTTGCTTCCTCAGCTTCATGCCTCTCTCACATGCACCCAATTTGATGCCAGCATCCCTGAAGTCATATGGTTTGGGAGAAAAAGCTACACCTTTAATTGTATTTCCTATTGTTTGGAATCTAGAAACGTTGGTGTTTCAATCTCTTTGATGCCCCAGATTTCTTCTCTCTCTGTATTTATTTTCATTTCTGCTTGGAACCTGTCAAGCTATTTACTGATTCATTTTTTTTTTTCTTCTAATACCTTCCTAATGGAAGCCAGTAACCACCAACACATATCACAAAATTCTGTTTTCCAGTCTCTTTCCCTAGAGCTACAGGCTCAATGAGTACCCGGCTGCATTTATGCTATTTCTGGTGACAGTTTTAACACACATTTTATTTTATGTACTTCTTTTTTAACTTTTATTTTAGGTTTGGGGGTACATGTGCAAGTTCGTTATATAGGTAAACCCATGTCACGGGATTTGCTGTACAGATTAATTCATCACCCAGGTATTAAGCCCAGTACCCAATAGTTATCTTTTCTGCTCCTCTCCCTCTTCCCACTCTCCACCCTCAAGTAGACCCTGGTGTCTGTTGCTTCCTTCGTTGTGTCCATGAGTTCTTATCCTTTAGCTCCCACTTGTAAGTGAGAACATGTGGTATTTGGTTTTCTGTTTAGCTCCATTCATGTTCCCACAAAAGACTATGAGCTCGTACTTTTCTATGGCTGCATGGTATTCCATGGTGTGTATGTACCACATTTTCTTTAACCAATCTGTCATTGATGGGCATTTAGGTTGACTCTATGTCTTTGCTATCACGAATTGTTAACACATATTTTACCACTGTATTACATGAGTCTCCATCTTCCTATCCTCTGATATTAATGTCCTCACTACCCAATGCTGATTCCACATATTTTAGGTTTTTATTACAGAGTAGTACCTAAGTTTCAATGGTAATATCTCTATTAGTTAAGATTATGCTAGCACTAAAATGTCTAAACCCCCAAATCTCAATATCTTAACATTTTATTGGAATTTTATTTCTCAATCTGATATCAATTCAAGCCAGTGGGAATGAAGGGTATTCTGCCCCACATTTCTTCAGAAACAGCCTGACAAATGCTCTGCTGTCTTTCTCAAATGCCTCAAGCTCACCCTGCACTGACACACCATCAGCAAATAAGGAAAGAGAGAGCCTTGAGAATTGTGTAAGAGGTCATTTTGGGCCAGACCTGGAAGCATTGTGCATGATTGTATCACTTCTGCCACATTCCTTTGGGAAGAATTCATTCTCATGTCCTTACCTCACTGCCAGGGAGGCTGAGAAATGTAGCCTATCTCTGTACTCAGAAGGAAAATCAAGCAAGTTTGGCAAACAGCTAGCCAGTATTTACCATAGCTTCATGTTAAACATTTAGCCTTTGACTCAATAATTCCAATTCTAAAGATCTTTGCTAAAAAATATTCTGAAATACAAACATGTTAATTCTTAGGTCATGTAAAGTCACAAAAATAAATATATAAATAAATAGAACACTAAATATAGAGTTCATTTATGTAATGGAATATTACACAGCAATTAAAATTTATGTTTCTCACCAGGTATGGTGGCTCACACCTGTAATCCCAGCACTTTGGGAGGCCAAGGCAGACAGATCACCTGAGGTCAGGAGTTCGAGACCAGCCTGGCCAACATGGTGAAACCCCATCTCTACTAAACAAATACAAAAATTAGCAGGGTGTGATGGCGTGTGCCTATAGTCCCAGCTACTTGGGAGGCTGAGGCGTGAGAATCGCTTGAACCCGGGAGGCAGAGGTTGCAGTGAGCCAAGATCATGCCACTGCACTCTTCACTCCAGCCTGGGTGACAGAGCGAGACTCTGCTCAAAAAAAAATTACGTTTATTAAAAATTTTAATCACATAGGAAAATGTTGCTGATGTAACATTAAGAAAAACGCCGGAAACAAATTTATACATATAATATGTATATATTTTTAAATAGAGCAGTAAAATTATTGGAAGGAAATATGCCAGAATGATGACACCTATAATCACCTATAATCTCACCTATAATGTATGGTAGGAGTACAGATTTGTCTGTTTTTTGTGTGTGATTCTTATGATCCAAATTCCTTACAATGTAGTGCCATTATAATCAGAGAGAAAATAAATATTATTCTAAAACATAATAAATTTATAGCCAGATCTATGCCTTCTAGTACTCTAACCATCTCAAATGTCAATATCTTTAATAACGAATTCAGCAAAGTAACATAATAATAAAGTAACATATCTTTAAATAGAAGTCAATATTATTGTTATTTAATCACATGCTTCAGAAAAATACTTTGAGATGGATAAAGCTAATACAATTTCCTCAGAGATGACAGTACTTTAGGAATGCAATTTTGACTTTTATTTCCCTACTATATGCCTTCTGTGTTTTATGTTTTAATTTCATTTACAAAAAATCCACAACTATTTCTGAAAATATCTTCTAATAGTCTCTCTCTCTCCCTCTCTCTCTGCAATATACAGCCTGTCAAAGTACACTTCTCCAGCTGCTGGCAGATGGCCTTTATCACTCATCAAGGTTTTTAGCAGAAGTTTATTTTGTGTATGTCCATCAACTTCTGTACTTGGGACAAACAGACAAAAAAGACCAAAATCACCAGATTATTACCACATTGTTTCTCAGAATATAGAATGGATGGTGGCCACATTTCATGAACAGTTTCTATCAGCACTTATTTTCAATCTTAGACTCTTCATAACCAGATATTCCCAAATCCCTTATACTTACCTGAAATGAAGCTATTATTCTCACCTATGTATCAGTACTGTGAATCTATCGATTATCAGTATTTAAGTTAAGAGCTGTTGATTTTTCTGATCACATTTGAGGGTTCCGTGTATGTTAGAATGAGTGATGCTCATCTTTTTCGGCCGTTGTGGAAATAGGACTACTTACCCAAATTTTTGGCCAATTAACCTCCATGACTCATTATGCATACCCATTCAAATGTGCTCCCATGGGACTTGTGTGTGTGTAAGTGTGTGTGCATGTGTAATATACATATATACACATAAGACATTGTGAAAATAAATCAGGGGATAGTATATAAAATGGTGTGTTCATGCTTTTTAAATAAAGTACTTTGCACTTAATTTTTTTCTATTTAAAAATGAATTCATATCATTCTGTTGCCTCACTCATATTCTAGTATTTAGATTGTTTTCTATTGTGTTTTATTTATTTTTTCTTTTATTTCAGAAAAGGAAAAACTTTAAAATCCAGATATCTTATTAAATATCTTTTTTACTATTTCCATTTATGAATATATTTTTTGTTTCTGACAATGCTTAATGTACAATGGGTAACTATGAATAGTAAAAGTTGTATGGAACTACTAACACAATTCTGAAATCTAATCTTTAATATTTTGCCAGGGATTATGTAGAAACTTATAATTATGTTTTACTTTGGATTTACCCCATCTTTACTTTATCTCACATTAAAATGTAATCAAAATCAGCCTGTTTCCAATCGGTTGCAAATCCCCTTCTTAAAGCACCTATTCAAAAGTTTCCCCAATTTTCATTTTCTCTGTATTTTCTTATTATATTAAATCCTGATATCTGAAAATTGAACCATATAGTAGCATTGCCATATTCCTTTAAAAATACAGATCATATCTATTCTTCCTGTATTTTCCAATTATAACTGTGGTTTTTTTAATCCTTGACAGGTTGCAATTAGATTTCTAGTATGCCATTGTATTACAGTAAATACCATTATTATGGTAGAAATAATTCACTTTGTTTAGTGCACTGTTCAGATAGTCTGCTGAGATGACTCTGATACCAAATGTCATTTTCATTCTTTAATTATAATTTTTAATCTTTTCTAGTTTACCATTCTTTCAGTAGATTAATTATTTTTATTCTAAACTTCAGAAATTGTCTGAGTTTAATAATGTTTATTAATAAGAATTATAATATCCTATTGCTTTTATTCCACCCCCGCCCCCAGAACAGTAGGAGTAATTTTCTTATTCTCCAACTCTCTGACCTGTAATATAC
Organism: Homo sapiens; assembly: GCF_000001405.40. NCBI lineage: Eukaryota > Metazoa > Chordata > Mammalia > Primates > Hominidae > Homo > Homo sapiens. Next base: position 191,579,706 of record NC_000002.12, on the reverse strand, counting down.
TGGAACATTGTGTGGAAGAACAACCCTCAGATGCATTTAGTAGTTGAATGCATTTCTGAGCATAGTTGTTATTGCATTCCAAATAGTAGTTACCACCTGAAAAGTCACTCCATCAGGAACAGAGTTTCCTTTGTCTGGGGCTGTTGTTTATATACACAGTGTAAAATTAGGCCAAATTCTGACATCACAAACAAAATTTAAAGCATGTATATATTAAACACATCCATAATAAGATTAGATGCCCTGTGAGGACAGGGACAATGTCTATCATACTTAATCATTAAATCCCTAGGACATACTACAATGCACTGGCACATAGTAGGTGCTCATTAAAGGTGAGTTGGCTGAGTAAGCGTGCACATGAATGACCCTCATCGGATTATGTGTTCAGTTGTTGTCTCTGTTGCTGCATGCATGGATACATCTTTATCTAAAAAGTTCAATTCAATCTAAGCAAATCAGTATGAGTGAGCAATGCAGTACAATGGAAGAGGATGTAACTCTACAATCTGATTAGAGCTAATTCTCCTTCTATTTCTCCTAGTGGTGTGATTTGGTCCAACTTGTTTTTATCTCTCTTAGCCTTGATTGCTTTATCCATACAATAGAAAAAATAATGTCTACCTCCCAGATTTGTTGTGAGAATTAAATGAAGCATTATTTGAAAATTGTCTACTACTTAGTCTAATTTGAGTATTCGTGATCATTAGGTTTGGGGGATAAATATTGGCAGCCTTGAATACCAGTCAGTGATTGCTGCATATCAAACAACTACCCAGCTGATTTCAGCTGAGTGATTCTGAGCTGCAGTTGAGATCCAAGTCTGCTCCATGTGTTTCTCATCCTTCTTGGACCAGAAGGGCAACTAGAACATGTTTCTATCATGGTCTTAGCAGAGATGCAAGAGGGCAAGCCTACTGAATAAGGCCATTTTTAAGCCCTGCCTTTGTCACAACATCACATTGGCTAAAGCATGCTCTGTGTTCATCCTAAAGTCAAAGGATGAGGAAGTGTTCTTTTTTTTTTTTTTTGAGACAGAGTCTCACTCTGTCGCCCAGGCTGGAGTTCAGTGGAGCGATCTCGGCTCACTGCAAGCTCTGCCTCCTGGGTTCACGCCATTCTCCTGCCTCAGCCTCCCGAGTAGCTGGGACTACAGGCGCCTGCCACCACACCCGGCCAATTTTTTGTATTTTTAGTAGAGACGGGGTTTCACCGTGTTAGCCAGGATGGTCTCGATATCCTGACCTTGTGATCCGCCCGCCTCCGCCTCCCAAAGTGCTGGGATTACAGGCTTGAGCCACCGCGCTCGGCCAGAAGTGTTCTATTTACACAGTATTTTTAAACAATAATCCAATTTAACACACCTTTCATATCTATAGGTAGATGAGAGCCATAGGTCTTTTCTTCTAAATCCTGGCTACCAGGCAGAGGAATACAATGGAAAGAAGTCTCAGATGGCATTCTGCCACAGAAAGTAGACACAAAAGCAGTCATAGAACCTGTTCTGTAAGCTTGAGGAAGTCCCACATCTCTACCTTTTAATGTGCTCTGATGGCTTCTTGAATGAAAAGGTTTATTAGAGTGGCAGGATTTACCTAATTTTTTAATAGAAATGGTCAGATTTTTCAAATCATCTACTGGTTCAGTCAGAAGTCAGGAGTGCCATTCTGAAAGCTATCAAGTATTGGGACTTTAAAAATATTATGTCCTGTGCACGCAAAGACAGGAATTTCTGTGTAATATTTTCAGAAAATCCACATTTCTTTATCATTACTAATTTTATCAATACAGAAATAATTTCTAATAAACATAAACATATTTCTAATAATTTAGCCATTAACAAAATCTCTGGTGTTGATCAAAACTTAAGAAGAAAACTTGCTGAAGTGTCTCTGACTCATGTCTCTCCAGTGTTGCATAACCATTCCAGTATTCCCAATTAGGGTATATTCCCAATCAGGGTACTCCAAATGGTAACCAACCTTCACCTGAACAGAATTGTACGCTAACACTGTACACTAAAACTAAATCACTATGTTAAAGTATTTTAAAAGTAAATTACAGACAACACAATTAGATATCCAAAAAACAATGTTTGTTGGGTGATTTTCATACCTGCCATCTTACATTCAAAACTGTAAATTACTGTTAAGCTGTGTCTCTGTGATTCTAGAAAAGAAAATTAAATATGCAATAATCACTTGTTGTTGATCTAAGTATTTGACAAAACATCACGTTGATCTTTTAGTTGCACTGAATTCATTCTTTTTACATCACAAAAACAAGGATGTAAAATTGGGCTAATAATGAATGAAAACAGCCATTTTAAAATCGTATCACAATTCATGACCATGAGATTTAATTTAGCTTTCACTTGAGAACAAAGTACTCCAAATAGCATTAGCATTTCATATTCTTAAGACTTTTGGCCAGAAAACTGAGATGAGGACAGTAAATCTATCTTGGAGCCTCTTCTATAGCTGTCAGGTTGTTCCGCTTAGATTGTCTGGATAGAGCTGGTGTGAAACTCCCCAGAATGTCCCTGTCATGCAAATCTCAGGTGATTATAACTGTCCCTGATTATCCATTTATTTTAAAATACAGAAGGGAGATGGCAGCTGTCTTTAAACATTTGAAATGTTGTCAGGCCAAAGAGGGAGAAGAATTATTCCATGTTTTCCAGAGGACAGAACCAGGACCCATCAAATCTAAGAAAGGTAGTTCTGCTCAGTGTGAGTTAAAGCATTCTAACAATTAGAGGAGTGTGAATTGTAAATACTGCCTTAAGTAGAAGTAAACCTGGTGACTGCTATCTACAATACAGTTGAGGAACAGGAATTAGGTGACCTTATGGAACCTCTGCTGCTACGATTCTATGAGTCCATGATTACAAGAAAAGAATCGAGTATTCTCACCGGCTTTGTTATCTTTCCTTTGCCCTGTTTCCTCATCTTCCCTCCTTTCTTCTTCCCATGTGAGTAAAATTTTCTGACCAAGAGCCTCTTCCATTGTTCAGTGTCAGACCTAACTCAGACTTAGGCAACTATGTGACATTTACTGACTCTATTTGAAGAGAAATCTCAATCCCAAATGGTTACCTTTTAGTTACTACGTGTGTGTGTGTGTGTGTGTGTGTGTATGTGTCTCAATATACATATTTGAGACAGGATCTTGCTCTGTCACTCAGTGCAGTGGTGTGATCCTAGCAACTGTAGCCTCAAACTTCTGGGTTCAAGTAATCCTCTGGCCTCAGCCTCCTGATTAGCTAGGACACAGGTGCATGCCACCACACATGGCTACATGTTTATTTAGAAGGACAACTCCAATAAAAAGTTTTGACATGTTTTCTATTTCTGGTTAGTCTTTAATTCCTTTACCAAAAATAGGGAGAAAATCAGATTTAGTTAAAAGTTATAAACAGGTTGCTAATGTTTCACAATTTTTGCTTGTATTCTTCCCTAAAACCAACACATTTCCCTCCTTTATGAAAGCTACTTTCTCTTCCACATGCGAATTGTAATCTTGGAAACATAAAATGTTTTAGTTAGAGAATTTTACCCTTATTATACATCTATAATACTTCTATGGTCTCTCTTCAATAAATTCCCTTCATTTTTTGCAATAAAATATGGACACTTTCCGAAGTATAAACCCGGTGGTGACTTGATGATATACAGAATCAGCAGCACTATTAAATTACTAGAACTGATCCCTTTTGTGGTTTCTCAACCCATGAAATACTGTTGTAACTCTCTCAAATCACACAGGTTTAATAAATTGGATTTTTGAAATTATTATTTTTCCAATAATAACTATTATTTGAATTATCAAGAATACGATTTATTTGAAGAAGCAAATATCAAATAACAATTATGCCTTAGTCCTCCAATTTTGAAGTAGCAGTTAGTATCAGTTCTAAATCACCAGAAGTCTGTCTTCCCCCATCCAGGGGTGTGTGTGTGTGTGTGTGTGTGTGTGTGTGTGCAAAAGTCTCACTCCAAGGCAGATGCCATAATGTTTAATGATGGGAACAGGCGACATTCTGATCAGGCAATGGTGTTCTGTGACATGTGGGACCCAGGACTAATGAGCTCTACGCTGAGGGCATCTCTGAAGGAACTGGAACTCGATGGCTGGGCTTGTCAGATTCCCATAAGTTTTCATGCAACAGTGGTGGGACACGAGAGTCAATATATATGTCCAACACCCATCTTTTCATTAGTGAAAAATTATTTTTACATCTCTTATGCTAATTATCAAGTCCTTAAGAGCAGATTTCCATGGCAATATTTGAAGTGCTTGGTAATTATGCCTGAAGTGTGTATTCCTGATCAGGATACTTCAAATATTAACTGCTGCTAGGATATAAAGGAAAAATTAATTTTGTTCATAAATCACACTGTTTATCTCAAAGTATTCTGAAAGTAAAATTTTACAAAGACATAGAATAATCTAAGGCCGAACTCAGGAATAGCTGTAGCCTTTATCTATTTGCATGTGTGCTAGTTGAAAAACATTGACAGCATTCTTGTAAATCTCAAAGCTGGGTTAACATGAGACAAAATGGTGAAGTCAATTTCTGCTTCCTCTATCCCCCACCTTAAACTCAGTGTCTAAAACTAAATGAGAAAACCAGCGTCTCCTCAAATGTTTCCTCTTCTAGGTATTTGCCACCACAATCTTACCATCTGTCCTGACCAGAGATTTGGGATTCATCCCTATTAGAACTCCTTAATCAAACAAATACGTTCATGTGGTTACTGTGGTGAGTTAAGTGGTACCCTCCATGTCCTAATCCCAAACTTGTTAATAGAACCTTACTTGGGAAAAGGGTCCTTGAGTTAAGGATCTTGAGATGAGATCATCCTGGATTATCTGGATAGTCCCTAAATCCAGTGACAAGCATCCTTATAAGAGAAAGAAAGAAGAAGATTTCACATGGAAAGAAGACAGAGAAGGAGGAGAAGGCCATGTGAAGAAAGACAGGGGCAAAGGTTGGAGTTACTCAGCTATAAGCCAAGGAAGACTTAAGAGGCTCACAGGAAGCTGAAGAGGTGAGGAAGGATTCTCACCCAGGTCCTTCAAAGGAGCATGGCTTTGCTGGCACCTTGATTTCAGACTTCTGGCCTCCAGAACTAGGAAAGAATAAATGTCTGTTGTTTTAGGCCCCATGTTTGGAGTAATTTGTTGTGACAGCACTAGGAAACTAACACAGTCACCAAATCCTCCTGAGACTACCTTTTTAGTATCGCTGAATCCATCCTTTTTTCCTCTCTTTCATGCCACTAATATGACTCAGATTATCATTACATTCCACACATATTTTAACTGATAGAAAAAGAAGTTGATAGGTAGAGCCAAGACAACCTTCGGATCTGAGTTTTATTAGGGCCTGGTCTTAATTACTCTATGCTTTGGATCTACTGTCTGCTCACACTGAGCACTTCTAGAAATGGGGAAATAATGACATATTTCATTATCATCATCAACTAGCTTCTGATCCACACCTGACAGTCAGTTATACCATGCAGCAGAAACATACATAGTTACATTTTCCACAGTTTGAAAAACTGCAGCTATTTCTCATCTACCCCTTGAAGAAGGAAAACAAGTTGCTTCATTTTTGCCGTGTATTTCTGATACTGCAGCAGCGTGCTGGAGAACACAGACCTCTCACGAATCTAAATATTTCTTCCTTCTCCTTGGACTAAGGAAAAGCTATGGCAGAAAAAGAACTCCATTGCTCTGTGGGATTAACCAGATTAAACCCTGAGCTGACTGATTGGAAGGAGACGTCAACAAAGGCTTTCGGGCAGAGACAGCAATAATTCCATCTGTAAGATTGATAAATAGTTGTTCAGTACCTAGAGGAATGTTTTTGAATTATTCTGAGCTTTAATGCCTACAAAAAAATAATTCTCTTTCCACTAAGGCAGGTGCCCATTGGCAGATGTTCCAGCAACTGTACCACTCTACAAAGTATAGAGATCCAGTCTCCTGGGGCTAATGAGGTTATTGATTCCTAAGAACTATCTGGCTTCAGGCAAACTACCTACTCCCAGAGACTGAAATCTATGCCAGTGTGAATATTGTAGTCTGTTTTCCCACTGGTGTACTGCAATTTCAATAGTCTTAACCTACAATGTAGGAATTTAACAAATACCATATCAATGGGTTGCTAATTATGGATTATAGGCAACGGTGCCAAGAATAAACTCCTTAAACCTTCCCCAAGCACTAGGATGCTTCAGAATTTCCCTTGATGGCTGTTTACACACTTTTAGAGTCTAACACTTTACCTCTTCCTCTCAATATGATTCATCTCCACCCTGACACTATAATAATAAGACTAAAAATATTACAGCATATCAAATTTGGAGAGAGGCAGTGAGAAAATCTGGAGAACTTTCCACTCAAAGTTTCTTCTGTTAATATCTATCACAGCTTCTCATTACCTGAGAACAGAAATCACAATGAATGTTTCTGCCTTTAAGAAGTGCAATAAATAAACTGTATTGTAAAAAAGACAGTTTTTTTGTGATTATATACAATTTGGGTGAGTATAGAAATAGGCCATTGAGGAGCATGTATATGTGCATAAACATAGAAATACATTTTGGCAAAATTAAGTTGCATTGTCACAGAAGTGTGACCATAAAGTAATAAGATTAGTTTCCTTGTCAAACTTGTGGAAATCATTTGTCATTCTGTATATGTATGTATTCTATAATTGTGTTTCAAATGTAGCAACCCTTAAGTACCTGGTCTCACAAATACATTGGAGTCTCTTCTCAATTCCACTTTCACCCAGTTAGATTTATGACTCTCATAAATGATCCAAAGATTCGGGCTCCATGATTACAATGGACACAAAGAGAAATTAGGTAGACATGAGGCATTAGGGCAAAACACATAGGCCCACCCTAATTGAGTAGGCAGCTACCACTCTCCATTCTAATAAGCCAGTTTCAGTTGTACTAGAAAAGTCCTCTTGTCAATAGGAGAAGTCCCAAATTTTCCATCATCTGCATGCCTGACACCCGCATGGCCGACATGCCTTTAACTACCATTTATGGACCAGGTACTTTATATACCTAATCTCTAGTCCCTATAGCCACTCACAAATGTGCATATTACTATCATCGTTACTATTTGACACATGAGAAAATAGACTCATAAAGGTTAAATGACTCGCCTAAGGGCCCACAAGTGATAAGTAGATGAACACAGATTAGAACTTCTAATTACCAATCTTCTGTCTTATTTCCAAGCCTTGTGACTCAAAGACAAAGCTTGTCATTGCCACAATTAATGTTCAAATGCAAACGTAGACAGCATAGGATAATAAGACTCTGTGTCACTCACACTAAGGATCCAATGAGGAGAGCAATGGAGCCCCCATACCTGGTAAGAGTGGGGAAAGAAAAGGTTTCAAAGAAGTGAGTCTGAGGGTCCTAGGGACACAGTGTGCCTTCTCACAATTCTACCCAGGGTGGGGCGACTGAATTCTCAAAGCCTTGTCTTATTTTATCTCATGAGGCAAAAGCTCACTTTCATTCTAGGGCTTCAAAGGTAGCCAGCACATTTGAATTACCCAATTTGTCATAAAAATATTGTTAGGAAAATGCCCAAACTATCAAAGATGAATTAAATTTTTCTGGCAGCTTGAGTTGGACTCATGTCTCTTCTTTCATTTGATATGTTACTGCTTGGTTTTTCATGATCTTGATATCCTTGCTTAGAAACAACATTCTCAGACACCAGGTATCAAGTAAGGGTTCAGGCCCCACTGCCTGAGTTCAAATTTTCAGAGTTTGGAGGAAGGCAGCCCAAGGGTCACTGGAATTATAATAACTTAAGGGAAAAAAAAAAAATATATATATATATATATACCAAGTTAGGCTTATGGCTTCCTCCCTAACTACCCAATGGAAAGAGATAGGGAGTAAGATAACTAGATGACATTTTTGGTCATTGTTGTTCCTAAAGGTCAACGTTTCTTCAGCTCTGGTTAAATTTTCAGCATTCTTACTTCTGCATGTTCTGTCCAGCCCCTCCTATTCCTATAATTTTGAGGAAGTCACTGAGGGAAAGTGCTGACTCATAAAATTAGTGACTGGAAGCCAGTAAGTGACAGCACTTACAGGCAAGTTTGTATTAAAAATGTAATGATGTCAAGAAATTTCTCCAGGGACTTTGGCTTTTTATTGAAGTAAACTCATTTTCCCAGGTCTCACTTTGTTGCTTTTCATATTTGCAACTTTAATGACCAGAAAAAAAACCCCACAAAAAACCCAAAACGAAACAAAACAAAACAAAAACAAGCAGAGGAAGAAAGAAGGGAGGAGAGAGGGGGTGGGGAGAGAGAGTAAGAGAAAGAAATACGTGCATTAAAGAAAGGATTTGTTATCAGTACCCTCTTCTGGAAACACAAGAATGTAGCCTGGAATCGAGCTGTGGCATTTCTTTGATGAGAAAACAAAGAGATTTACGCTAGCAGACAGCGTCAGGCTTCCATGTGTCTGATGTTATTTGGGGTTGACATAATGTAGTAGAAAGAGCCCTAAACTTAGAAATCAAAAATTGTGGATTTAAATCCAGCCTTTGCTCCTAACCTTCTACGACCTCAATATTTAAATAATTCGGTGTTTTAAGTATAGTAGACCATATATCTGGATTAGAATCACCAGAGGCTGTTGCTAAAACTGCAGAATCCCAGGATTCACTCCACCATCAGAATCAAACGGCAGGAATAGGTATGAATCTCAATTTTAAACAATTTCCAGGGAAATTCTTAAGTAGTGTTCTGGCTTCAGTTACCTAATCTGTAGGTAGATAACTACAGATAACTGATGATTTTCTTAGATTAAGTGACCTATAATGCCCCTTACACATCTAACGCTTCGTGATCTTATAAAACAAAACAGAAGGAATGATTCCTCAATGGATTAACAAACTGTGATGGATCCATACAGTGGATTAATCCTCAGGAGTAAAAAGGAATGAATTATTGATACATGCAGCCACATGCATGAATCTCAAAATATTTATGCTAGGTGAAAGAAATCAGACAAGAAAAGATGATTTCATTTTCATAAAATCCTAGAAACCGCAGAGTAATCTATAGTCACAGAAAGCAGACTGGGGATGGGGCAAAAAGAAGGAGGTCTTACAAAGGGGGCAACTATGAAACTTTCGGGGTGAAGGAAATGTTCATTATCTTGACTGAGGTGGCGGTTTCCTGGGTAAGCACATATGTCAAAACTTGTGAAACCACACACTAAATCTCTGCCGTTTACTATAAATCACTTACCCCAATAAAGTTGAAAAAGAAAGAAAAGAAAAAGAAAAGAAAAGAAAGAAGGAAGGAAGGAAGGAAGGAAGGAAGGAAGGAAGGAAGGAAGGAAGGAAGGAAGGAAGGAAGGAAAGAAAGAAAGAAAGAAAAAGAGAAAGAAAGAAAGAAAGAAAGAAAGAAAGAAAGAAAGAAAGAAAGAAAGAGAAAGAAAGAAAGAAAAAGGAAGGAAGGAAGGAAGGAAAAGAAAGAAAGAAGGGAAGAAAGGAAGAAAGAAAGAGAAAAGAAAAGAGAAAAAAGAAAGGGAAGGAAGGAAGGAAGGAAGGAAATAGACTAGGATCTTGGGGAAGTTTGGATATCCATCTTCCTGGATATCCAAAAAGATTTCCTGTCTACCTATAATAGACAGGAATCTGTCCTGAGTTAGAGGACAGGAAGAGTGAGGGTCCCTGGACTGAGAGCAGGGAGCATTTGTTAAACAGGGGAGGATCTGCAGGCATCCTAAATCGCTCCACTTCAAAGGCCAGAAAAGTAATTTGGAAGCTGTAAGAGCAGAGCTTGTGCAGTGGTCTGCGTGAGCTACAAGCCAGAAGCTTCTGCCTGCTGCCCAATCCATCCACAGCATTGTGGATACTCCCCACCTGTCTCCCTGTTTTGTTGCAGAGGTGGGTAGTGCCTGGATAAGTCCTCACGCTCATCACATTCAGCTCAGGCTGGCATCAGGGCTTTTGAGGCTGTATCATTGGTAAGGCAGTGTCTGTTTAAAATTACCTTGCTAGGCCAGGCACGGTAGCTCACGCTTGTAATCCCAGCACTTTGGGAGGCTGAGGTGGGAGGTTCACTTGAAGCCAAGAGTTCAAGACCAGTCTGGTCAACAGAATGAGACCCCCATCTCTACAAAAAAACAAAAACAAAAATAAAAATAAATTAGCTGGGCATGGTTGTACACACATGTAGTCCCAGCTTCTCAGGAGGCTGAAGCGGGAGGATCAATTGAGCCCAAGAATTCAAGGCTGCGGTGGGCTGTGAGGGCTCCACTGCACTCCAGCCTGGGCAACAGAGCAAGAGCCCATCTCTTAAAAAAATACATATATATTACCTTGCTAGCCCAGAGGAGTCTCGAACTGGAGTCAAGTTGAGGACTTGCTCCAGGATCTTCCAGAATAATGTTCCCAGCTCCCCACTGCCACCTCAGCTGAAACTGGGATTGCAGTCTGTATCCATACACTCCCTTCTCTTATCCTCCCCTCTCCCCCTCCCACAGAGCCCACTTTCTGAGCTCTGAGCTCTGCTTTCTGCAGGCTTGAAAGAACTTTACTGGAAGCTCTGGCAGAAAGTTAAATTGAATAAAGATCAAAGTTAATAAATTTCCTGGTAAACCCACAGATGGTCCACTTTAAAGGCAATAGTCCCATTCACTTCTGATTAAAATAAAAATTGTCTATAAAGAAACTCCCTAGAACAAAGTTGAATGATGGAACCATATTAAGAGAGCAGTTCATTACCCTTAAGTGAAAAATGCACAAAGTCATCATTCAGAGGCAGTAATGGAGTGGTGATGGTAAAGAGGTAATTAAACCTACATTTAGCTGAACAATTTGGGAAATCCTCCAGGGCACTAGAAATAGAATAGTCTCCCCAAAATACATACTATCTTCAGGCTACCTAGATGATCAGATTGGTGTCACATTTTATGCATAGGTCCAGTTACCTTTCAGTATCAGAGTGCAAACATTAGAAGCAAGTTCTGCCTATGGTCACTAGTTTGGTTTCTTTGTTTTTGGAGAAAGCATTTACTTGTATCCATTTCCTCATCTCCTAATATTTATCCCCATTAGCAGGTGCATGTTACCTGATCAATCTGGGGGAGGCATGTACTTGCATAATCACCTTTCTCCTCCCTACCCCCAGGGCCACCTCCCATTTCCCAACTTTTCAGAAACAATGAACTTGGTAGAATCTTATCAATTTTATTAAAGAATAGAAATGTACTGTTAATTATGCAAAAATTGGTGGCAACATTAATTAGACTCTGGATCACTGACATTCCTCATTCCTTCCCCTTTTCTTTCCATGTCAATGGAGTATGCAACCTTATTTACAACAAAGACTTTCTTAGGAAAAGTATAAATTATAACATTCTATTTCTAAATTCCTTAGCCACAGACTCTTCTGTAATCTTGGTGGGTCCTGTTGTTTGGAAAAGATGAAGATCTCCAAGATTTACTGGAAATTTGTAGGCAAACTTTGGTCCAGCTCTCCTGTGCTCTCTGCACTTTTTTTTCTTTTTTGAGATGGAGTCTCGCTTTATCGCCCAGGCTGGAGTGCAGTGGCTGCAATCTCGGCTCACTGCAACCTCCACTACCTCCAGGGTTCAAGCAATTCTCCTTCCTCAGCCTCCTGAGTATCTGGGACTACAGGAGCGAGAAACACACTTGGCTAATTTTTGTATTTTAGTAGAGACGGGGTTTCACCATGTTGGCCAGGCTGGTCTTGAACTCCTCACCTCAGGTGATCCGCCTGCTTTGGCCTCCCAAAGTGCTGGGATTACAGGAATGAGCCACCGTGCCCGACCTGCTCTCCGCATTTTAGAGATGGAAAGTGCTAACTGTGGAGGTGAAGTATTTCATGAATATATGCAGACACACAGCAAAGACAAGTCGAACCTGTATAATGATAGTGTGCTTTAGATTTTATGGCCAAAGCTAATTTTAACTAAACAAAAAAGGCTGCCCAAATCTCCAAATTCTTACCCCAATTGCTGCTGACTTAGAATGATCCTGGCGAGGTCAATTACCATCCTCTTAACTCTATTTTCTTCTGACGCTCTCTATCAAGTTCCACTAAGTATATCAAAAATTAACAAAAAACTCTTTGACTTCCTTAGATGGAAAGGAATCCAGGCAGATTAATAGGACACAGTATTGCAATTCTTAATCATTGAGATTGCTGAAGGCTGGCAGGTGTAATTAAACAGTCATCAGCCCATAAACTGCGGGTGAGAGTTCAGTGCCGATGTGTCAAATTGGACAAAGTTAACCAGAGGGCTCACCTGAGGAATGAAACTGGGAGACACTCAAGCTTTAGAGTGTCCCATTAGAATCAGGCAGTAATTATAAAACAGGATTCACTGAGAGCTCTTTCAAATTCCAGTGAAGAGCTCATTTCTGAAGCCATTTGTTAAGTTATTGCAGCCAACTATTGCCATTGCTGCAATTGCTTTTGCAGAGCCAAAAAAGAAACTAATTTTAGCTACCTCTTCTACCTCTTACCTTTCCTAGGAAAGAATTTTCTTCAGAGAATCTGAAAGTTGAATCTTCTAGTAATAAACACTTTAGAAGATAGAAAGCAAGAAAAATCTCAGTCGAGAATCTTTTCACAAAGTAACTAAAGAGGCATTATTGGAAACAAGTGGAGAGGAATGGCAAACTGTCACAGCTGTGGCTGCCTGCTCTTAAAAGTAGGAATGCAGTAGAAAGAAAATCCTTGTGGAAAAGTTAATATGACTGTGGATGCTAGGTATGCTGGTGCTACCCCTGGGCCTGGGAGTAATCACCCACTCCAACCAGCATAAACTCCAGGGAGCATGAGATCTGGATCTGACTCCCCTTAGAGCTCAACAAACACTTCTAGGGACCCACAGAAAAAGGCGTTGCCCGTCTGGGTGTATGATAGCGTTGTTTCGGTGGAGAAGCTTCTTCATTATTCAGGAACACGGTGAATGATTGAAACTTACTCCAGCGCCTGGGGGCAAGCAATTTATGATGAACCTCCATAAATGGTTTTTTAAAATCACCTTAAAATTAATGCCTTCTATAGCCCAGAAGAAGGTGGCGGAGGAGACGTGAAGCCTCTTGAGTTTGGACCTCAGGCAAGGAAAAGTTGGGTCTGGCTATAAATGGACCCTTGAGGTGAGAAACCTGGGGACCTCGGATACGATTGTGGAAGTGCCTGTGCTGCCCCCATGTGGACAAAATGGTTCTCTTCATGGCTTTGCTCCTTTGACTCTAGGTTGAGGGTCACAGGATATAGGATTGAAGTGGTGAATATTCTGGGATCTGCTGGTAACAAAAAGAAACATTGCTTTAGTGTTCAGACCAACACAAGGCTGGCTTTGCCATATAACCCTGGACCTGCTGGCATTCTGCACTCTTCTTTTTTTTTTTTTTTTTATTACTCGCTTCTTGCTACACATATTTGTTGAGTTCTGGCCATGGAACCATGATAAGCTCCTGGGATGGTCAAAAGCCTGAGGTGCAGTCCTTGCTCAATAAGCAGATAAGATAACCCTCACATCTATGAATGCGATCTGATAAGGTGGCAAAGAGAACAGGGAAGCAAAGTTGTGTGAGCACAGAAAGAATAGAGAAGGACTTATTCCTCCAGAGAAGGCTCAAAGAAGGCCTCGGGGAAGAAGAGGACTTTGGAACATGTTTTGAAATCCAGGAGGATGTCCCCATGTGGGGGAATAGGAGAAAAGTGCTGCAAACAGAAGGAACAACATAAACCGTAGCACAGGGACCTCACTCCTCTTGGCGAAAGTGCAGTAACCCTTGTGGCTAAAATAAGAGGTGACTGGGTAAAGGAAGGAGGACTCAGTGTGAGACCATACAAGGAGGTTGTGGACAAAACAGGAAGTGTTTTACAAATGCTTGAACTTTATCCTATAGACAGCAGGAACCACTGAAGTCTTTTAGAGCAGATAAGATGTGATCAAAGTATTACTTTTAAACAGTCACTCTGGCAGCATTGTGGAGAATGAATTTTGGAGTCGGTGTAGAACCTAGAAGAAGGAAAGGAGAACAAAGGCTACGGTAGTATTGGCCAGGGGAGAAATGATGAGGTCTGGGTGGGGCAATGAAGTGGCAGGTTTTAAAGCAATATTTCTGATAGACAAGTGGTAGGCTTGGAGATTTATTGGATGTAGAGGTTGAGGGAAAGGGAAACAAAGGATGATTCCCAGGTTTCTAGCTTGTGTCTAGACTAGAGAAATGTTACTGCCATTAGCCATGGGAGGAATTATTGAGAGAGGAAAAGATTGTGCAAGGGGGATATTGAGCATTTGTTTTTGGTCACGTTAGGCTCGTAACCAGGGCTGCACCATGAGGAATTGCAAATGTAGGTCTGGACCTGAAGTATTTATGACCCATTTTTATATGAGAAAATTGAGGCTCTGGAATGTTAATGTGTCCAAAGATTCCTAATAGGTGGTGATGTTTAGTCATCCTTGTGTCTCTGGTTTTAGCATAGTACCAGAAATGAATAAATGCCACGCTATTATCTGAAAGCCAGAGAAGAGAGAGAGGGCAGAACCTGGAAAACACCAGATTCCAAGGACAGTCCAAAGAAGATTGGGCCAGCAAGAAGGACTAAGAAAAAGCAAAACCCAGGAATGAGAATTCCAAGAAAGAGGAAGAGATTCACATGTCAATGCCTCAGAACTCAGAAAGAATGTAAATGGGATATCTGAGGTCATTTTTTACCTTTAGTAGAGAGGTGACTATGCAAGCTGGTTTGGAAATGACTTGGGAGAGAGTGAAAGGTGAAGCCATAGGAAAAAAAGTCAGACTAGACTTCTGTGAATTTAGACTTCAAGCAAGATAAGGAGAGGCAGTAAAAGAGTTGGAGATTGAGGGAAGGTTTTCTGGGCTGGATGGATGGTTGCTTTTAAAGAAAAAAGTAGATTTGAGTATGTTTATGGGCAGAGAAAAAAGCTCCCATGGACAAAGAGAAGCCAGAGATAAAAGTCAGTGGGAAACATGAGGATGGGCTAAAGAGAACAGGTGATGGGGTAACTTTACAAAGGAGCATTTACATCTAATCCTCCAAAACAGGAGGGGAGAAGAAAACACGAACACGGAAGCTCGCCTTAAAAAATCAGCTTCTAGGCTATGGTTATTTCTTGATTACATATCATGAATTTCTCCAGAAGTGCCTGATTCGAAGAATCTTCCATAGTACCCACAGCAATCGATGTTGAAAAGCCAGAAGTCCAGTTTTTCTATTTTATTTGGCATAGGCAAAATGAAGTTTTTACTTGCAGCTTTTATTTTCTGGTTTTTATTTTGAGCTATTTCAACCTGCAGTCAACAATGGAAAATATCAGACCAAAAGGGACATAAAAGGAAAGGGCCTTCCATTTCACCATTAACTTGCCTTCCAGGAAATACCACCACTAAACAGCCACAATAAGCCGCACCACAGTGCTTCCCCTCAACTCTTCATCTCTTGGTTACCCTGGACGAGTGAGGGACCATTGACATTCCCCACAATGGAGTTCAAAACTGTACAATTGACATTATAGACAGTAAAATATCCATTGGTATCTACTCCTCATTTCAATTAGAGTCCTCTCCCTGAACATGATCCTCTAAAGCCGAGCAAGAATTCTGAGGTCTTTGTTCTCCACACTTTCAGTTTTATGATACAGTCCGATCAACGAGAGTTCTAAACTTTACACACAATTTTAAATGGCAAAGCAGCTCAGGATTTTGACTGACTAAATATATTTCTCTAATTTTATAATAATTACCCTACTTCCTTTCTTACATGTACTATTTATATCCTGAAAAGATATCAGATCTGAGAGGGTCTACATAACTGAAGCTTTAGTTTGGATTTTGTCAAAATGGGGAAGAAATGTAAAGGATTTCTTTTTCTGAAACCACCTTTCCTCTTAATACTCTGGAGGTTTGATAAATGTTGCATATACCGCCACCTGCCTCCCACCCCCACTATCCCCAAATGTACCTTACAAAGTTTTGCAAATGGCAAGCGATGAATGGTACAAAGACCACCTGCTTTTGGCTGGGAAGAGCCAAGTCCAGGTCTTAACATGAAACACCTATTTTAGTCCTGATGTTTTCAATGGATATGAACTTTATGACTACAGGGTACACTAAGCCACACTGCAGACAACATTGGGATTCCTTTGCGATCAACCACACCACATCAAACTGCACTCTATTCATGCTCTATCTACAAGTCTTCCCAAACTTATCTTCTTTTCTTGCTAAACTTCTATTTCAAATTTTTTATCTTCCTCCCCTTTATATATCAGCATTCTCTAGAAGAAACTAGAGCATTTTAGATGGAAAATGTAGCCTTTATGTAACAAAAAGAAATTTCAAAATTGTATCTCTTCCCCAAATCTTTCTAGGTCATATATTGTGTCAAGAAGATAGCAGGCTAATGTCACCCTCTAATGGAATAGTGTTTTCAGGGATTTAACTGCTCAAATGGACCATCCTTAAGGTTATTCAACTTTTTGTTCTGACTCCATTTCACCAATCACCTTCTTAAAAAGATTTTTTTCACTTCAAATTCAATTCTAACTCAATCTTCTCTTGCAAACCAGTTTCCCATTTTGACTTCTTTATATTGTATTTCTAACAGTTTTTTAATAAAATTAATATATGTTGGTGGAGCGCTGTGGCTCACGCCTGTAATCCCAGCACTTTGGGAGACCGAGATGGGCGGATCACTTGAGTTCGGGAGTTCAAGACCAGCCTGGCCAACATGGCGAAACCCCATCTCTACTAAAAGTACAAAAATTAGCCAGGGATGGTGGTGCATGCCTGTAATCCCAGCTACTTGAGAGGCTGAGGCAGGAGAATCGCTTGAATCTGGGAGACAGAGGTTGTAGTGAGCTGAGATCGTGCCACTGCACTCCAGCCTGAGTGACAGAGCAATTACATTAGTTATGCATTGTTCGTATGTGACTATTCCTCTAAAATACGTGTTTAAAGTCTTTGGATTCAAGCATATTAAGATACCACTGTTTATTTAATCAATCTCTTACTATCAAATATGTAAGTTGTACCCAGTTTTTTCAAGTTATCAGAAATATTGCAATTAAAATCCAGCTATATTATTTAGTGTATCTTACTATTTCCTCAGACTGATTTCCTAGAATGGGAGGCAGACAGTTTGGATGGAATCCTAGATTTATTCCTTTCTATTGGTGTGACTCTAGGCAAGTTGTTGAGTCTTTCTTTGCCTTGGTTTATCTGCAAAATGGAGATTATGATAACACATAATTCATAGGATTGTTGAAAAATTAAACTTAGTAGAAGTTCCAAATAAGTATTTGCTGTTGTTATGAAAACCTTTAAAGTTTTCAATGCATATACAACATTTTAGGATGTTAAAACTAAAGTTTGACCCTGCCACTTGGAAACAATAGTCTCCAGAACCCACACTCTTAACTGCTAGGTTTACTAACACTCATGAGCATAACAACTCCAGTTCTAGGAATTTAGGCTGAGGAAATACATGACAGACACACACAAAGTAAAATACATGCAATAGATGTTCCACACCGAAGTTAGGTGCCTGAACAAAATGTTCAAAAGATAGACAAAAAAGCTAGGCTTTCTACTTTAGATCACTCAGGCAAAGACTAAACAAGTGCTGAGTGTGGAAGAAGTGGATTTGGGAGGTGATGTCTTCAGCTAAGCCATGCTGTGACAGCCTGCCCATCACCAGAGAGAGGGGAGCATGGTATCTCCCACCACAGGCTTAGTGACTTCTTCCTTTGCTGTGTCCCATCCTCTGAGAGGCCAGAAGATGCAATTAACAAGGAGAAAGAGGGAAAGAAAGGAGTGAGAGAAGGTGACCAAAACCACGGTGCAAAGAACAGGTGCCCCGTTGAACACAGACCTCAGGTGGGACAAGGAAAGGAAACGTCTTACCTGTGAAAAAAAAGACTGAAGTTTGATTAATAGCTTGGATTGTATACTCTTAATTTCTGAATCAAGCCAGCATTTGTGGCTTAGAACATAGGCCAATCTACTCCCCAAGAGCAAGCAGAACAGAGGGGCATCCAAGTTCTCAGCCAGTGAGTAGGGGAAGCTTCCACCACCAAATACATTTTTAAGTAATGATAGGAGACACAAATGAGGAATCCATTATGCTTGTCCAATGGAAAGGCTCCACATAATAATAAAACATTGCCGCCCAGAAAACTTGTCTCAATTTATATTCCAATGAGCAGTGTACAGGAGTCTCTTTTTCCCTCACTACAAAATATATGATCTATAATTTGGTTTCCCAAATAGATTTTTTTTTTTTTTTGAGATGGAGTCTCGCTGTGTTGCACAGGCTGGAGTGCAGTGGCACAATCTCAGCTCACTACAACCTCCGCCTCCCGGGCTCAAGCCATCCTCCCACCTCACCCTCCGGAGTAGCTGGGACTACAGGCACCTGGCACCACGCCCAGCTAGTTTTTTTGTTTTGTTTTGTTTTTTGTATGTTTAGTAGATACAGGGTTTCGCCGTGTTGGCCAAGCTGGTCTCGAACCCCTGATCCACCCACCTCGGCCTCCCAAAGTGCTGGGATTACAGGTGTGAGCCACCCTGCCCGGCCCCAAATAGGCTTTATTTGTGTGAAGAGAACAAACTGAATGGCTGACACAGATATATTGCTTAGCAAGTATATTTCTAATAGTAAATAAATAAATTGGCATTTTAATTTATCAGCCAGCCAGTGTTTTAAGAGATTAGTTAACACAAATAAGCCCCCTAGAATGAAGTCACTTCTCACAGAGATGACAATTCAAGTTCCCCACACGTGCCCAGCCGAGCAGTTCTCCAGCAGCCCCAGCGCGGGCAGCCTCCAAGGTCCTCCGGGAAGCCAGCTGGCTGGCAGGTTGGCCTCTCTTTAGCACCATTTAAACTGCAACAAGCAGAACAGCAGGCTTTGAGGAGTGAGGACATGAAATGTCCTCCGGGGACCAAGAAACTGGATGTTCACAGATCCAGTTTCTAATTGCAAAGCAGCTAATCGTAGAGCATCTAATCGAGAGGCAGCATTTGAACAAAGAGTGGAAATAACCCCAACGCCATTCAGCACGGAATGAGACCCAGGCCTCTCAATGAACAACTCCTTCCAACAAAAATAGCAAGTCTGCGGCGCCACGTAAAGGTGCTGCCAATGGGGTGTGTGCACATTACTGTGACAGGCAAACACAACATCAAGAAAACACTTAATCTTCCTGTTTATCCCCAGAAGGACTAATAACCAGAGTGAGAGGGAGAGCTGCATTCTTCTTCATTTAGAAACGAGCTCCCACTAATGCCTGGCTCTCCAAGTTTATAGACCAAATACCTGCTCGCACTAAAACTGCCACATATTGTAAACCTCACCAAGGAAGTGAATCCATCACGTTCTCACTCCCTTAAGAATAGTTTTTCCCTGGAGTACATAACCCATTACTGCATATCTTGTAGAAATCAAATGCAGACTCTATCTTCCACCACAGAACAAATCGGTTTTGCAGAAAAATGCACAAATCATGACATTTTGTTTTTCTTTCACTTTAAGGCTTTTA
The DNA here is from genome assembly GCF_000001405.40 of Homo sapiens. Lineage (NCBI taxonomy): Eukaryota > Metazoa > Chordata > Mammalia > Primates > Hominidae > Homo > Homo sapiens. The sequence continues at coordinate 191,560,084 of NC_000002.12, read as the reverse complement.
TTTCATTATGGTTATTGTTTTCTTCTTTTTCTTTGTTTTCAGGCAGCAGTTTCTAAGGCATCACTACACTTGGATTAGAGCCACAGCTAGGGAGGGGATGCCATTCCCCACTTAGTCTCTAGCTACAGGGATGGTACCGAGGCCCGCTCCGGGCTACAATGAGAAGCAGATTGAGGGGCCTGCAAACCCCGTTGATTTACCTTGAACCCTTTTCTGACTCTTTGTCTCCCACTCTTTCCTACAGGTTCCTGATCTGATCCCTCCAATCAGCAGACATTTCTCTGTGATGTCACTAACACTGTCAGTCACCAGACTTGTTCTTTGGGTTCAGGGACTTATTATTCACCCTGTACCCCTAGGGCTGGTGCTGGGTGTGGCACATGGTAAACCATCAATGAATATTTGGAGATGCCAGGCATGGTGGCTCACACCCCTAATCCCAGCACTTTGGGAGGCCAAGGCAGATGGATCACTTGAACTTGGGAGTTCAAGACCAGCATGGCCAATATGGTGAAACCCCGTCTCTACAGAAAAAATATTAGCCAGGCCTGTTGGCACATGCCTGTAATCCCAGCTACTCGGGAGGCTGAGGCAGGAGAATCGCTTGAACCCAGGAGGCAGAGGTTGCAGTGAGCCAAGATCGTGCCACTGCACTCCAGCCTGGGTGACACAGCAAGACTCTGTCTCAAAAAAAAAAAAAAAAAAAAAAGGGAATGAAAGAATGAACTAAATATATTTAAGGAGGACTAAATAAAGAATCCAAAGACTAAACCTAATGCTAGATTTTAAGGAAATTTATATTTGTTGAATGCCTACTGTGTATCAGTGATAGACAAGGCACTTAAAATCTCATTTAATCCTCACAGCCTCCATATCATACCACAAGTACAGCAGTTTCTGTATATATCTGGGCTTACCTCTCTGAAGACAAGCTGTTTCTAGATATTGAGCTATTTTTACAAGAAATTAGAAGCACAAAGAATGACTTTAAGAAATAAGGATCTCAGTAGTTTCTTCAGTCAACCTCTTCTTTGTATTATGTCTTATCAATGGCCAACCAAACATCTCTATCATTATCTATCTATCTATCTATCCAACTATCACTATCTATCTATCTTTTTTTTTTTTTTTTTTTGAGACGGAGTCTTGCTCTGTTTCCCAGGCTGGAGTGCAGTGGCTCAATCTCAGCTCACTGCAACTTCTGCCTCCCAGGTTCAAGCAATTCTCCTGCCTCAACCTCCCAAGTAGCTGAGACTACAGGTGCCCGCTACCACACCCAACTAATTTTTGTATTTTTGGTAGACACAGCTTTCGCCATATTAGCCACGCTGGTCTCAAACACCTGACCTCAATTGATCCTCCCGTCTCAGCCTCCCAGAGTGCTGGGATTACAGGTGTGAGCCACCACACCCAGCCTATTATGCAATTTTAAATACCTTATTTCAATTATCTACTAGTTCAGTGCATTTCAAGTATTGGTGGGATGTTTAATATGCCTATGTGAAGTCAGATTTTCTTTTCTAGAGCATTGGTGTACTGTTACTGTTTTTTGTATCTTTTGAATGTTCTATAAGGATTTCCCTTTCTCATCTCTAATGTTCCGCTCTCTTTACTGGTCACACACACACTTGGGTAGGTTCATATTTTCACTCATGCCCCGTTCCCATACATCTCTTAGAGCCCATCAACAGCATTTGTTGTCATTGTCGATGCATCCTGTCCACTGTCACCCCGCAAAGCTTTGAAAAGGAACCCTATCTCTTCCGGAGGCTCCTTCCCCATCAACCCAAAATGACCTCATTTTTTTAGACATGAATATGCCTCAAGGGTTCCTTGAGGGTGAGCTATGTACGCCTAATTCATGACTGAATGATAATGATGCTAGCAGACATCCCAGAGGCTTGTCAGGGGCCTGGCAATGTGTTTAGCTCCCTGCAGAGGCTAACTCACCTAACCTTTACAATTCCCTCACAGCCTAAGTGCTAGTGTTATCTTCATTTCACAGAGGGGACATCTGAGGCTCAGGGGACACCAGAGTTGGAGGGAGTTTAAGCAGAATGGCCCAGTGTGACTCAGCTAGGTAGTAGCAGAGGCAGGATGTGAACCCATGCAGTCAGGCCCTCGGAGCCACGTTCTGACCACGGTACAGTCCTCTCCGTATGTGTGAAGACAGACAAAACCCTGTGGGCTACTTCACCCAGCAGGCCAAGAAATAATTACATATCCACCCAGGTATTATTGAGAGGAAAATTCAGCAAATATTTTGATCTGAGCATTTTTCAATTCTAACCATTTAAAAGTAACTTTCATTCTATCAGCAGGAGAATCACAGATTTCTATGCTGTAAACAGCAAAGGATCGGGTCATACATGTAAAACTTTAACCATTTTCTTTATTTTATAGAGGAGAAAAGGAGTTTTCTTACGCTCATAGGCATTTTCTCAGTGAGTTAAGGAGTCTTTCCTTAGGCACACAGATGGGCCTTACAATAGCTTTAAGTCTACTGGAAGACTTAATTTTCTGAATCATGCTCAAAGACTAGTGCTTTACTCATTCTAGGCCCCACACAGTTTCTCATAAAACATTTCGCTTCTAAGTGAGTTGTGAAAATGGGACTCACAAAATGATGACAGAAATACTGCTTTAAAAACCTTTCCAGAAGGTTTCACAGAAATACAATAGAATATATGAGAAGAAAATGTCTAGTTGTTATTACGAAGGTGTAAAGGAAATGAGAGAGGGTTACTTTTTACTGGAAACAGCCAGAAAGATTCACTTAAGACCATAATTTACTCATATAATCTGTTTTATTTAAAAATAATATTGAAATAGTACTAAAATAATCTTAATAGAAATTATGCAAGACACAACTAACATTAATTCTAGTGATTTGTACTAGATAAAAATAAGGAATTACTATGAGCTATTGAGAGAAATTAAAGGAACATTTTCATCATGAAATTTCAATCAAAGGAGAATAACAAGAAGACATCTTAGTCATGCCAACCTTTGGAAAATATACTCCCTGACCACTATTTCTGAAATTATTAAGGATGTTCAACAAAACATATAGACAAATCCAATTAAGGAGGAAACTTACAAAGATATAACAAAGAGGGAAGCCAGCCAAGCAGTGCAATGCAAACAAAGCCCACCGTGACAGATGGAGAGCAAAGCCATAAGGAGTCCACACTGCACCATTCAATAAATAGTATGGTCAAGAGGGCATATCCTAGTGATATGACAAATGAGCCTATTTTCCTCTAACAATTGAAATAAGGTAAGGCCAATACAACCTTTAAAGAAACAAAAATGTTTGCAAGAAAGCCATGTACACACACAAATAAACCAAACATTGCCTAATTTTGAGCATGTTAGAGAACAGGATGCATTTGACCTTGATGATTGTCCTTATAAGGACATGAAGTTAGTCACAGAGGATGACATGTCTTTCCTGCTGACCAACCACACCGCTCAGTTCTTCACCAAATACTTTGTTTAATTATACCACCAAAGCTCTTATTTACAGTTATAGGACTGAACGTAAATTACTAACCTTGACAACATAAAAATAGAGTTTACCCAGCCCAAATTGGGAAATTATGGAGAAAAGAGGTGCAGGAAAGTGTGAGAAGATAATTTCTTCATCTCGTCTAATGAGAAGGAAGAGATACTATTAAAAAGTAGAGACTTCAGTGTATTATTTAATTATGAAGGCAACAAGTATAGAGCAACGTCCCACTAATAAATATTTCCCCTGACACTTTACATGACTTAAAATTTGTCATTTACTTCAGGTTCATATTATCTTAGAAAAATAAGTGTTCTGGCTTGGCACAGTGGCTCACGCCTGTAATCCCACTGCTTGAGGGGCTGAGGCAGGAGGATCGCTTGAGCCTAAGAGTTCAAGACCAGCCAGGACAACACAGAGAAACCCTGACTCTACAAGGAATACAAAAATAAGTTGGGCGTGATGGTGCATGCCTGTTGTCCCAGCTACTTGGGAGGCTGAAGTAGGAAGATCACTTGAACCCAGAAGCTCAAAGCTGCAGTGAGCCACGATCACGCCACTGCACTCTGGCCTGGACCACAGAGTGAGACCCTGTCTCAAAAGAAAAAAGAGAAATAAGCATTCTGTCCCCTCTTCAGAGCATGATTCTCTCTCTGATTAAGACTCCTCTAATTTCAAGAAGCTCCTCCTGATTATTCAAGATGGTTCAAATTTAGAAGGCACCCTTGATCCTCTTACTTTTTTGTGACTAGCACAAGTACTGGGCCATAAAACAGAGGGTCCTCAAAGAATAACCATATTCCCTCACCATCAAAATCCTGCCATTTGGCTGATCAATCCCACCCCACACACACCAAAGCATGCTGTGGTTCAACTCCAAGACTTTTGACTAGTGTCTGATACTTTTAAATGCCTCTGTTACCTACTTCTCTGAGACATCAGACAAGTCTGAACCTATCCCAACTTGAGTTTCCCCCACGGTAAATTAGAGGCATTGGTATCCATCCCACAAGGTTGTACTGATAATCAAATGAGATAACATACAAAGTGCCCAGCACATTGTAGATGTTACAACTTCCTTTCTTCCCTTCAATAGATGAAATTTATTGTGTGAACAACGAAGTGTTCTTAATATGTTTGTTATTTTTTCTCCGTTTAAACATCTGTAGTTGTCAGAACTTTTGAGAAAGGTTCTTTCATGTCTAAACGTCCACGATTCTATGGCCAGTACGCTAATTAAAGGAGAACCATCCTAGTTCAGCCTCTCCCAGGTTAGACCAAAAAGTGGATTGCTGCTGCCACCTGGTGGCTACAAGATAATTTGAGGCAGCATTTCGCGGAAGCTTGTGAGTGCTAAACACCCAACCCCCACACACAATTAGAGGGAGCCTGGGAAAGTGAGGACGCCCCCACTTGTTTTCTTTTCTTTTCTTTTTTTTTTTTTTTTTTGAGACAGGGTCTCGCTTTGTCACCCAGGCTGGAGTACAGGGGCACAATCTCAGCTCACGGCAACCTCTGCCTCCCAGATTCAAGCGATTCTCGTGCCTCAGCCACCCCAGTAGTTGGGATTACAGGCACGCGCCACCACGCCTGGCTAATTTTTGTATTTTTAGTAGAGACAGGGATCTCAGTATGTTGTCCAGGCTGGTCTCGAACTCCCAGGCTCAAGCGATCCTCTTGCCTCAGCCTCTCAAAGTGCTGGGATTACAGGCACGAGCCACTGCGCCGGGACGACCCCAATTATTTTCTAAACGAGTGTCGGTGACAGGTGAAGAACACACACTGGTTTGTTTCCATCTTTGGGAATGTAAATCAAGGTCAAGACTGACCTTGAACAAAAATGTAAAGTTGGCAAATGCCGACTTCAAGGCTCTGAGATTCTTTCCTGTGCCTCTCCTCCACACGTTCTTTGGCTTCCCTAGTCCTCAGGACATTTATTCTACTTGTTCTTCCTCAAATCAAAAGCTGTTCAGAAAATTTTTTTTGATAAAATGATTCACTCTAGGTATAAGTAACTAAGATAATTAATGGAGAGGCCATTAGGCTGAGCCAGCTCCAGGGCCCTGGATTCCTACAGAAGCAAACCGAAACCCAAGTATCAATGGTCATATTCTAGGAAAATGCAACTTCAGCTTTAAAACTCAGGAGCCACCAATTAACCCTTTTAAAGCCTTCTCTTGCCCTCTTGGTGGAGCCTCGAGCCACCTGAAGTCTGATGCTACCTGATTTATGAATCGTTTGCTCAAATAAACTCCTTAATATTCTAATGTGCCTCAGTTTATCTTTTAACATTAATGAGGCTTAATATGACTTCTCTCTGTAATGTTTGCATTTTTAATTACTCTATTTTTGAATAGAAGAATTATGTGTGTATGACACATATTATAAAAGGTCTTCCTAGCAGCTACCCAGAATATTCATACAACTATTCCTTTTTATGGTTTAAAAAAGGCACATGCTATACCAGCTGTTCTGCACCTTGTTCTTTTTACCCAATGTCTTGTTTTTGTTTGTTTTGGTTGGTTTTGTTTGGTTGATTCCTTTTTCTTCTTGATCAGGTTCATCATATTCAAACCTAATGTATTTTGCATGTTATGCCATTGTATTTGCACTTTCACAGAAATATAAACTCCGTCTTCCTCAGGTAAAAAGAATAAATCTTTCTTTGTGGAAGTTGAGGAATCTTCAAGCAGAGATAGAGGAAGTTTCAGGTGGTGGATTTCAAGCTTTAAAGAGGATGTGGATCACCTGCAGAGCTCGCAAAACGAAGTGAAGTCCTATTTCTGATTCAATAGGTCTGGGGTGGAGCTGGAAACCAAATATTTAATAAGGAAAGTGAGTACCCCTAATGCAAGCTCTGTGATCATACTTTGAGAATCACTATATAAAGGCAGAAACTATCAGCCCCGGTTGCATATGAGAGTCACCTGGGGGACTAAAAAAATTCTGATTCTGACTAGCTTGGTCTGGGTCCCCAAGTGAATCTAATATGTCACCAAGATTGAGAATGCAGCAATTCTTAAACTTGGCTGCTTACTGGAATCATTTAGGCATCATTAAAAAATACTGATACCTGGGTCACACCTGCCCCCAACAAAGATAATGCTGTAACTGGTGTGGAGTATGGCTGGAGTACAAGGAGCTTCCAGAGCTCCCCGTGATTCAAACAAGCAACTGAGGCTGAGAGACTGTGGTTTAAGCAGATAGGCTTACTGAGAATTCCAGAGTCAAGTCAGGTGAAGCTGACAGATCCAGGAATGTGTTTGTCTTCGCGCCACTCTATTACAGACACAGGAAAGCAGGAGAAAGACAACGTGTGGTCCTCTGTTCTTTGTTAATAAACAGTTTGTGCTGATCAAATAATTTGTCGAATCAGGACTTATTTTTTGTCATTAGTATGGAAGGAAGAGAATGACAGCTAACTGTCCATTCTTGATCAATAAGATTGATCAAATGAGTTAAATCTGAAGAGAGGACCAAGCCACATTTCCACATTAAAAAAAAAAAAAAGATTCTGGCCAGTTGCTCACATGAAGGATAGTTCCTGTGTTCTGGCTCAGTGCATTCTCTATCTTTTTTGTTTTTTGTTTTGTTTTAGACAAGAGTCTCACTCTGTTGCTCAGGCTGGAGTGCAGTGGCACGACCTCAGCTCACTGCAACCTCCGCCTCCCGGATTCAAGCGATTCTCCTGCCTCAGCCTCCCAGGTAGCTAGGACTACAGGCATGTGCCACCACTCCTGGCTAATTTTTTTTTTTTTTAAGTAGACATGAAATTTCACTATGTTAGCCAGGCTGGTCTTGAACTCCTGACCTCAGGTGATCCGCCTGCCTCAGCCTCCCAAAGTGCTGGGATTACAGGCGTGAGCCACCGCGCCTGGCACAGTGAGTTATCCAGCTGAGAACTCTAGCTTCTGCTATCTTTTCTGTGGCATTCCAAATGAAAGTATTACTTTATCGGCTTCCACTGGTCAGAAGGCATTTTCTCATTCCTCCGGGCATTGATAATTTGGCAACATTGTGATAGGGGAACTATAAACCAGCTTTCCTGAAACTCTTCTGTAACGAGGTCCCCATCAAAAGAAGTAGTTTCCATATTTAGCTCCATTAGCCGCTTTCTACAAAGACCAGCTTAGAGCTGTAGAGCCGGTTTTCAGTTTCCAACTTCCAAAATACGTTGACAGTTTTTTGTTTTTGCTTTTGTTTTTTTTCAACCATCCTTTCTAATGACCTCCCTGGATAGCAAACAGATTACTTTCTTGTTTTTAACTTGATCAGGCATAAGAACAAGAACTGTTAACATTTCACCGGATGTACGCTTTGGCAACATACCAGCTTAGGTTGTTTAATTTACAGCAATATGGCTGCAGGCAAGTCAGACTAATGAGGGAGACTAAAGATTTAGAGTTAAATATTAAATGTATCTTAGTCTTTATTTCTTGCTGTTCCAACCAATAATAATAAAAAAAAAATGCCTCTGGGATATTCGAGCATGAAGACATCTAGCTTGTGGTGCCTTCTGTAGAGCCAGAAAGACATTTAATTCCGTATTACACAGATGGCAGCCACAATATTTGTTTCCTTTTCATTTTATTTTGGTAGTATAACCTATGCTGGCTGGGGACACAATATACTAGCAAACAGCTCACATCTAAAGTAGCCTGGCCTTGGTTTTCCTTTGCAGTTTTATAGCTCGTCTTTCTCTCTCAAGAATTTACTATAAACTGGGGACTGGGTTAGAGAACCAGCAGTGATGCAGGAGAGGGTACTCTGATGAAAGCTTTTTCTGATTCTTGGATTTTGCTGATCAAATGTAAGTTCATAGTTGACTAGTATGTCTCAGTGTTATAATCAAAGAAGTTGGGCGGGGTGTTCCCTTCCTTCTTACCTATTGTCACTAAAGCACCACAAACTAAATCCTGCCCTCTCTGGTGAAAGAACTCTTCCTAAATGTTCCCAATAGATTGAAATTTTGTTTTTGTCTCCAACCTTATCCGGTTTAACTCCCCACCTGCTCTGGGTCCTGTTGACTCCTAAGTTCCCCTGGAGACCTGGCTTTTTTAACCTCCTCAGTTCCGATGGATAAATATTGGAGGACTTTCCCAACAAGGCACAATAGCGGGGCTCAAGCCTAATATTTTACCACCATTTCTCACACCCTCCCATGTTCTTGCTGTACCAAACTCTTTCCATTACCTGAAACACTGTTCAATGTTATTCAGAAAACATTTACTGAGCATCTGTTACACCTCAAACTCTGAGCTGTTGCCAGGAATGCAATGGGAATGCAACATCTTCGTCAACTGTTCTTACTCCCGCTTCTATGGTGTGGTTTTCTCTTTCTTTTTCTTCATAATTTTTGCATGACTATAATTATTTTCATGTATTTCACCTGACTGGAATCTCATGGTAATAAAGTAAAACATAGGTAACCAAATCTGTCAAATCTACTGAGGCTGGGCGCGGTGCCTTGCGCCTGTACTCCCAGCACCTTGGGAGGTCGAGGCAGGTGGATCACTTGAGGTCAGGAGTTCGAGACCCACCTGGCCAACATGGTGAAATCCCATCTCTACTAAAAATACAAAAATTAGCCAGGCATGGTAGCATGCGCCTGTAGTCCCAGCTACTTAGGAGGCTGAGGCAGGAGAATTGCTTGAACCCGGGAAGCGGAGGTTGCAGTGAGCCGAGATCGTACCACTGCACTCCAGCCTGGGCGACAGAGTGAGACTCCATCTCAAAAACTAAAAAAATTAAAAATAAATTTAAAAAATCTACTGAATATGTTGACCACCATGTGATCCAAGGCCAAGGTGTCCTTGCACATGCTGTTCTCATTTCTTCAAGTACCTTTGCCAGGAGTTAACGTTCCTGGTTCTCTCCCTTCTACCCACTTCCAAATACCTAGAGAATTCCTGCATGGAGGAGAAGAGCCAGGCAGTGGGTTGCTACTGAGAAGGAGGGCTATGCTAGCTGACCTTGACTGAGCACTTACTACCCATCAGGATCCGTGTCAAGTGCACTAAGTGCTTCGTTTCATTGAAGGCTCTCAGCAACCCTCTGAGGCAGGTTTTCATTGTATCGTTATTTTACAGATGAGGAAGCTGAGGCTTACAGAGGTAAAGTGACTTTCCAGGCAGTTTAATCCCAACACTGACACTAATGCCAACCCTTCACTACCTCCCACTCATAACAACAGGTGACAGATGAGCACAGCTGTATAAAACGTGCATAAGAAAAGAGACTGGTAACACCACAAAGGGTAGAATAGTGGTTGTGTGAGGTGGTAGGGGTATTGAGCACACACTCCTCCTGCAGCTGAAATGTCAGCGGCTTGTCTGTCAAGATTGTCTGGTTTCCCCACCCCACAGGAAAGGTTGCCTACTGTGTTCCAGTGGCACTTTTCATGCAGCTCTACTATAGCACTTCTGAGGCACTTGTTTTTTTTTTTTTTTTTTTTTTGAGACAGAGTTTCACTCTTGTCACCCAGGCTGGAGTACAATGGCGCAATCTTGGCTCACCACAACCTCTGCCTCCCAGGTTCAAGCAATTCTCCTGCCTCAGCCTCCTCAGTAGCTGGGATTGCAGGCGTGTGCCACCAAGCCTGTCTAATTTTGTACTTTTAGTAGAAACGGGGTTTTTCCATGTTGATCAGGCTGGTCTCGAACTCCTGACCTCAGGTGATCCACCTGCCCTAGCCTCCCAAAGTGCTGGGATTACAGATGTGAACCACCGCGCCCGGCTCTGATGCACTTTTTACATTCACCGTGTTTCACCTGATAGATATGTCTCCCCAAGAGAGGAGGCTTTCTTCTGTATCTTTTGACCTCCTATGCTCTGCAGAGTGCCTGGTGCACAAAAAGTGCCAAATGGGTATTTGATGAATGACTGAAGGAAAGGTCTCTATTTTCAGCTCTGTGGGCCATGTAATATCTGTAGCAACTACTCAACTCTGCCTCTGTCATGCAAAAGTAATCACAGACAATATGTAAATGAATAAGCATGGGTGTGTTCCAGTAATATTTATGTACAATAAAATCTGAATTTCATATAATTTTCACATTATGAAATATTCTTTTTTCATCTTTTTCAACTATTTAAAAATGCAGAAACCATTCTAGTAGTAGACTGTACAAAAACAAGAGGTGTGTCAAGACCATCCTGGCTAACATGGTGAAACCCCGTCTCTACTAAAAAACACAAAAAATTAGCCAGGCGTAGTGGCGGGCGCCTATAATCCCAGCTACATGGGAGGCTGAGGCAGGAGAATCGCTTGAACCCAGGAGGCAGAGGTTGCAGTGAGCCGAGATCATGCCACTGCACTCCAGCCTGGGTGACAGAGTGAGACTCTGTCTCAAAAAAAAAAAAAAACAAGAGGTGTGGCCAGGTGTGGTGGTTCACGCCTGTAGTCCCAGCACTTTGGGAGGGCGAAGTAGGGAAGGATAGCTTGGGCCCAGGAGTTCAAGACCAGCCTGGGCAGTATAGTGAGACCCTGTTTCTTTCTTTCTTTTTTTTTTTTTTTGAGATGGAGTTTCAATCTTGTTGCCCAGGCTGGAGTGCAGTGGCGCGATCTCGGCTCACCACAAACTCTGCCTCCTGGATTCAAGCAATTCTCCCGCCTCAGCCTCCCGAGTAGCTGGCATTACAGGCATGTGCCACCACACCCAGCTAATTTTGTATTTTTAGTAGAGACAGGGTTTCTCCATGTTGGTCAGGCTGGTCTTGAACTCCTGACCTCAGGTGACCTGCCTGCCTCGGCCTCCCAAAGTGCTGGAATTACAGGCATGAGCCCTGTGTCTGGTGTGAGACCATGTTTCTACCAAAAAATAAAAACAAAAAATTAGCCAGATGGGATGGCACATGCCTGTGGTCCCAGCTAATCAGGAGGCTGAGACGGGAGGCTGAGACAGGAGGCTGAGGCTGAAGGATTGCTTGAGCCTGGGAAGTAGAGGCTGCAGTGAGCTGTGATTGTGCCACTGTGCTCCAGTCTGGACAACAGAGGAAGACCCCATCTCAATAAATAAAAATAAAAAGTAAATCAGGAGGTGGCAGATTTGGTCCGAGGACCATAGTTTACCAACCCTTGCTCCAAGCTCTTCAAATCACCCATCACAGTTCTCGGTCTCAGCTGTTCCACTGTCTGATCTGTAAAAACAGTTGTAAAGATGAGATTATGGATGCAGCCCCCCACCTAGACGATGTAGCATGCCAGTGCGCTAGGACGGTTTTGCAGGAATCTGAGTGGAAGTGACTGTTAGAGATACCCCACTCCACAGCATAAAGCAATGTGGTCTCACAAAAATACATTTCAAAGTCACGTCTTTCTATTCATTGACAAAGTTACCAATTAATCTCTCTCTCTCTCTCTCTTTTTTTTTTTTTTTTTTTTTGAGACGGAGTCTCACTCTGTCACCCAGGCTGGAGTGCAGTGGCACAATCTCGGCTCACTGCAACCTCTGCCTCCCGGGTTCAAGCAATTCTTCTGTCTCAGCCTCCCGAGTATCTGGGACTACAGGTGCACACCACCACACCTGGCTAATTTTTGTATTTTTTTAGTAGAGATGGGGTTTCACCATGTTGGTCAGGCTGGTCTCGAACTCCTGACCTCAGGTGATCCACCTGCCTCGCCCTCCCAAAGTGCTGGGATTACAGGCATGAGTCACCGCACCTGGTCCCAATTAATCTCTGAGAGACAGAATTTGAAAGGTCTATGAATAGGTTTTCTATTTTAAATTGGGGGCAGTGGGCAGACCATGAGTGGTTATCTGGGAAATATGCGAACGTGTGCATTAGGGAAGGCTGCAAGATCCATCAAAGAGCCTGCATCCAAATGCAGGGTGTGTGCCAGATAGCTTTTGATCTGTTACAAATAAAGGAATTTAAAATTCCCAAACAAAGCAAAACTCCAGAGGATAATGTCAAGGTAATGGGATTATAGCACTGAAAACAGGTCAATGGAAAGACACCTGCCTTTTAGATCACACAAATAGCTCAGAAGTGCTGGGCTGCTGCTTCTCTTAACCTAGAAGTGTTTCTGGAGCTGGCTGGAAGGCCAATCTCTACATAAAACTTGTCTTTTCTTTTGAAAACAGGCATTAGCTGCTTCTTGAGTATCTCTCGGAGAGGTCGCTAGGGGAATTTGCCAGACTTCAAAGCAGGGGAAAGGAAAAGCTTCGTAATAACACACTCTGGCGTCTGTATAAATATGTCAACTACCCCATGGATCCCATGTTTATCTCATACTCTCTCTAGGGTCCTGAAAAGCTGAAGAAAGTGAATGCTGACATTTTAGGAGAGTTTAGTAGATGGTGCACCAGCAACAGCTGACTGCCACTGGCTATACTGTGGGACCACTCTTTGATTTCTTCATGCTTCAGTGTGCTCATTTGTAACATGGTATGGTTTGGTCAGACTATGAGGCTCTTTCCTGCTCTATGATTCTGGGATTCTAACATATCCTCCTTTGCTTCTGTAACCTGAATTTCACCAGATTGCAACAAAATGTGGGTATGAAAAGAACACAATATCATTTTTGGAGTATTCTGGCAAAAAGTGTTTAACCTGGATCTAATCATGAGGAAATAATCAGGCAAATTCCAATTGGGAGAGTCTATAACCAACTGGCCTGCACTCTTCAAAAATGCCACCGTATAAAAGACAAAATTTAAAACATTTTTCAAAAGGTGGTGGGGGGAGCTATTCCGGATTAAAAGTGACTAAAAAGACATGATAACATACAAGTATTGGGGTATTCGGAGTGATTTGACTAGGGACTATATATAGTAAATAACATCTATGATATATAACTATATTTTACATATAATAGTGATATTGTGGTTATATAAGAGAATGTCCTTATTCTTAGGAAATACAAGCTGAAATGTTTAGCAGTAGTGTCATGGTGTCTACTTTCAAATAGTTCAGAGTAAAAAAGTGTGTTTGTGTGTGTGTGTGTGTGTGTGTGTGTAGTGAAAAAGATAAAGCCCATGTGGCAAAATGCTGGCAACTGGTGAATGCAGAAGAAGGTGTAAAATCTTTCATTGTGCTAGTCTATCCACTTTTCTGTGGGTTTGAAATTTTCTAAAATTAAATGTTGGGAAAAAAAAAAAACACATGTGAGTCTTCCTATCAGGGCAAGAATAGAAGAAAACTGGGGGGAAGAGCATTGTTTTCTTTGGGAGAGGTTGAGATCTTGGACACATACTCAAAGAAAAATGAGGGCCGGTGCAGTGGCTCACACCTGTAATCCCAGCACTTTGGGAGGCCGAGGCAGGTGGATTATGAGGTCAGGAGATCGAGACCAACCTGGCTAACACGGTGAAACCCCGTCTCTACTAAAAATCCAAAAAAATTAGCAGGGTGTGGTGGTGGGCACCTGTAGTCCTAGTTACTGGGGAGGCTGAGGCAGGAGAATGGTGTGAACCCGGGAGGCGGAGCTTGCAGTGAGTTGAGATAGCACCACTGCACTTCAGTCTGGGTGACAGGGCGAGACTCCATCTCAAAACAAAAACAAAAAAAAGAAAAATGAGATCTTGGAGGCTGGGCTAGACAGATAAGGAGGTCAGAGGAATATTTTCACAGGTCCCACCATCTTAGAGATGAGACTAGGAAAGAGGGTTTCTTGGGGCCCGAAGAGAGCTGAAAAGGAAGCCACGTGTCTGGAGCTGACCAGAGTAACCCCCATGGGGCAAAGGACTCAGGACCCTGGAAAACACTAATGAGACCCTCTTGAAGCTGCAAGTGACATCCATAATTGGAGTGATTGGGACACACCTTGAAAATTGGAGTAATTCCAGTGTAAAGAGGATCTGGACAGATTTGATCAGGAAAGGCCGAAAGGTCATTGTGGCATATTTGAAGCATCACTGGGTTCATTCTGAAATAACTGAGTTCCTGAGAGAGAGGATTTGAGTGACCCAAAGAACGTGGGTGGCTAAGATGCTAAGGAAAGACAAAAAGCCAGTGATGACAGAAGTAAGTAGAGTCCAAGCCTGGGTGGACAGTGGCCCAATGGGAACCCCTGCCAGATGGGATCCTCCTCAGCCTAGTGAGTCACTAGACAAGACTGACTGGACAATGCATGCTTTTGACAGATAATAGTCCTTGACTTTATATATGTCACTGCAATGAGCTTCACAGGACAAATCTTAGAGAAGTATGTCAGGAAAAAAGTCTGAATCTAAAAACATAGAGCAATAGTTCTTACACATTAGTGAGCATTGGAATCACAAGGAGGGATTTTAAAACTCAGCTGGGCCCCACCTAAGAGTTTCTGATTCACTACATGTGGGATGTGACCCAAGCATGTGCATATTTAACAAATTTCCAAATGATAAAGATGCTGCTGTTCGGGACCACATTTTGGGAACTGGCATAGGGGAAAGAAAATGAAAGGATGGTCATCTAGCAAACTGTACAAGATAGAGAAAGCACTTGGCTGAATCTTCAGTGAAGATGAAGCAACAATGGAGAATGTTCCCTTGCTGTAGAAAGAGTAAGAACCATTACTTCAGAGGTAAAATTGAAAAGTGAGGGAAGATAGCACCATGAGGGGTAGTCAGCTGAGGTCTTCTTCCTCAGCAGGCCCAAAGGACTGGGCTTCAGCTAAGGAAGCTGCTGAAGGCAATTCTCCAATAGAAAACTACAAACTACCTTTAGGAGACAAGACTCACAGGCCTGAGCTATGACTACCTCCCTCAGCCAATGAGACCAACCCCCTCAGGCAGAATGGCCAATTTCCTAAGAATTTCCATGACACCTGTACCAGGTAACTACCAGCTAAATAGCAAGTGAGTAAACTAATATCTCACTGGCTTATACTACCATTTTCATTATGCTAAAAGCTACTATTTATTAGCTGTTTACCAAGTGCTGGGCCCTATGCCAAGTGCTTTACAAGCATTATACTTAATGCTCATCATCTCCTCATAAACTACATCATTACATTTATTCTACACATAAGAAATCTGACACTTGGACAGGTTGAGTATCTTGCCCAAAGTCACACAGCTAGTAAGAATTCAGGTAATAAGTGCCTCTTCATTTTTCCTCCTGGAGAGAGGAAGTTCCATCCAGGAAACAAGAGGGGTAGAGGCATAAACAAAAAGAACAAAGAAGAAATGAGGAGCGGAAAAGAACAACACCGCCCACTGCAAAAGACGAGCTTCAGCATTCATGAAAACCTAGTTTCTTCTGAAGCCAGCGTATGAGAAAATCTTACTTCCACAAACTGACCTATTTTCATCTTGGTCTTCTAAGTAGAAATCCCTCATAATGTAAAGCAAATAAAGCAGAATTCCTGACTTTCATATATCTCTTAAAGCCTAACCAACAAGGCTGAGTCTTCAGTTCAAGTCAGTTTTCACTGCACAATGCCAATAGCTGAACCCAAACTCTTCAGCTGCTGGTGACCCTGTGAAGGCAAGAACGTGGCGGGTGGGTGGATGCGACTGAGGGGCTGAGTGGCGTGTTTTGGTTAGGCAAAGCAGGCAGGCATCACAAATACGAAAAAAAGCCTGCAGCATGAGCTTAAAGAGTTGTGATCTGTTTGTAAAGCTGGTAAAAACTGCTCCACAGGAGCCAAAGCCAAATCCAATACTGTAAAGGAACATTTACTGGAGAGCAACTTTCCTCCAGGGTACATATTTGCATGAGGTGTAAAATTGCTAAATATCTGAGGAATAAAAGAGCTGGGAATCTTATGGCTTAGCTAAGAGTCACACTAATGCCCCAAGCCAAGGTTAAAGCAACAATGACTTCAGATCTCTACAATGACCTCGAGTATTGCCACTGTGAGAACTTATTTATTTTTGCCTTCTCTAGATTATTTCATCATTTTGAGCAAAAGCAAAAACAGATTTATGTGTCAATTTTGGAAGGGAAATTTACTTCTTTCAGGCCCTTTTTTGATGTTAAAAAAAAAAGTAGAAATGCATCCCAACTTTTTACAATTTGGCAATAATACTTTATCTTGAATGCTTACCTTCTAAATTACTGGTTTCTTCTCAGGACACTGTAGGTCCTGGGCAAAATAACGAGAAATACTGAATAGCTGTAAAAGCGTAAATGTCAATCAAGCTAGCAAAGCACAAAGGGTGAGCACCTAGGAAGAGGGGCCTTTAATTTACAAGGTACTTTCTAAAAAAATAAATGTCATGAAAAGATATTTTATCTATCACACTGAGTTTCCTAATCAGAGAGATAATTTGATCTCAAGAGAAGTAGGAGGAAACTGCTGGCCTCTAGAGTTTCATGAAAAGCAATAAGTAATCAACTCAAAATGAAGAAAAGCAAGTTTTCTATTTTATGTCTTATTTCGGTACCCTTTGCTATATGTAGTTTAATGATTAAAATCTATGTAGGCCAGGTGTGGTGGCTCACACCTGTAATCCTACCTAGCTCTTTGGGAGGCTGAGGTGGGTGGACTGCTTGAGCCCAGGAGTTTGAGACCAACCTGGGCCACATGATGAAACCCTGTCTCTGCAAAAAATACAAAAAAATAGCCAAGTGTGGTCGCAGGTGCCTGTAGTCTTGGCTACTCAGGAGACTAAGGTGGGAGGATCACCTGAGCCCAGGAGGTCGAGGCTGCAGTGAGCCATGATCTCACCACTGCACCCCACATGGGGCAACAGAGTGAGACCCTGTCTCAAAAAAAAAAAAAAAGAGAGACCTATGTAATGAGTCTATAGTTGTAATTACAGTAATTTCTCATTAGTCTATCAGTTGATGACATGCCATGGAAGAGCTGAAGCAAGTGGTAGACTGCAAGTTGCTGTAAAAATAGTATAAAGCCTTCGATGGAAGCAGGCAGAAGGAGAGTGTCATGGCTGGAAAAAGGACCTGAAATCATATTATTATGGAGCACAAACCATTAGAAAGAGATTGTTATTTTTTAAATATTTTGCTTGCAGTTGCAGGACAAAAATATGCAGACTGAGCTACATATGGTTCTTAAAGACATTAGGTAACTATTGCTTTCATTTTATTTTATTTTTGGGATGGAGTCTCGCTCTGTTGCCCAGGCTGGAGGGCAGTGGCAACATCTCAGCTCACTGCAACCTTCGCCTCCCAGGTTCAAGCAATTCTCCTGCTGTTAGCCTAATGAGCAGCTGGGATTACAGGTGCGCACCACCACACCTGGCTAACTTCTGTATTTTTAGTAGAGACGGGGTTTCACCACGTTGCCCAGGCTGGTCTCAAACTCCTGACTTCAGGTGATCCACCCGCCTCAGCCTCCCAAAGTGTTGGGATTACAGGAGTGAGCCACTGTGCCTGACCAGGTAACTATTGCTTTCAAAGTTTCTTCCAAGTATTTTAGTAAGATATGACTTAAAGATCACTGCTGGAATTTCCAGAGAGGGGAAAAAATTTCCACCCCCCAGGTCAGGTCCTGCCCCCTGCACTTACTGCTGCAAAGGAGTAGTGGATCTCACGAATGAACTTGGGAAAAAGACCCAGTCATGCTCAGCACTGCACTTTTCAGCCTTTGGAAGCAGCCCTCATTTTGCTGCCTCCTACTTGGATATTTTGTGGGCCTCCAGCCTGCTTGATGGGGATGAGAAAGAGTAATTCAAGTAAGAAAATATTGGGGAACCCATTGAGCAACAGATCTACACTTTGTTTACTGGTCAGCATTCTCTGTACAGGAGGAAGCCTGGAGGGATAAGAAAAAGAGTAGGTTTTAGGCCTGAGGAATATGAGAGGTCGTGATTTGAACCTGACCTTCCAGGACTTTCTAAAATTACATGTGTCTGGCCAGGCGTGGTGGCTCATGCCTGTAATCCCAGCACTTTGGGAGGCTGAGGCTGGCAGATCACCTGAGGTCAGGAGTTCAAGACCAGCCTGGCCAACATGGCGAAACCCTGTCTCTATTAAAGATACAAAAATTAGCTAGGCGTGGTGGCATGCACCTGTAGTCCCAGCTACTCAGGAGGCTGAGGCAGGAGAATCACTTGAACCCAGGAGGCAGAGGTTGCAGTGAGCTGAGATCACACCACTGCACTCCAGCCTGGGCAACAGAGCGAGACTCCATCTCAAATAAAATAAAATAAAATAAGATAAAATAAAATTACATGTGTCAAGGTGGGGAGTTAGAGCATATTTTATCTACCAAGTTGTAGACCTGATACTGATTTTGTAACATGTAGTCATATGGTACGTGGGCCGCCCGTTGTTCTCTTGCCCTGGACCCTGCACGTTAGGAGCAAGGCTGCTGCTCTGGTCCCTCACCAGTGGGCACTTGGAGATCATTTCCTTGTATCAGACCCCTCTTTAGTCACTGCAGCATATTCTCTGTGTCTGCAGGTGCTCACAGTTCAGATTTTATCTACAGTCTTCATCAACTGTATTCGCTTTCCTCTAATGCCCGTCATAAATGCCCTGTGCTTATCACTTATTGTGGATTTTTATATGTCCAGGGGTTTAGAGCTTAGCACTTCGAGTTTTTTGTTTTTTGTTTTGTTTTTTTTTTTTTGGTTTTGGGGTTTTTTTGTTTTTGTTTTTGTTTTGTTTTGTTTTGTTTTTGGCGTGGGGGTTCTTCCTATATTCTGCTCAGTCTTCTTAGTCAGAAGTGCAATTTCCAAATTGAGGATAAGTCTCCAAAGTCACAGAGACATGTTCTGTGTAGCACTATCAGCTGCCCCTGTAGGCTGAGGCAGGCTGTGCTTTATAGTGAAACCACTTCACACCTATTCCCTGGCCCTCAGCCACCCACAGTGCTGTGGGATGGCAGCGGAGACCCTAGCTACCCATGCCTGGAGATCAGGGAAGGAGGAAGAATTTAAGCTGAGAATTGCAGGAATTTCTCTATATGTTGGGGAGTCCTCAGATTATATCCAAAACACATGAGGCACTAGACAGATTCATTATAAGCACAAGCAGAAAAAAAAGTCACATATGAATTTGCACTAAGGCAGCATTCGGTGGCTCACTCCTGTAGTCCTAGCACTTCGGGAGGCCAAGGCAGGTGGATCATCTGAGCTCTGGAGACCTGCCTGGGCCACATGGGGAAACCCCATCTTTACAAAAAAATACAAAAAATTAGCCGGGCATAGTGGTGCATGCCTGTAGTCCCCACCACTCAGGAAGCTGAAGTGGGAGAATGACCTGAGCCCTGGAGGTCAAGGCTGTAGTGAGCCGAGATCAGACCGCTGAACTCCAGCCTGGGCAATGGTGTGAGACCCTGTCTCAAATAAATAAATAAAATTTACACTAGGGAACCTTACATATAGCCAAAGATTTTAATATGTGGTACAGAGTTGTAAGCTCTCTCTCTGAGTGCTGGCTCCTACATAGCAGAGAGAGTGAAGATACATTAATCGATAAAGCACTGAAAAACAAGAAATGATTTGTTCCTAGCAACATCCCTGTGGCTATGTCATATTCTTGGTGATAAAGATGATTCACTAAGAGATTCAGTTAGAGACAAGACAATTGTGGAATGAGGATTATGGTGGCACTCACACATTTTGCATCCCCCAGTCCCTGCATAACCCAGAAAGAAGATAGTCCTGTTTCTAAATCTGTATGCAAATTTTTCCTCCATGGAAGTATAATATCTGAAAGCAAAATTGGTCCATTGAGTTAATCACTAAATAGGGCACTTCAGTGTGCTCTAGTTCTGACATCTAATCAGCAATACAGCTGCATTTAAATACTGAAGACTTAAAGGTTTTTGGCTTCTGAAGCAAAGGATTTTCTAGGTAATCTTGCCTATAAGGTCCTTGACTTGTGCCGTCAAATGCTGCCAACTGTGATTTGCAGGAAATCAGGAAATAACAGTGCGGTCTGTTTTTCTCCTGTGTACTGTGTAAGGTTGGGAGTTTTTCATTATAATTACCATTTGCTAGTGAAAAGCTCATTTCTCAATTTTACTGTTGACTGGATAGAAACCAAATTTGCCAGAGATATGTGTGCACGTCCTCCTCTCCTCCACAATGAACTCCAACACCAGTCAAGGCACAGTGTCACATGCGGTCCTTAGAACAAGTCAGGAGCTTCTGCTCAAAAACCTCCAGGACTTGAGCTTAGGCCAAGATTTTGCTTCTTTTTTTTTTTTTTTTTTTTTTTGGTAATCTCTTTGTTCTCTGAACAGAAAGAATCTAACAGAGCAAAAACCAAAATTTGAAATTATGCTAAAATAAAAATGCTTGTAGGTTATTGCAGTGTAGATTATGCAAAAAAAGAATCATTAGGATAGGGCAATCAGCTTCCATTAAATAAGCCTAAAAGCAGCAGCTTGGGGGATAAAAAAGAAAAAAAAAAGAAGAAAAGAAAAAAGAAAAAGACACACTGAGACATTGCCTTCGGTGCCCCCTGCTGGAACAACGGTAATTATGCTTGTTAGAATATTTAGCATAATTAGTCTTTAGCTGCCCATTTCAGTTTTGCTCAAGATATAAATGTCAAGTCAAAGCTATTAAAAACCATATTCTTGAGAAACAGATACTCAGAAGGAGAATTGCCCAGGTAGCAAATGCTCTGTTGGAAATCACAAATGCCACTGAATATTTGTATTGTTGTGCTGGCTGGATGCACTAATTACTATAATTTTTTTATAGCATATGAACTCTAGGCTGTTTGATAGCCACAATAAAATTAATTTTATGTTAATTAGCCTCCCATTCAAGTGAAAACTAAAGTCACAAACTGCCCTGCCCTTCCTTCATGTGGGCTATTTCCTCTCAGGAGGCTGGTCAGTGTACCCTAGGTCTGTTTCCTACTAAACGGCAGGGTTCCCTTGGCCCTGAGCTACTGTAAACCAGGAATGGGATTTACTGTCTATCAACTCAGAGAAAAATAGATCCCCTCCCCAACCAGTCCCCCAGGCAGCGTGAGTGTCACTGGCTAGGCTCAACAGAAAGCGCGGTCTGGTGTCACCAGCTGAGCAGACGACCCTTGTGCCTGTTTTGCATTTATCATGGTTGCTTCCCTTGGGGACAATAAGAAGAGTGAGGCAAAAGTCCCCCTCCCCTAGCAAGGAGACTGTCATTGCCCTATCAGCTTCCAGAGCAGCTTTTATCTGAGACTAGTGCTGGGAATAGAGACTCACAGGCTGGATGAAGAAAACTGCCTGGGGAAGGGGATCCCTCCTCCAGGCAGTGCTGGCAAGAGGCTCCCTATGATGGCACCTACTGTGGATGAGGTACAGGGTTTTTAGACTCACAGCAGCTCCAAGGGCCTTTCCCTCTCCTTCGTTTTACAGGTAAGAAAATGGAGATAAAGGAGGGCATGAGACTTCCAACATCGTGCAATGAGTTGGTGGCAGAGTTGATGTGATGTCTGTGCAGGGCTCTTTCTGTTATGTTCCAGTTCACGAAAGTAAGAAAGGATGAGATCTGCTCTGATGAGGTTGACAATCAAGTAAACATGCCTATTTAAAATAATAATAAGTTTTAAATATGCAAATGGAACTTGAGAATAGTATGCAAATGCGAGCATGAATAAACGTGGCTCTATAAGTAGGGTGGATGAAAATATGTGAATAAGCAGGCCAGATCAGACATCTGGCACATTTTTCAAGCAGAACTCCACCTTTTGGTTGTCTAATAATTCTTTCAGTGACTTACATGAAGAGGTTCCACAAGCCTTGTTTAAGGTGCAGGTAACCTGCCCACCTTCAGGCTCAGAAGCAATGGGTGACTGAAGGTCCCGACTGAATTTAAAACATGAGAACTTTCTGGAATTGCTGAGGCGAGAAGAGTCATACTTCCCAACTCTGCAAGTGGAGCCCTGGGTCCTTGTCTGGTCACAAACCAATTTTGTTAAGTGCTACTGAAATTGCTTTTTATCATCCAAATAAGAAGCAGTTCACAAGTAAAATGCAAGGCTTGACACATAAAAGCTTATTTGTAAGCCTGGGCCTAGTGACTTAATAGTCATCTTAAGACCCATAGAAACCATCTGTGCATTGGAAATAAGTTGTCAAAGAGTGGGAGGGCTCTGGGGGATCACAGATATTAGAACTGCATAACAGCTCCTCAGCCTCCATAAAATCATTTGGAATTACCAATTGCAGTTCTCTAATAATTCCACTGATGACTGTGTCTACTTATATCAAAGGAACTGATTC
The DNA here is from genome assembly GCF_000001405.40 of Homo sapiens. Classification (NCBI taxonomy): domain Eukaryota; kingdom Metazoa; phylum Chordata; class Mammalia; order Primates; family Hominidae; genus Homo; species Homo sapiens. The sequence continues at coordinate 191,537,510 of NC_000002.12, read as the reverse complement.
TAATCTGAATGTCTGGGCCACATCCCATGGTGAGGTCCAGCCTCAGCTGGATGAAAAACAAGACTGCCTCCAACCTAGAACAACCAGCTGTTCATTGTTTTCTTCTGCCTAAAATCTTCACTTCCTTGGGAGAATTGCTCCCCACACACCCTGACCATGCAGGAAATGATTCTGATTGGCTCCTTCTGAGTACTATGGTGCCATGCTCCCCTGGCCATAGGAATGGATTCTCACTCAGTTTTCCACAGATATCTATTGAGTGCATTGTCTTGGCACTGGGGCTTCAGCAGTGAGCAAGACCAGCAGCCTCTCTGCCTACATGGAGCTTAGATTCTACTGGAAGAGGTGGACAATAACACAGAGCGAAAAGTCAATAGTATGCTTTTTAACAATGAGTAACAGGAAGAAAATAAAGCAAGATGGCAGCTGTAAACCACCTGTGGGATACTGAAGAACTGATAGTGGAGCACAGACCCGAACGATGGGAAAAATCCTGGCATGGAAATACCTGGAAAGGAGCATGTGACGGCAACCAGCCCCAACAATCGTTTCCTACACAGCAATTAGCCCAGAACTGGGCATGCCACCCAAGCCAGGCCAATCACAATTTGAAGTCAAAGAGAAGAGCCTTATCTTTCAGTTGGGGAAAGACTGCCAAAACTCATCTTCTTCAAAGGGTGCAGAAAGCCCATCCTGTACTCAGAGAGAATGAAACCAAGAGGAGTGAGTCCCTAGATACAGCACACCTGAAGTCAGACCACCATGTAACAGATCACCCTTCAAGATCCACCATGGAATCAGATCCCCCTTCAAGAAAGGACCTGCTTTCCACCTTTGAGGAGTGTGCTTGGCTGTAGTTGGTAGAGACAGCCTCCAGCTATTAGCTTCATGGGCCACCAGCCTTTAGATTGAGGTCACACTCTTCTGAGGCTGCCCCAGCCCATGACTGAGCAAGGCTCTGATAACCAAGGTCAGATTCTTTTTGAGGGTCCCAAGAAACAAGGCCTAGTCCAGAGATCCTCAAGCTTTCTCAGTTCATGGCACTCTTAGTGCTCAGTAATTTTTTCATGGCACCCCAGAAGTCAAAAGAAATGCCTATAGTTCCCTTTTTTAAATAGTTAGGTCCAAACGAGTAAACAGTAGTAGTTTGTGCAGTGCCTGACATACGTTACCGTGTTTCCCTGGAAAATTAAAAATACCCTGCAGTGCCCCTGAGTGTTTTCCCTGGCACCCTGGAGAGTCAGGCAGCGCAGTTCAGGAATCACGGTCCTAGCCATTCCCACCCAATGCAGAGCTCCTTCAGAGCCCCATGTGGTGCTAGCAGAGACTGTGGGATCTGTTTTGCAGACTGGTGGCCTCTTCTGCCCACTCTGCTTCCTCCCTTTTCCTTTCACTAGTGTTACTACCCAAGAAAACGTTTGCACTCCTAACTCCATCTGTGTGTCTGCTTCTGGAAGAAACCAACCTGCAACATCCTTCTTGACTTCCAAATTTTTTGAGGAATAAATTCCCTTTTTTTAAAAAAAAAAGATTTAAACTATTTGGAGTTGGATTACTGTCAAGTATTGTCAAAAGGGCACTAACAATATGCCAAGACAAGTGTATGGCTTTAGTTTCCCGTAATGACAAATCTAAAAAGTGAGTAGAATTGAGAGAATCCAATAGTCATTATAATGAAGAGAAAAACAAGATAGTCCTGAGCATTTTCTCTTAGCAAATGCTCCAAAATTTAGCAGTCCTTATAACTTCTAACTAAGCCCATCCTTTAGACAAATGATGTAGTAGACTATGTGCTCATTTTGAGCAATGGGAGAGAACAGACATGCAAGCTCTACTGATTGATATACAATAGCAATCATTTTATTGAAGGAAAGTTGAAAGTTTGCTTTCTCAAGATAACTGTTTGTGGTAGTAGAATTGGTAGAGAACGTAGACCTTGGACCCCTTAGCCCAGTTGGGTTATGCAATGCGTAATGGGATTGAAATTGGAAAGTAATGAATAGTTAATTTTCATAATATTAAATAAGCTGCCCCACCAAAGCAGGGTTGCCAGGCCATTTTGACAGATATTCACCTCTGTATTCGATAGTGAAAACAACATCAGTGGGATAATTTATTTTGAGCAAAGTTCTCAATTATCAATGTGTTATATCTGTGGCTTGTCCTTACACTCCAATACTTTAGCCAAGACACTTTCATTAAATCAACTCCCCCCATCTCAAACTAACTGGTTCCTAACTAACCTGAGCCTCCTCTAGTACTTTGTTTCCTTGTTATTGATGCCTTTGTAAACCCCCAGAACCTTATCCTTTCAACTAAACTGGTTTAAAGGTTTATTTGCCTCAAGCCCAGTCCAGTTCCTTATCTGTAGCAACTTGGTTCTTCATTCCAATTCTGCAGTCTAGGCTCCCAGCACCTCTTTTATAAAGGGCTAGAAAACCTTGCTATCCTCAGTCTCTCCCCTCCACAATGTACAGCCCACTTACCACCATACTTTTCCTCCCACACATAAGAACTTCATTTCCCTGCTTAAAATCCTCTGGAATATTCCTCAAAGTGGCATGCCCACACTGTTCCCAGTTGGCTTCTCTGCCCTCATGCCCAACCATTAACTGCCACGAATTCATTGATCTGGCCACACAGAGTCTCCCACTGTTTTCTAAATGGTCCATGCCTTTTCTTGCCTCAGGTTCTTTCCTTTTTGCTGTTCCCTCTACCTGGCTTGCCCATTTCTCTCTTCTTTGCTCACACTCAACGTTTAAAGCTCACTTCAAATGGCCCCTCATCTCAAGAGCTCTCTCCAGGCAGCACAGATCACCTGACTTCATCTATGCTTCCTTCATGCTTGGTGCTTAAGCTATTTCCATATAACTTATCGTTTGCATGACTCTCTGCCTCAAGCAACTCCTGAAGAAGACCAAGTGTTCTTTCACATCGTATCACTGCTTCTAGCACAAAGGTAGTTCAATAGCAGTTTGAGGAATTCGACTGAATGAGTTTGTATACGTGTCATATATGCTGTAACAGCTAAAAGGCTCAATGTATAAAAGCCAACAGTAACCTGCAACAATGTAAGAGAACTTCATGAAATCTCTTCCCAAGGTCACATTTAGTGAATATATTCCAAAAATGATCGAACTGATCATCTTACCAGATCAGATCTCCTTCTACTCCCACCTCCTTGTGGCCATCTTATTCTCCTTGTACTGCCAGCCCCCAGCATGCTGGTCATAGAGAAAGTGCTCCATAATTGTTGATGAGATATTGAGAAATGAATAAATTATGTACAAAAATACACACACATTCTATATCAGCATTTTAATCAGTCTTAAATAAAAGTAATACAGCTACAATATGTTCAATTATTCTCTTCACCTTGGATTCACCTGAATCTTCAAAGAGTTCTACCTATCAATTATATTTTTCTCTCTAAAACTATGTTATAAATTGGCAGCAAACTTTCAGACCAAAAATAAGAATTCAGGAAGGAAGCTATTTCTCTACCAAGTGAGTATTGCATCATTGACACTGAATGCAGTTGGCCTCATCAGTAAGATGAATAATAAGTAGATTGAGTTTTTTAAATAGTAAAAAAACCCAAGTGAGTTTCATAACCCAATCATTAGTGGATGAAGCCAACCTTGAACACACAACTAGACAAGAAGTTATGTTTATGCTCTGTACTGTTTATCTCCAGGCATTTTATTGCCATATTTAATACACATTACAATAAACACTAAAAAAAAAAAAGTCTAAGAAAAAGAGCATTTAATGAAGGCAGGCCCAAATTACGACAGAAATATTTCCAAAAAGAGAAACATTTAATTCTTTTTATAGAGAACTAAACCTGAGATGAAGCACCTCAAGCATTTCCCCAAATATGCATCATTGTACAAGCAAGGGATTTCTCTCCATCAGGTTAGATGTGAGAAAGGGATTGATTTGATTTGGACCCCTGTTCTTGCCAGTTAGACTCACCTTCCTGACACTCCTCTTTCTTATTTAGAAGCAGCATACATCCCCCAATAGAGAGGATCCTCGTTATAAGCCAACCCAAACTGCACTTCTGTTAGTGCTAAATGCTCTTTTCAAGTTAAAAGAAATATAGTAGACAAAGCTCCAGGAACTCAGTCCTATATTTCTCTTCCCTTTGGAGCCTTACCCGCAGGCAGCAGGGGAGAGCTACCATACCATCATGGTCTTATTTAACGCTTCAGTCATTTTTCACTCTCTTCTAGAAGCAACTCTAGGCTCTAGCTCAGGTGTATCCGCAGGTGCCCTGGGACTTTACACCTGCCATGATGGAAGACATAAACACAAGTTAATTAAGTCTATTGTTCAAACAATTTGTTTCTCACTGAGGCTGACTCACTTGCAACTACATCTGCACAATTTTATTTCCAGAAGTAGCCTTCCGCCTTCATTCTGGGTGTGAGGACTCTCTCTTTAGAAATTCACTTTATTTCTGAGACTCTTGGGTCACTGACAGAATAACACTTAACCAAAAAAAAATACATCAGCAATTTAATCAGCATTTGAATATATATATAGCTAATGGATGACAAGCTGTTTTTTTGTTTTTGTTTTTGTTTTAAAAAAAAATTATGTGATACTTGGGCCAGGTGTGGTGGCTCATGCCTGTAATCCCAGCACTTTAGTAGGCCAAGGTGGGCAGATCACTTGAGGTCAGGAGTTCGAGACCAGCCTGACCAACATGGTCAAACCCCATCTCTACTAAAAATACAAAAATCAGCCGGGCGTGGTGGCACATGCCTGTAATCCCAGCTACTTGGGAGGCTGAGGCAGGAGAATTGCTTGAACCTGGGAGGCAGAGGCTGCAGTGAGCCAAGATCGCGCCATTGCACTCCAGCCTGGGCAACAGAATGAAACTCTGTCTCAAAAAAAAAAAGTATGTGACACTTGTAATTTTTTTTCCTAGCCATAAAGTTCCTCAGGGTAACATCATTAAGGGAAAACTGGAATAAGTAGAGTGTTGAAGATTTAGTATTGCGTAGCATTCTTACTCAAAGTCAGGACTGAAAACTACTTTTGAAAGGCTTTCATAGTCTCTCTGGCAGAGTGAAGCATAGAAAATGAATGGAAGGTTGAGTCCGAGGAGAAAAATTTAGGCAAGACATACACAGAGGGAGGTTTGAAGCATGCTGCTTTGTTTTTGTACAAAAGGATCAAAGGACATTTCTCACATTAATTGCTTCTATTTTTACTTGCATCCTTATTGTGCTTCCATTCATCTCTCTAACTGATGTCCTGGACACTCTTTTTGTCCTTGTTCCTCTCTCATCACATGCCACATAATTTCTGCCTTGGATCATCCATCCCTTTCCTCTTCTCTCTCTCTCTCTCTCTCTCTTCCTTCTCTCTCTCTCTCTCTTTCTCTCTTTCTCTCGTTAGGTTCTGTATTCTAGAGCAGCAGAGAAGGCCAGCTGCCACCCATATGCTGCCCTTCCATGTTGTAAAGATGTCCCTGGGCAGCAGCTAACCAGCCAGAGCCCTCATTTCCCAGCCTCCCTTGCGGTAGGTTGAAGCGAAGTGACTGAATTCTTCCCAGTGGAATGTGAGGGGAAGGGTGCACCCTCTCTCCAGGCCTCTATGCAATCTTCTGTATATCATCTGTGGAATTCTCCATGCTCTCGCTTTCTGCTTCAGACACCTGACACTGATGCCCACTCATGGTCATATTGGAAGCCATCTGCTGAAGATGGCAGAGTCTCTGTCAGCCTAGGACCCTCATTGATTTCCTCTTCCATCTGCCTTCCTCCCACAGGTGGACTGTCTATAAGCAAGAAACAGATTTCATTTGTATTATGTCATCGAGATTGCAGGGGTTACTATTGAAACAGCTAGCAGTACCTTAACTAATACATGAGGGCAATGAAAGAAATCAAAGCCTACTACAGCAATCAATCATTCATGTCACAAATATTTATGGAGCACCTACTATATCCAGGGCCCTGTACTAAGGTTGGGGGCTAGACAGACATAGTCGAACACTCACAGAGCTTACACAGAAGTTCCTTAATTTCTAAATCATCTTGTTTTCCTAAGAGCACCTATTCTGTTGCATTTCACCTGACATCTCTGAAGTAGGAAAGTAATTTATGTGTATTTTACACATGAGGAAGCTACAGCCGAAGCAGAATGTGGCATTTGGGTAAGCCAAATCCATCTTCCTGACAGAGCTTCTTATACAGCATGGTCTGGAGAACCACCAAGTAAAGTAGAACTGGCTTCTTGATATAGTTTAGATATCTGAAGCCCAAATCTCGTGTTGAGTTGTAATCCCCAGTGCTGGAGGTAGGGCCTGGTGGGAGATGTTTGGATCATGGGAGTGGATCCCTCATGGCTTCGTGCTGTCTTCATGATAGTGAGTGAGTTCTCATGAGATCTGGTCATTTAAAAGTGTGGGGCACCTCCTCCACCAACTCTCACTCTCTTGCTCCTGCTCTGGCCATGTGACAAGCCTGCTACTCCTCCTTCACCTTCTGCCATATTGTAAGCTTCCTGGGGCCTCCCTAGCAGCTAAGCAGATGCCAGCACCATGCTTTCTATAAAGCCTGCAGAACCATCAGCCAATAAAACCTCTTTTCTTTATAAATTACCCAGTCTTGGGTATTTCTTTATAGCAATGCAAGAACAGACTAACACACTTCTCCATGAGCCCTACCAAGTCAAGAACATGAACCACATTTTCCAGCCACTAAACACATGAGACCTCAGCTGCTCAGTGAAACACTGTGGTTTGAAACAAAAAAGGGTAAGAAAAAACAGATAACTGGAGGGTTTTTTTTTGTAAGATAGATGATACAGAAATCTAGGGTTTTCTTTCTTGCTATCGCTTTATAGAACTTGAAGAAATAACTCATTTTACAAATCATCTGCTTTTAACCACTTGTGCATGCATTTTAAAAATAGCCTATATAAAGAAGTGAGATGTAGCTAACTAACTCAGGCAAGGGTGAAACCTAAAACCCATACATTTTTGAAGACTCCTTTTAAGGAAAATAACATAAATTACAAAAGCAAAATTTGATACAGGGCCTGGAAAGGGCTATGGCAAATGAAGCTTTTGCATCATTGGTTTTATGGCAAATCCACGCACAAGCTGAAATTTTTAAAATTAAGTGACGAATTAAAATAAGGGTTGAAAATTTTCTAGATATAATCTCACTTTGCTCCATGGCCCAATTAATTGTGAATCAGTTGTCTATAACCAGATGTAGCAACGATCCATCAAAACTGTGTTTTTCAGTTCCTATGTTCTGAACCATGTATCTTGTTGCATACTCCTGCTTTGAATGTATTCATCTCTGTTTATGTAAGAGAGGACAACAAGAATTTTTTAATGAGAACACAAATATGGATACTGCAACATAAAATAATGATGGCAGAAGTCTTCTCTTCAGTTTGGAAAACTTATTTTTAATGCTAGTTGGAAAAAAAATGTATTCTTCTCACTGATTGTTAGACCTAGGGAAAACCACCATGCCATTGTGTGTTAGTCAAGTATAGTGATTAGAAAATGAGTTCATTTGGCTGGGCACGGTGGCTCACGCCTGTAATCCCAGCACTTTGGGAGGCTGAGGCAGGTGGATCACGAGGTCAGGAGTTCAAAACCAGCCTGGCCAAGATGGTGAAACCCCAACTCTACTAAAAATACAAAAAATTAGCCGGCCGTGGTGGCGGGTGCCTGTAATCCCAGCTGTTCGAGAGGCTGAGGCAGAGAATTGCTTGCACCCGGAGGCGGAGGTTGCAGTGAGCCAAGATCACACCACTGCTCTCCAGCCTGAGCGACAGAGTAAGATTCCATCTCAAAAAAAGAAAAAGAAAAAAGAAAAAAAGCTCATTTGGGCCCTGATCTCTAGCCACTTCCAACAAATAAGACTTCATTAAATAGATGTGCTATCTTCTGAGAACTAATGACCTTATGCTTTGTTGACTTGGGAAAACTCAGTTGCCAAATGAGAATTCTCTGCAATGAACTGTTGGCTTCTATATCTGAAGATTAAAATCCAGGGACCAATTAACAAGAGCTCATGGCTTATCTTTGCCACCAAAGGGCCTGGGGAAGCCCAGACCTGCAAGTCTTCACCTTGAGTTATCCTCAAGAGCAAATTTGTAACCTAGTTAGAAAGCAGACACATTTCTGCAAATGTTAAATGCTGTCCTGTTAAACTTCAGCCACAACTTTGAGTTAACATTAAGACCAAATTTTATTCTAAGATCCCAAAAAGTGAAGAGCTACCAAGATATTTATTTTCTTGGTTATAGCTTTCAATTTAGTTCAGGCAAAGCTATATATTCTACCATTACAAACTTACAAACTCTCACCATACCCAAAAGTTTGAAACCATCTGTTCTATATGGTAAGCATATAGGAAACCATTATTGTTAGATCATCCCACCCTTAACCCCACCCCAAAGAACCTGGAACTACATTTTCTCTCAAAGAGTCAACACATGATGAACATAGTTATCAATCTCCAGAAGTAATCAGCCTACTTCTCTGTCAACATACCAGAAGAGCAGAACAAAGAAATTGAGTAATTAAGACTTTGTAAAAGAGATTTGCAGATCTGAAGAAAGATCAGGTAAACTGAAAAAAAGAAAAAAAAAAAAAGGTCCACTTTGAGCCTGGAAGTTTCAGCAAGAAAGAATTCCGTGAGTTTAACCACTTTTGTTTATACCATATATAAAAATCTACTCAAAATCAATCATAGGCCTAAATGTACAAGCTAAAATGATACAACTTTCCAAAGAAAACATAAGCGTAAATTTTTTTGACTTTGGATTAGGCAATGGTTTCTTAAGAACAATACCAAAAGTACAAGTAACAGTAGAAAAGCTTAATTAATTTGACACCATCAAAATTTAAAACTTTCATGCTTCAAAGGATACCACCAAGAAAGTGAAAAGACAATGCATAAGATGGGGAAAAGTATTTGCAATCATAAACTCAATAACGCATTCAGAATATATAAGGAACACTTACAACTCAACAATAAAAAGACAAATAATACAACTACAAAATGGATGAAGGACTTTTTTTTGAGACAGAGTCTTGCACTGTCGCTCGGGCTGGAGTGCAATGGCACGATCTTGGCTCACTGCAACCTCCACCTCCCGGGTTCAAGTGATTCTGCTGCCTCAGCCTCCCAAGTAGCTGGGATTACAGGTGTCCACCACCATGCCCGGCTAATTTTTTGTATTTTTAGTAGATACGGGGTTTCACCATGTTGGCCAGGCTGGCCTCGAACTCCTGACCTCATGATCTGCCTGCCTCGGCCTCCCAGAGTGCTGAGATTACAGGGTGAGCCACCACGCCTGGCCAAGGATGAAAGATTTAATAGATGTTTTTTCAAAGAAGATATAAGTGGCCAATAATCACATGAAAAGATGTTCAATGCCATTACTTATTAGAGAAATGTAAATAAAACCACTATGAGATACCACTAGGATGGCTGAAATTAAAAAGATAATAACAAGTAATGAAGAGTATATGGTGGCTGGGCAAGGTGGCTCATGCCTGTAATCCAAGCACTTTGGGAGGCTGAGGTGGGCGGATCACTTAAGGTCAGGAGTTTGAGACCAGCCTGGCCAACATGGCAAAACCCCATCTCTAGTAAAAATACAAAAATTAGCTGGGCGTGGTGGCATATGCCTGTAATCCCAGCTACTTGGGAGGCTGAGGCAGGAGTATTGCTTGAACCCGGGAGGCAGAGGTTGCAGTGAGCGGAGATCATGGCGTTGCACTCCAGCCTGGGTGGCAAGACCGAAACTCTGTCTCAAAAAAAAAAAAAAAAAAAAGTATGTGGAGAAATTGGACACTCATACATTGCTGATGGGATTGTTAAGAAGATGTAGGCACTCTACCAAACAGTCTGATAGTTCCTATAGTTTTACATGTGACCCAGCAATTCCATGTCTAGAAATGAAATGAAAATACATGTCCACACAAAAACTCATATGTGAATGAATGTTCTTAGCAGCACTATTCATGGTAGCTGAAAATTGGAAACAACTCAAATGTCCATCAACTCAAGAGTGGATAAACAACATGCAGTATGTCAATATGATGGAATAGTACATGGGAATAAAAAGAAATGGAGTACTGATTCATGCTGCAACATGAATGAATCTGGAACACATTATGCTAAGTTCAAAAAGAAGCCAGACAAAAAAGAACATATATAATTTTATTTATATGAAGTGTTCAAAATAGGCAAATCCATAGAGACAATAAGGAGATTAGTAGTTGCCAAGGGCTGAGGGGAAGGGCAAATAAGAAGCGACTGCTAAGGGGTACTTTTTGGGGTGATGAAAACGTTCTGGAATTAGAGAGTGGTGATGGGTGTGTCACTTTGTGAATATATTAAAACCACTGAATTGTACAATTTAAAGGGGTAGATTGTGTAGTATGTAAATAAAGTTGTTATTTAAAAACAAAACAAAAACACATTTATGTTCAGGAAAGAGGGTGCGCTGATCACAATCCCTCTTAGCAGAAATGGTCAAAGAGATGGATGGCATCATTGTGTGGTGCTACCAGCCAACAGTATCTTCCAAATAACCTTCTTTGCTCTGAATCTGAATGTAATCTGGTTTCCCATTTAGGTTTTCTCACAAAAAATACACTTTTTATCAGTGTAAAAGTACACTTTTTATCAGCATTTTAGTTCCCTTTTATTCATGCATTTGATACATATCTTTGGGCCTCCAGTGTGCCGTGCACTGCAATATGCACATGGTATAGAGCAGTGAGTAAGACAGACATGGTCCCTGAGCTCACTATTCTCAAAGTGTAGTGGGAGGCACATAAAAAGGAAACAAACAAGGAAATAGTGTTATTTTTCATTATTTAGTGTCTCAAAACAACTTCTCTCCCTACCCAAAACCCTACCCTGACCTCACATAAGTTATTATATCTACATAATCCGTGTATCTCTGTATAATAATCTATGTATACAATCATATATATCAATATAGATACATATATAGTCTATTAATTGAGATAATATCTGTAAGCACTTAGACTATGCCAGGCACAGAGTAAGTGGTCAGTGACTATTATGATGACGGTCATTGTATGATTTTCTCCCAAAGAAGTGTTTGTATGAATGGTGTTGTGAGTAAAGATGACTTTAGGTCTTGGTTAGTCTGGTCTCCCTGGAGGGAGGGAGCCTCCTGGTGTCAGTCATCACAGAAAGAGGAAGGTGTCTGTTAGGTAACTGGGTATGTCTTAGGCAGGGGTGGTGGTGTTGCAGGGGACACCTTTGCTCTCTCCCCACTCTGTCCCTTGACCTCACTCTTTCAGGCCTGGATTTCAAGGTTTTTAACTTGTGTTTCCACAATCTAGTTGCTCTGAATCCTTGAGGGAGCTTTCATTTTTTTTTCTGAAAAATTTTTTTCCATAGGTTATTGGGGTACAGATGGTATTTGGTTACATAAGTAAGTTCTTCAGTGGTGATTTGTGAGATTTTGGTACACCCATCACCCACGGAATATACACTGTATCCCATTTGTAGTCTTTTATAGTCCCCCTTCCACCCTTGCCCCCAAGTCCCCAAAGTCCGTTGTATCATTCTTATACTTTTGCATCCTCATAGCTTAGCTCCCACATAACAGCAAGAAGATACGATGTTTGGTTTTTCCATTCCTGAGTTACCTCACTTAGAATAATCGTCTCTTGGCCAGGCGCGGAGGCTCACGCCTGTAATCCTAGCACTTTGGGAGGCTGAGGCAGGTAGATCAACTGAGGTCAGGAATTCGAGACCAGCCTGGCCAACATGGCGAAACCCCATCTCTACTAAAAAATATAAAAATTAGCTGGGCGTGGTGGCACACGCCTGCAATCCCAGCTACTGGGAGGCTGAGGCTGGAGAATCACTTGAATCCAGGAGGCGGAGGTTGCAGTGAGCCAAGACTGTGCCACTGTACTCCAACCTGGGTGACAGAGCGAGACTCTGTCTAAAAAATAAAAAAATAAAAAATAAGAGTCTTTTAGGGAAGCTTTTAAATAAAGATACTTGAACCCAAACCCAGGGGGTTCCTAATACAATAAGCCTGGGGTTAGAGTGCTTAGCGTCCTCCTAAATAGTAAGAGTTAAGGAAAGTTGAACAAAGAGACAGGCCCAGACTGAATCTACACCACATTCCTACTGATGGCTCCAAGCTCAAGCATGCAAACAGTATCTGGCAAGCCACATTATCCAACTCATGTTACTCTCCACAGTGTTGCTAAAGCTAATCAAAGATTGGGGTCCATACCCAGTCTGGCCAGAATAAAGGACTGAGAAGTTACAGCAGTGACAGGGAAGCAGTCAGTGGCCTTCCAGTAGCGAAGGAAGATTCAGGGCTGCCTTTTCCGAAACAGTTAATATCCCACGACTTATCGAGAGGCAGAGGTAGCCACTGAACCGGGGCTTCACATTCATGAAGTAGATTTTTGGGTTTGTAGTCACAGAGACACACTGAGAAGACTGGATATTTAAGCTAAACTACAATTTTTGTAACCTTGAATTGGTGTTTCTTTTTCTCTGACTATATTGAAAGTATTTCTTAAAATGTCTTTATTGTAATACCTAAGTTCTATTCTTTTTATTGTAAGATTGGCTTTCTTGTTTTTATTTCAGTATAGCTGTGTAATTTAGAGCAAATTACTTAACCATTGTGAACTTCAGTTTCTTCATCTATAAAAATGAGAGCAATGATGGCCGGGTGCGGTGGCTCATGCCTGTAATCCCAGCACTTTGGGAGGCCAAGGTGGGAGGATCACCTGAGGTCAGGAGTTCAAGGCCAGCCTGACCAACATGGTGAAACCCCATCTCTACTAAAAATACAAAATTAGCCAGGCATGGTGGCACATGCCTGTAATCCCAGCTACTTGGGAGGCTGAGGCTGGAGAATTGCTTGAACCCGGGAGGCAGAGGTTGCAGTAAGCCAAGATCACACCATTGCACTCCAGCCTGGGCAACAACAGTGAAACTCCATCTCAAAAAAAAAAAAAAAAATAGCAATGATAAAATTGATCACAGGAAGTTGTTGTGAGGATAAAATAAGGTGATAGATTTAAGACACTGAGCCTGGCAGATTATTAAACCCCTAATAAATGGTACCTATTAGGTGGATATTGTGGCTCACATCTGTAGTCCCAGCATTTTGGGAGGCCAAGGCAGGAGAATCACTTGAGGCCAGGAGTTCATGACCAGCCTGGGTAACCACAGTGAGACCTCATCTCTACAAATAATTTTTTAAAAATTAGTCGGGCATGGTAGCATGCAACTGTAGTCCTAGCTATTCAGGAGGCTGAGGCAGGAGGATCACTTGAGCCCAGGAATTCAAGGTTACAGTGAGCTACAGTCACACCACTGCCCTCTAGTCTAGGTGACAGAGTGAGATCCTGTCTCAAAAAAAAAAAAAAAAAAAAAAAAACAAACAAACAAAAACCTATTATTGGTAGTAATAGCAAATTTTTGAGGTAATAGTAACATCAGCAATTGAGCCACAAAATCCAGGATCTGAATCTGTCAAGCTGAGGACCAGACCTCAAGCCACAGTGACTTCATCCATGCCAGTCAGGCAGCAGGCATTGTTCTTAAACTTCTTTGTTGAGTCTTTAGCTAAAGACTTTAGTAAGTTTTTTGTTTGTTTGTTTGTTTGCTTGCTTGTTTGTTTGTTTGAGATGGAGTCTCTCCCTGTCACCCATGCCAGAGTGCAGTGGAGCGATTTCAGCTCACTGCAAACACTGCCTCCCGGGTTCAAATGATTCTCCTGCCTCAGCCTCCTGAGTAGCTGAAATTACAGGCTTAAGACACCACACCCAGCTAATTTTTGTGTTTTTAGTAGAGTCAAGGTTTCACCCTGTTGGCCAGGCTGGCCTCAAACTTCTGAGCTCAAGCTATCTGCCCGCCTCGGCCTCCCAAAGTGCTGGAATTACAGGCATGAGCCACTGCGCCTGACCGGTGTAAGTCCTTTATTTATAAAAAATGAAGCCATTCATATTAGTTCTCACAAATTTCAGAGTAGTCTTTTTTCTAGATATAAGGATGGATGGATGGATGGATGGATGGATGGATGGATGGATGGACAGACAGACAAAAGATAGATAATCAATAGTGGAAAGTTTAAAATATTATAATCTGAATAGTTTTGGTTTACCATGCCAAATTTCACTATCCAGTCCTCCAACAAATGTTTATTGAATGCTTATTACATGCCAGACATTTTGCTAGGTGCAGTGAATTTGATAGTGGGCAAAGCCAGGGATGCCCTCTGCCCTCATGAGACTTCAAAAACAGAACATCCCAGTGTAATTTTCAGGGCTGTAATATATTGAGGCAGTGACCTGTATGATGCATTCATTTTTCAGTGTTTAAATCCTTTAAGGTCCTCCAAGAACCAGCATCAAATGATTGCTAGTCCTAATTTTCCTGGGCATAAATCACTCCAAGCGTAAATTTCCCATGTTTTGGAGATCACGTGTCCAGGTTTTGCTGGGTGTCGTTCATCAGTGCCCTGCGGTGGGAAATTTATAAAACCATATTCTGGGTCACAGACTCCTCGTGTCAACAATCACTTACAAGGTCATTTAGGCCACCCTCATGCTCCATGAGGGAATGCTCCCATTATGTCTGAAAGTGTTCTTCCAGCTTCAGATAAATACGTTTACCTGCAAAAAAAAAATCATTGCTCTCAAAAAGTAGCTTTTCCCTGACGGCATCATGCTAATTACTTGGAATGACTTTCCCTCAGTGAACATATTGTCATAAAATGATAAATTCCCTGAGGCTAACATTTATCATTTTCCAGACCCTGGTCATGGACCTCACCAGGCTTCCTCAGTCAACTCTACTAAACAAATAAAATTAGATTCATGACATTTGAAAAGGCAGCATGATTACAGTCATCACTTAGAAGACAATGGGGCAAAAGACTGCTCAAAAAATTAAAAAACAATGAAATCCACAAGCCCAGACTCCAGCCAATCCAAAAGATTTAAAATGAGACATGTAAGGTATATGTGTGTGTGTGTGTGTGTGTGTGTGTGTATTTATATGTACATATGTATATGTGTGTATATGTGTGTGTGTATATATACACACACACATATATAAATTGTAAACTAAATTGAAACAAAAAACATTAAGAAAATTTTAACTCTGGTTTCAATTTAAATCAAGAGAGAGAAGGTGTTGGAAAAAATGATCAAATTAAAGCAATTGGGAAATATTTGCTAGGATTACAGAATTCCAAAATGAGCACGAAGCCCTGATTCAGGGCCTAATTGCTCCTGATGGCTGCACTAGACCATCACTAAATTCTCCTTTGTCAAAACCTCTAGTGAAGAGTCTTAAGTGAGAAAATGTAGGGGGGAAATGAAGTGAACTCTTTAGTACTGAATGATTTCACTTTAAAAGAAATCTCCATGTGCACTTTTAAAAAGGTAGTCTGTATCCTGTCAGCATAAATATATGTTCTATAAACCTGCAGTTTGTATTATTAGAAAGCACTGAGCTTAGTTTTTATCAAGTCATTTGAATTTTTTATCCATTTACTCACAATCTTGATAGGGCAGACAATTATTAGACCAAACACAAAGTTAAACGGACCTTCCTAAGTGCAAGAAGCTATTAACTTTTTGCATTTGATCTTGGGTTCTCATTTTAACATGCAATGTAGACATTTAAACACCAGAGGACAGTGTGTGAATGAAAACAAAGTTCAATTGCTATTCATCTAATTCAATTCATTTACTTACTACATCAAAGTAAAATCTTAATTTTAAGTGCTTTTCCCCCCAAAGACATTTTATGTCATTTCATGCTTCAGAAATTAAAAGTAGAGGTTGATAGAAATGTGAATCATGAGACCAACTAATCAAGTTAATTTGAATCATAATGGAAATTAGAAAGATTAATTTCATAAGCAATCATTAATAATGGAAGCTCTCATGTACGAATAATCAAAGCTTTAAGTATTATATGGTAATTAATTCATTACTATGGGTTACATATTTTAAAATAGCTCAAATCTTCCTTGCTTTGGTGTGCTTTTTAATAGCAATCCTTAGGGAAGAAAAGTTAAAAGGTTTCTTTATGAAAGTTTTCTGTATGTGTTTCTTAATGGGCAAGCAAGAAAGTTGAATTAAATTCTACAATAAATAGGCTTGCTCATTTGGTAACAGGCCTTCTTCAACCATAGAAGAAGTCAATTGTCAGACCTTTGTGAAAGAGTAGAAGATTGTGCTATTGACAAAGAAATAGCCTAAGGTGGAAGATTAATTATATAATTTTGTTGTCCAACATTGCAACTAGTATTTTGTTTACATTTAATTTCATTTAAAAAGGCATTTGACTTGGGGCTTGATTTGGAAAGTGGTCTTGTATGCTGTCACCATTTACATCAGTACGCATTCAAACGTTCACTGAATAGTCACATTTCTCATTTGCAATGCCCCTATACTTTTCCCACATTCAAATTTATATGCAAAATACTTGTTATTATGAGTCGTCTACGCAAAAATCAGGCACAAATGGACTTAGAATGTACTTTTAAATATTACCTCTTCTTGTCTTAAGGAATGTTTCAGTATTATCATTAAAGAATTATGAAAACTGTTAGTATATTGTTTCTTATGATAACATAATCTCTAGAATACAATGGATTCCTATCATATTAAGACATATCTTCTGTATAAACCTTCTCATATATATATATCTCTTCTCATATATATAACATCTCCTTCTTCCATTTTTCTCAGTTTTCTAGGTGATCTGGATTTGCCCTGGTCTTGATAATACTTTGACTATAATATTTGACTTCCACAATGCTAATTTTATTCATTCCTCTAGCCAACAAGTACTGATGTCCCCCACATTTTTTTTTTTTTTTTTTTGAGAAGGAGTTTTGTTCTTGTTGCCCAGGCTGGAGTGCAATGGCGTGATCTGGGCTCACCGCAACCTCTGCCTCCCGGGTTCAAGCAATTCTCCTGCCTCAGCCTCCTGAGTAGCTGGGATTACAGGCATGCACCACCATGCCTGGCTAATTTTGTATTTTTAGTAGAGACAGGGTTTCTCCACATTGGTCAGGCTGGTCTTGAACTCCTGACCACAGGTGATCCGCCCACCTCACCCTCCCAAAGTGGTGGGATTACAGGGTGAGCCACCGTGCCCGGCCTGGTGTCTCCCACATTCTAGCCACTCTTTCTAGTACTGGAGATACTATGGCAAATAAGGCAGACTAGATCTGGAGAAAGTTCTACAAAGAAGCTTGCAAGGGCTCTGTGCTTCTCTAAGAATCTAAAAGAAGGCTATTACAACTGGCCCACCGAAGTGAATAAAGGAGAAAGTGACAGATGCTGTCAGATACCACAGAGTCTTGGCAGACTGGGTAAGGGGCTTAGAATTTACTCTGACTGTAATAGGAAGCCACTGGAGTTTTTTAAGCAGGGAAATGGTTTGAACTGATTCCCCTTTTAAAGTATCCCTCTGTTTGAACTGATTCCCCTTTTAAAGTATCCCTCTGCCAAGGAGGCAAGTGCAAAGGTAATGGCAGAGATAAAATGGTGGTTGTACTAGGATTGTAGCAGTGGAAATGATGGGAAGCAGGTAGACTCAGTGCATATTTGAAGGTTGGAGTGACAGGGACTTCTTTCTTGATGGGCTAGCCATAGCGTGTGAAGGACAGAGCAGTCAGTGATGGCTACTGGGTTTGCAGCTGAGAAGTCTGCGGGAGAGGCAGGTTTGCTTGGGGTGAGGGGTTGTTTGGGCCATGATAAATTTGAGGTGATTATTAAATATCCAAGTGGAAAAGTTGAGTTGGCAGCTGGATGTAGAATATGAAGCTCAGGCCGGGTGTGGTGGCTCACACCTATAATCACAGCACTTTGGGAGGCTGAGGCGGGCGGATCACCTGAGATCGGGCGTTCCAGACCAGCCTGACCAATATGGAGAAACCCCTTCTCTACTAAAAATACAAAATTAGCCGGGCGTGGTGGCAGGTGCCTATAATCCCAGCTACTCGGGAGGCTGAGGCAGGAGAATTGTTGAGCCCGGCAGGGGGAGGTTGCGGAGAGCCAAGATTGTGCCATTGCACTCCAGCCTGGGCAACAAGAACAAAACTCTGTCTCAAAAAAAAAAAAAGAAAAGAAAAGAAAAGAAATATGAAGCTCAGAGAGGAGGTCGCAGCTAGATGACTAGATATAGAGCCTCATGAAACTTATCAACTAACTGGAAAAGAGAGAGTTAAGCAAATAGTATGAGTAATAGATAATTCTTTTCTAGAAAAGAGAGTACATCTGACACATAAAAAAGAAAAAAAAAGAGCACAATGGGAGGAAAGCCGTATTTAAATTGAAGGATTCAAGACAGCCTCTTTGAGAGTGAAAACTCTGAAGACTTCTTTAGCAGCATTGTATTTAAGAGTTAATGACCTCAGATTACAGACCAGACCTTTACCTGTAAAATGATAATTGCTCAGGGAAATAGATCCCTAATTACATGCACCTTCTAATTCATAGCAGCACCCTAGATCATTTTCCTACCAATTACAAATATCATCCTTCATAAATATTATATGGAGCATATGCTCGCACAATGGACTATGACCAAGTGGCTAAGCCCTGGTTGTCAATTCTTTAATTTTTCTCTTGTTTGTAACTCTTTGTAGAGAAAAGAGGGGAACAACAGCATCAATGAATAAGGAATGATATATATTGAAGTAGCCTGTATCATATGCTTAAACTCTCCCTTCCACACCTCTCAAAATTCCAAGTTTTCTTTTCCATTTTGAATACCCATTATTATCGTAAGTTAAAGCCAGTATCTCAAACTTCATTTTCCAATTTCTCTTTCTTTCTTTCTTTCTTTGAGAGACTTAAGCCAAGTTCTTCCTGTAGTCTGTCAGACTGTTCACAGGTAACAGCACTCTCCTGTGGCACGAATTGCAGAACAGCTTGCTGTAAGTCTCGTCTGTCACATAATTCATTATCAGAATGTTTAATATTTTTCCTCGGGAATAAGAAGTTGTACTTCAGGAAAAAAAATAGAATAACCTCCCAAATAATGGTTCATAATCTTCTTAAAAAGCCAACCTTGGCAAGGCTAACATTGCCATTTTCAAATTGATTTGTTCTACCTAAGCTCCTCGCCCAGAAATTACTGAATACACACACACACACACACACACACACAAGTACAAAAATGTTCCTAAAACAGACTAAATGGTATGCATGTATTTTTAGGTTTTGGTTTATGCTCCCCTTAGATGCTGTCACAGAGGATCTAGTTGAACAATAAAAATATTAGAAATGCAGTTATTTTTACTGAGTTGATTGGAGCAAGCAGTTTGTAGTCTCAGAATGTAGCAAAGCTACCTAGACACTGTCAAGCTGGTAATCAAATACTTTCTTTACTAACATCTTAGTTTCTAAACCATAAAACTTGACTATTAACAGTTTCTTTCATTTCTGTTTCAATGGATTATATCCTATTTGGACTGGATCATTCCCACTGAGCCTCTGACTTCACCCTTTTGTTTGATCTCCAGCCTCCAACCCCCTTCCTGACAATCCTTCTGCCCAACTCGACCAGATTATGCTTCCTAAATTATCTCTTTGATCACGTCACTTTCTTGCTCAAAAATATTGGTGGCTCAGTATTTCTCCATGAAGTCCAAACCACTCAATGTAACACCAGCTGGCATCTCACTTCTCTCATAAACACACCCTGCAGCCCAGCTAAGCAGAGGTATCCACCATTGCTGTGCCTCATTTGAGAAGAACTTCCCCTCCACATCTTTGTTGAAGTTTTAAGCTTCCTTTAAGGTCCAACTTAAATGCTGTCTTCAAGATGATCTCTCTGATCATTAATTCTTCGAAAACAGCTTACACTCTCTGTAGCTATCAGTAGAGGGCTCCCAAAGTGACACCTATTAAGTGCCATGTACTCTTGCATTATGGGTCCTGCATTTGCATCATTGTTTGTTTGTTTTTTAATCTTTCCCACTAGAGTGTAAGGTCCTTACATTGAAGCCAGCCTCTATCTCCTTGTTTATCACTATATACCCATGGTATAGCACAGTATCCAGCACAAAGTAGGTGCTCAATAAATATTTCTTAGCCCAAATTACTAAGTTGTCTGAAACTTTAGTAGTGACATTAATTTTAGCCTGATCTAAAGAAGCACTGTTTTTAGAATATTTACACTGACAGCAAGTCTTCTTACTTCCTCTCTTACTACATTTTTTATTAATTAAAATTTTTGTGGTTTATGCTGTGCATTTTTACGTTTGCTTACTGTTGTCATGTATTCCATGAGAACAAGCAGGCTGTCTGTTTTACTTATGTGTTTATTTATTTATTTTTATTTTATTTTTAGATGGAGTCTCACTCTGTCACCCAGGCTGGAGTGCAGTGGTGCGATCTTGGCTCACTGCAACCTCCACCGCCTGGGTTCAAGCAATTCTCCTGCCTCAGCCTCCCTAGTAGCTGGGATTACAGGCGCACACCACCATGCCAGGTTAGTTTTCGTAGTTTTAGGTGAGATGGGGTTTCACCATGTTGGCCAGGCTGGCCTTGAACTCCTAACCTCAAGTGATCCACCTGTCTCAGCCTCCCAAAGTGCTGGGATTATAGGCGTGAGCCACCGCACCTGGCCTTGTTTTATTTTTAAAAAGAACCATGCTTGACAGGTTTTTAGATTGATCCCCAGCCCTACTGCCCAGTAAACCAATGGTTCAGCAATGGTAACATAGAGACCTTCAGCTTTTCAGCCTAAGGCTTTCTATTTTTACCCGCTACAAGACTTAGCTTGAGCCTTGAGAGGAACTTACCTTAGTTTTCTTAAGGGTCTGTAGCCAATAATGTTATCCATATGTCTTTTTAAAGCCTTAAATGGAATTGATGCAAATTCACTAGTATCCATTTATCTCAGTTCTGCAAAACCAAGTTAGTAGAGCCATGCAGCCAAGGTCATACTGTTTATTCCAGAGACTTATTTCCCCCATGTGCCTTTTCGAGCTCCCACAAAGGACTACTAGTGTTATACTTGCCCAAAGTGAAAGCACAACATGAGATTCTTGTAGTAATCTGTGTTCTCCTCCCTCTCCTTTCCCTTCCCCGCTTGCCATTCCTCCTTCTCTCCCCACCCGCTCAGTCATCAATGAGTTCCGTTCTGTCCCCACTCTAATAACTATAAATGACACCAATGCCCAGCAAGGAGCAAAGGTCAAACAGCTCTCCTGTATTCTTTATTTTTCTACCAAGATTGCAGGATTTATGTGGCAACAAAGAATAAAGAACTGGGCAGCAAATACAAATTTGTAAATTTTAAGAACAGAGAGCTTAAAACACAGTGCCCATCAGAAAAAAATATACATATATTATAATTGTTTCAAGTCTTGAAAAAGAAGTAGTCTTTGCTGTGGTGAGCAGGCAAATAACAACAACAGATTCCTGAGGGAATGTGATAGGCTTTTCCTATGATAGGCTTTGAATCAAATAAGTACAGGTCATGGATTTTCAAATATTTTTCTAGTGTGTCCATTACTTTCCAAAAGGTCCATCTCTCTGCTGTTGCTGTTGCGACAGCTGCCAGGTTCTCCAAGCAGAAGGAGGGAGAGAGGCTCCTGCAGCTTCCCCAGGGCACTCGACCCCTCCACCCACACACCTTCATAAAACATTCAGAAACCTCTCTGCTCAGTTATATGTGCATATACCACTGCACAATAACTGTCCTAACCACATGTTATCCCAAATAACCTCAATGGCACTGTTATGACAGACTACGAACAAGGCATGGGGACTCAGCCAGGATTATGTAATAGGGTTTTGGCCTGTCTTGAAGCCAGGAGTGATTATTTCTACTAATAATAGCTATCATTTATTAAATTCCCACCAGGTGCCAGCTGCTTTATATATGAAATAATGATGAGAGGTGGTAACATTTATTGACTTGCTCATTATATGCTAGGTACTGTTACAGATTTGTAACATGTATTTTCTCATTTAACCCCTACTCCCCCCAACTGCTATATATTAATTTTTTTAGCTATATATTAATTTTTTTATTATATAAAAAAGGGCTATATATTAATTTTTTTAGCATCAGTAAATAGATGAGGAAACTGAGGTGCAAACAGTTTAAATAACCTGCCAAGGTCACACAAGTAGTAAATGCTGGAGCTGGGACATGAAGCCTGGAAGCCCAACTCCAAAACCACACCCTTAACCATCATGTTAAATTATCTTCCTGGTTGAGTTACTTTTAATCCTCATCAAAACTCTACTTTATACCCAGTTCATATGGGAA
This sequence comes from Homo sapiens, assembly GCF_000001405.40. Taxonomy (NCBI): domain Eukaryota; kingdom Metazoa; phylum Chordata; class Mammalia; order Primates; family Hominidae; genus Homo; species Homo sapiens. The sequence goes on along the minus strand of NC_000002.12, from coordinate 191,515,185 downwards.
AACTGAGGCTCACAGTTGTTAATTAATGTAGGTAGTAGCTGGGGTTCTGTTCAGTGTCATGAGACACCAAAGCCTGGGGATGTGGGGTACAGAGCTCTATCACCCCAGGAAGTTCTGTGGCTGTCTAGCCTTGGACAAAGGAGTTAAGTCGCTGAAGTTTTCTTCAAGAGCTTCCACCTTCTATCTTTTCCATGTTTGATCCCCTTTCCATCTCTGAACTCTCCCTGAGGCCCATCGCCCCCTGCCACCACCCCTACCCTCCCGTTATAAAACTCTTCTTTGTCTCCTTCCTGAAGGGGCCTCTATAAGGGAACTCATAAATTAGCCCTTCCTAATTTTTCATGGTATAATATTAGCACTTTAGAGTGCTGACTCTGCTGAAAATGCAAATCTCAGGCCACACAGACATAGTGGTCCTGACTCGGTAGAGCTGGGTGGGGCCCAAGGATCTGCGTTTTTCAGTAAGCACCCCATGATTCAGATGTGGGCAGCCCAGCTTGATTGACTCTAGTGCAGTATGTCCACACCTTCTGACAGAAGATTTGCATCATAGAAAGGGATTTTATGTTGGGGATTTGAGGTCAGGGCAAGTGAGATATTAAAGCAAAAAGACCTTCGGATTTTGTTTTTGTTTGTTTGTTTTGGGTTTTTTCCTTTTTTTTTTTTTTTTTTTTTTTTTTTTTGAGACGAAGTCTCACTCGCCCATGCTGTAGAGCAGTGGTGCAATCTTGGCTCACTGCAACCTCCACTTCCCAGGTTCAAGCGATTCTCCTGCCTCAGCCTCCCAAGTAGCTGGGACTACAGGCATGTGCCACCACGCCAGACTAATTTTTGTATTTTTAGTGGAGATGGGGTTTCACCTTGTTGGCCAGGCTGGTCTCAAACTGCTGACCTCAGGTGATCCGCCCGCCTCGGCCTCCCAAAGTGCTCGAATTACAGGCATGAGCCACCATGCCTGGCAGGCCTTTGGGTTTTGTTTTCCTCTGGCTATCATATTGGTCAGATTTGGGTATATATTTTACTTATGTAAATTTTAAAGTGAAGGCCTTTCAAATACTCTTCTCTTAAATTTAAATAATTGGTCTTTTAAAAAGACAGAATAAAATTTAAAAGTTCCTGTTTATTACCAAAAAGCTTACTAAATAATAACTTTTCCTTTATTTGGTCATTGAATATACGCATATCTCACACGTGAAATAAACAGTGTTGGAGTTCCTTTTATGCTGAAACCAGGCTTCTTTCCAGGTGTTTCAAGGGGTGTGTCCTGAGGAATAATGTATAGTTTTTAAAGACACAATTTGTTTTTTTCTTTTTTCTTTTCTTTTTTTTTTTTTTTTTTTTTTGTGAGTCTCACCCTGTCGCCCAGGCTGGAGTACAATGGCATGATCTCAGCTCACTGCAACCTCCGCCTCCCGGGTTCAGATGATTCTCCTGCCTCAGCCTCCCAAGTAGCTGGGATTACAGGCACCCACCACCATGCCCAGCTAATTTTTGTATTTTTAGTAGAGACGGGGTTTCACCATGTTGGCCAGGCTGGTCTCGAACTCCTGACCTCGTGATCTGCCTGCCTCGGCCTCCCCAAAAGACACAATTTCTTTACCAATACCTTAAAAGTTATGTTTTGAAAGAATTGAGCATTTTTCTCTATAGTATTTCCATGAACTTTCTTCCAACAAGATTCAGCATGAGAAAGTTTAAAATACTAATGATAAGAAAATATATAGAAAGTAGAAAAAATAGAGGATTTTTTTTAAGCTCAGAAGTTTGAACATGAAGCATTTTGAACCATTAGACACCACACAAACAACGAAGAGTCCCACCCCAAGGGGACTTAACAGTTGGCAAAGACAACCATAATGTCATAAATAAATTAAGCTAGAATAAATATGAAGGCATGCCCTACCTCTTTTATTTTAAGTGCAGAGCTTTCTTGCAAAATTCTTATTAGTAATAAATTCCCTTTGCTACCATGGTGACCTTATAGTTTAAAATGTTCAGTTCTTTTTTCCAGCCAACTTAGGATGTGTTCTGAAGGTTTTATCTGAACTTTTTTTCCAGATACTGTACTTTTCTGGTTGGCATTTGCATAGTGATTTGCATAATGTTATTCCTGATAAAGCTCTGGTTCTCTGAAGAAGAAAATTAGCAATTATTATTTTGCCACGGAATGAATGATAGCTCAGAATGTTAGCTACCAACCTCGTTTAAAAACTTTTGAAACAGGGCATAAAAATAATATGAAGACATGTAGGATTAAAAAAATTACCATCTCACCAAGCACGGCACAGGCTGCTCTTGCAGTGATTAAGGGTGTCCACGGAAGGTCTGGAAGGAGGGGTGGAGGGGCCAAGTTGTCAGTTGCTAGAAAGGCAAAAAGAGCAGGCAAATTATTGGGAGCAAACCATTTAATGAAGGCTTTGTTAGCATGTAGGGCTGCCATGCTGTATGACAGCTGGCACTTAAGTGTCTCATTATTAAGGCAACGTAATTCTGTCCATCTGCAAGCTTGGGAAAAGGGCAGTAATGGCTCACTATCACCCAGAGCAACAGTGTCTCTAATTACAATTTTCCATACTGAAAGACACCGCACATACATGCTACCCATACCCGTATAGGCACCCATTGTTGTTTAGAGTAAGAGAGGATGTTTCTTTATCTCAACACTTCTCTTAGATGACTCCACATCTTCTTACAGCCATTAGGGAAGGCCGCTCTTGTTCCTGAGAAAGAAGTGCCCAGCTGCGCTTTCTCTCCAGGGTTATGGTAACAGCGCATCAAGTCACATCATTAACTGGACTGCCACAGAAGACAGGGTGAGGGAGAGGGCTTCCAGCAAAAGCTCATCAGTGTCATCTCACACATCCAAAATATTAAACAACCTTAGCATTTTTTAGTGGGTTGAAAAGGTCAACGGACACAAACACTGATTTATTTATAGGATAATAGCAAAGTCTTTCATAAGATGGCCCTTAAAATTTAAATTTTGTCTTGTAACTGAAGTTATAGGACAGTTAGAACATGAAAATAAATGAAAAGGAAAAAAACTCTACTTCTACTACCCAGAGACAAACAATACCCTTATGACATCCTTTTATTCTATGTGATATATATATATATACACACATACATATTTGTTAGATATCTACCCATATATGCCATGATACTGATTTACAACCTGCTTTTTTCCATAAATAATATTCTGCTAACATATTTCCTTGTTTTTCGATATTTGACCTTACAACACAGTTTTTAATGGCTGCCTAATATTTCAATTATAAAAATGTACTTTTTTTTTTTGAGACAAGAATTTCACTCTTGTCTCAAAAAAAAAAAAAAGTCTCACTCTTGTTTCCCAGGCTGGAGTGCAGTGGCGCAATCTCGGCTCACTGCAACCTCCTGGGTTGAAGCGATTCCCCTCCCTTAGCCTACTAAGTAGCTGGGATTACAGGCACCTGCCACCATGCCTGGCTAATTTTTGTATTTTTAGTAGAGACGGGGTTTTACTCAGCTGGTCAGGCTGGTCTCGAACTCCTGACCTCAGGTGATCCACCTTCCTCAGCCTCCCAAAGTGCTGGGTTTACAGGCGTGAACCACTTTGCCCAGCAAAAAATGTACAGTCTTTTATTTACCAGCCCCCTACTGTTAGGGTTTTGGATTTTTTTTTTTTTTTTTTTTGCTATTATATAAACATTTATTGTTTTCTGTATTGTTGTTTGTTTGTTTTTGAGACAGGGTCTTCCTCTGTTGCCCAGGCTGGAGAGAAATGGTGTGATCATATTGCATTATAACCTCAAGCTCCTGGGCTCAAGTGATCCTCCTGCCTCAGGCTCCAGAGTAGCTGGGACTGTAGGTGCATGCTGCCAAGTCCAGCTAATTTTTAATTTATTGTAGGTGGCAGCAGAGTGGGAGAGGAGACTGGGTCTTGCTTTGTGGTCCAGGCAGGTCTCAAACTCCTAGGCTCAAGTTATCCTCCCACCTTGGCCTCCCGAAGTGCTGGGATTACAGGTGTGAGCCACTGTGCCCAGCTCCTTTCTTAAACATAAAAAGAGATGATCACAGCCACATAGTAATAGTTTTATTTCTAGTATTTCACTGACTGAAGAAATTTCTAGAAATGAACAGCTACTATTAATTTAGCAATACTTTTCAATGAATTTTATTTTATTAATTACAATAGCATCTATACATATTTAACAGGTAGTCATACATACACACAACTACAAAACCTATTTGATTCCCATATAATTCCCTGACACCCTATACCTTCCAGAGAATCTCTGGGCGTCTCTAACCCACAGGTGGAAGACATTTGGTTACAACACTTACCTGGGAAGGATCTTCCAAGTGTAGTTGCAGAGGCCGGCATTAACATCTCCTTAAATTTTAGAATCACAGTGATATTGGCCCCTTAAAAGTCAAGTGTTAGGCCAGGGGCGGTGGCTCATGCCTGTAACCCCAGCACTTTGGAAGGCCGAGGCGAGCAGATCACCTGAGGTCAGGAGTTTGAGAACAGCCTGGCCAACACGGAAAAACCCCGTCTCTACTAAAAATACAACAATTAGCTGGGCATGGCGGCGCATGCCTGTAATCCCAGCTACTCAGGCGGCTGAGGCAGGAGAATCACTTGAACCTGGGAGGCGGAGGTTGCAGTGTGCCGAGATCGCGCCACTGCACTTCAGCCTAGGCAAGCCTGGGCAGCAGAGTGAGACACTGTCTCAAAAAAAAAAAAAAAAAAAAAGCCAAGCGTTAATTTGTTTTCAGTTGTCTGTATTTGTTCTTTTATAAAGTTTAAGAAAATTTCTTAAATCTCAAAGTTAGAAAAATTGCAATTTCGAACTGGACATGTCAGAAGAGGTCACGGGAAGAAAGGAAAGGGAGAAGCAAGTCTTCAGCTCCTGGTTAAGAGCCAAGTGCTGTGCTCGATGCTTTCATACCTGCTATCACAGGTCCATGAATCTGCTTGTATTAACAGCTGATATTCAAGATCAATATTTTGTCTTAAAAACAAATGAAGAGGCCGGGCACAGTGGCTCACGCCTGTAATCCCAGCACTTTGGGAGGCCGAGGCGGGCAGATCACGAGGTCAGGAGATCGAGACCATCCTGGCTAATGCAGTGAAACCCCCGTCTCTACTAAAAATACAAAAAAATTAGCCGGGCGTAGTGGCGGGCACCTGTAGTCCCAGCTACTCGGGAGGCTGAGGCAGGAGAATGGCATGAACCCGGGAGGCAGAGGTTGCAGTAAGCTGAGATTGCGCCACTGCACTCCAGCCTGGGTGACAGAGCGAGACTCCGTCTCAAAAAAAAAAAATAAAAAAAAAATGAAAACTTTGTATGTTAGGAAAATTCATCCATACTCAGTTTTGAAAAAACAAAGAAGTAAGCTACATACCCCATTGACCCTGATGTGATTATTACACATTTTATGCCTGTATCAAAATCTCTGACATACTCCATAAATGTATACACCTACTATGTACCCATAAAATCTGTTTTAATTAAAATTTAAAAAGGGGTAAGCTAGCCTCATGGCATAAGGAAAACTCAGTCTGTGTCTTCACTCTTACATCCAAGAGTTGAAGAATAATGCAGGAGTAAGAGGAAAATCAATTTTGAAGAAGGAAAACAACCAAACAAATCTGTTTTAATTGTCCACATCAATTCAACTCAGCACATTACATTTATTTTTAGGTTTTGGCATATTTTATGCAATTTTACTACTTAAAATTCAAGAGGACAACTCATTGGCTATTTCAGCATTTAGTTATTTATAGGTACACAATAAAAATTAAATACTTGTCCAAACCTACCCAAATGAATTTATAACAACTGCACAAATATCTTCCATTATCATCCAAATTAGCAGGCCTATAAAATTTCATTTTATGTTTTTGAATGGGAACAGGATATAAATCATAGTACAGTTTTTAAGAATTCAGATTCAGATAGAATATATTTTCAAGAACATGAAAATGCTTATGATATGTGGGGGGAAGTACATAAAGCTGCTCAGTGACATGGTATTTATTTTTAATTGTATCAATGCAACCCAGGTATCAGCTGATACCGCCTGCCTTTAAGATTTAAATACAATTGTTTTCACACCTTTCCAAATTTTATGGGGAGCTTGAGGTCCTCTCCAAAATTCCTGTGAATCCTGAGATGTACTTTGTCACTGTCACTTGTGGTGTCAGGTTTCTTCTATTAAACTGGATCTCATGCAAACGTCATCACCCATGGCACTTCTCGACCCCCTGCCTCCACCTCGATGCAGGCATGGAATTCAGCCATTTTTTATTTTCCCCAAACACATGAAGCCTTAGGGTATGAAGCTAGACAACACAGAGTTAGGGTGTCCAAGAAGATCACATATCAGGAACACAAGTTCAAATGAAATTGTTTGTAAAAGTTCTCTAACTGCCCTACTGTAGGAATCTCTCGTATTGAATTCAAGCAGTAGCTTTCTTCCTGGCTGCTCTGCTCTCCTCTCCTCTTATTGTCTCTCTTTTCTCCCTTCTCTTCTCTTCCCAAAGCTACACTCCTGTTCATTTCACGTGGAGGGCAATTGCACTGTCTCTGTTGTTTCCTTCTAAATGTGCCCTGGAGCTTCATTGTCTGTATACCAGAGACTTATCAAGCACTTTTCCTAAACAATATACCATCTTCCCCCACTTTGTCCCCTCCCCCACTTCCTCTGCCCCCTTCTCCCTCCCTCTTTCTCCACAAACACACACACACATGCATACATGCACACATATGTAGTGTGATAAATATTCGTTTTTTGGATTACATAACTACTTTTATAGTTAGAGAACATTATTTAAAACATGTATTTTGGAATAAAGATGAAATGGGCTTTCTTCTGTTTTTTGGTCTGGAGACTGCTGGCAAAGTTGCTTGGGGAAGGCCCATTGTTAGAATGAATGTAAAGTATCAGTAATAAACACTGTTTATTCTTTATAATTTCCTAATGCCAAGAAAGTTGTACTCTGACGAGGTTTGTTTCTTTTCTTTTCTGTTCTTTCTTTTTTTTTTTTTAACTAAGAGGTGTTTCATTCAAAATTCCTATAGGGTGTTGCGGGTGGTTATTTCTGCCAAGTTACATTCCAAATTGTTGAGAAGGGGTCTAGATTATAAATAGGATCCCCAAAAGAAATGACCTTTCAAAAAAGAAAACATATGTACATGTACTCACATATCTATCAGGGTGCCAGATATTGGGGAAACCAGCCCCCAATATTTCAATGTAGGTTCTTTTCTATTTTCTCTAAGTGTCGGCTGGTCTGAGAAATAAAGGGAAAGAGTACAAAAGAGAGAAATTTTAAAGCTGGGTGTCCGAGGGAGACATCACATGTCAGCAGGTTCCGTGATGCCCCCTGAACCATAAAACCAGCAAGTTTTTATTAGCAATTTTCAAAGGGGAGGGAGTGTACGAATAGGGTGTGGGTCACAGAGATCACATGCTTCAAGGGCAATAAAATATCACAAGGCAAATGGGCAGGGCAAGGTCACAAGGCCAGGGCGAAACTAGAATTGCTTATGAAGTTTCATGTCCCACTGTGCACGCATTGTCATTGATAAACATCTTAACAGGAAACAGAGTTCAAGAGCAGAGAACTGGTCTGACTAGAATTCGCCAGGCTGGAATTTCCTAATCCTAGCAAGCCTGGGGGTGCTGCAGGAGACCAGGGCGTGTTTCATCCCTATCTACAACTGCATAAGGCAGACACTCCCAGAGCAGCCATTTTAGAGGCTCCCCCAGGAATGCATTCTTTTCCCAGGGCTGTTAATTATTAATATTCCTTACTGGGGAAAGAATTCAGTGATATTTCTCTTACCCGTTTTCAGTAATAAGAGAAATATGACTGTCCTGCCCAGCTCCCAGGCAGTCAGACCTAATAGTTATCTCCCTTATTCCCTGAGCATCACTGTTATCCTGTTCTTTTTTCAAGGTGCCCAGATTTCATATTGTTCAAACACACATGCTTTATGAACAATTTGTGCAGTTAACGCAATCATCACAGGGTCCTGAGGCGACATACGTCCTCAGCTTACAAAGATGACAGGATTAAGAGATTAAAGTAAAGACAGGCATAGGAAATTATAAGAGTATTGTTTGGGAAGTGATAAATGTCCATGAAATCTTCACAATTTATGTTCAGAGATTGCAGTAAAGACAGGTGTAAGAAATTATAAAAGTATTAATTTGGGGAACTAATAAATGTCCATGAAATCTTCACAATTTATGTTCTTCTGCCATGGCTTCAGCCAGTCCCTCTGTTCGGGGTCCCTGACTTCCCACAACACATATCCCAAACCATATAACAGGTACTTTTGGTTGCCAACACAATGGCCATCCCCCACCCAGCTCCTTTTAAAAAATAACGTCAGAGGCATTCATTCCTGAGGCTACTCCCCTCCCCTGAATCAAGATTCAGGGATACACCTTGATTGGTCTAAGCCAACTGTGGTGGTGCAGTCTTCCCTGCTGGCACATATTAAGCATGTGCATGTGATCCAGTTCTGACCAATAGGCTATGAGCAAATATTTGCTCGGGGTTTGGGGGGTTGTTAAAAAGTGGTTTCTTTACTCTTGAAAGAAAAAAAAAAAGCTCAAAGAAGAGAGACTCCCTTCTTCTTCTAGACTTTTTCATGTCTGCACATAACACCTAGGGCTGTGCCAGCTGTCCTGTATCTATGAGTATGGCAAGCGAGGGGATGACACTGACAAGATGAGATGGCAGAGTGAACACACACACACAAAAAAATGGAATCCTTCATGACATCCTTTCACCTCTGAATTAAATAAACCAGCTGCCTGAGCACTTATTTTTTCTTAGGAAAAATAAATTGGCCTTCTTATTAAACCAGGTGAGTTTGGATTTTTTGGCTTCTTGTGCCAAAAGCATCTTCCTGATATGCTATGTTCAAGCCATTGACTAAAACTAAACCCCTTTAACACAATATTTATACTGAATCAATGTGAACTTCTATCTCTGGGGATGCCATTTTCTTTTTTTTCTTTCCTTTTTTTTTTTTTTTTTTTGAGACAGAGTCTCACTCTATTGCCCAGGCTGGAGTGCAGTGGCGCCATCTCGGCTCAGTGCAACCTCCGTCTCCCAGGTTCAAGCAATTCTCCTGCCTCAGCCTCCTGAGTAGCTGGGATTATAGGCACGCACTACCACGCCCGGCTAATTTTTTTGTATTTTTAGTAGAGATGAGATTTCACCAAGTTGGCCAGGCTGATCTCAAACTCCTGACCTCAAGTGATCCACCCACCTCAGCCTCCCAAAGTGCTGGGCTTACAGGCTTGAGCCACCACGCCTGGCCGAGGCTTTCATTTTCATCTACATGCTTAAAGATGCCTCTTTCACCAACCCCTCTGGAATTGCTCTGTTTACGTTTCCTTCCTGGCAATTAATAACAGCTATTTTGGCTCAGAAAAATCAACAACTGGACCCTGTGCTTTCTTCTCCATTGTACCAAACAGTACCCAGAAGAAGAAGGGTGATACAGAGAAGATGAGTTGGTGATGTCACAAGAATGGCTCCCCTTGACTCACAGCCAAATTTATGGGGTAAAGAATCACCAAAGCAGTCAAGGTTCCACAGTCTGATGGAGGTCACTAACAGCATCTATTTATTCTGTCTTGTATGCAGACCTAAATTTGGTTCAAAAATAGCAGAATGACATTTTATAGGAAATTGACAAAGACACCATAGTAAATATTTAAAAGACCGACTTGTTTCAAAAGTGCCTCTGTTGCCCTATCCTTTCTTGTTGTCCAGCCCAGGGGTTTTAGGATCAGCAATGAAGTTTTGTCATGTCCTGATCATGCTGGTTTGTAATATCTGTCCTACTACCAACCCGCACCCAATGAGATGGGTGTGGCTAGAAGCAGTAATGGAGCAATCCTGACAAGAGGCATTTTCCATACCTCCTAACAGTGGAGTCCCGATGCCCATCTCATAGCACGAGTAATTTCTCTGTGTTATCAAAAGTATTCTGTTTAAATGTTTAATTTAACCTTGCAAATAATTATGAAATATGATCCACCCCACATATAGGCTGATTATCTTTCAAAATGTCACAGAAGGAAAAAAAAAATACCCTATGGATTATTTACATCTCTCTCAGCTCATCTCCTGAAGGCCAGAATTTGAGAGAGCAATTTAATACGTGCTTCTGTTATTCTTTGTTCCTAAGTCTCCATTTAGGATCATTGATATTAATCCAACTTAAACCTCAGCAATTGGTTATGTGACCTTAAACAAGTTGCTTAACCTCTTTAAGCCTCAGTTTCCTAGTAAAATTAGACAGTAATTTTATTGCAAAGAGTAAGATAATGTTGTAGGAGTTATTAAGAAATTATTTTAGGCAAATAGAGAGGAAAAAGCGTCCTTGGAAAGTTTTCATTTTTTAAAGCATCTTTGGAAAAGTTTCTTGTAAAGCCCCAGCTCTTAGAGCCAGGCCGGCAACCTTTGATATACAAATGCTGGCCATTAGAAACTGGGTCCACCCGGCCAGGCGCGGTGGCTCACGCCTGTAACCCCAGCACTTTGGGAGGCCGAGACGGGCTGATCACAAGGTCAGGAGATCTAGACCATCCTGGCTAACATGGTGAAACCCCATCTCTGTTAAAAAATAGAAAAAATTAGCCAGGCGTCGTGGCAGGTGCCTGTAGTCCCAGCTACTGGGGAGGCTGAGGCAGGAGAATGGCGTGAACCTGGGAGGTGGAGCTTGCAGTGAGCCGATATCGTGCCACTGAACTCCAGCCTGGGCAAGAACGAGACTCCGTCTCAAAAAAAAAAAAAGAAACTGGGTCCACCCAACATGGCCAGTCTGGCAACCTTTAATAAGCAAATGCCAGCCGTTAGAAACTGAGTCCACCCAACATGGTGATTCCTGCAGCCTTCTTGCCCTTGCCCCACATGTGCCTGGAAACATGGCTGCCCCCATCTATCCCCACATGTGTAGAACATCATGGTGCCCTGCATTTGCATATTAAAAGGCTAGGGTACGAGGGCCATTTTTTTCACGGGCTATGTGAATGACATGCCTTGTCAAACCAACCCCCTGAGCCCTACGCAAATCAAACATCGCCTCCTCCAGCCTCTTCATATACCTGGTTGGTTTCCGTGGCAAGTGGGGTTCCCTCTCTTGGCTTTGGAGTCCCCCTCCCTCTGTCTCTGTACAGGGGAGCTTTTTCCTTCTCCCTTCCTTCTTACTCCTTCTTGCCTATTAAATTCTCCGCTCCTTAAAACCACTCCACGTGTGTTTGTGTCTTATCTAATTTGATGTGAGACAAGAGCCCTGGTGTTCCTCCACTCATCAGAGCCACATCAATAATTTAGGTGAAGTGCTTGGCCTAATGCTTTGCGAAAAGCAAATGCTAATAAATATCAGCTTGTTACTGGTGGAAGTTATCTGAGTTACAGGTGGCAAATCCCTATGGGTCTGTAGCAACCTCAATTCTTGCCTCCTCAAAAGAAAGAATTCAACTGAGGGGCATAAGGCAGAAAAAGAGACTGAAGCAAGTTTCAGAGCAGGAGCGGAAGTTTACTGAAAAGCTTTAGAGAAGAAAGGAAAGTACACTTGGAAGAGACTCAAGTGGCAACTTGGAGGTCAACTGACCCATTTGATCTTGAACCTAGCATTTCATATGCATTTCACTTCCGGTGTTGTGATCCCTTTTTCCCTTGATTCTTCCCTTAAGGTGAGCCACCCACATGCGAGGTAGCCTACTGGTGCCTAGGAGGTGAGCGCGTGGTGTGTTTACTGGAGTTGTATGCATGCTCACCTGAGGCTTTCCTCCCTTTTCCAGTGGAATGCCGGGAAGGTCATACTCCACCATTTTGCCTCTTAACGTGCATGCTCGAGACCACGTGCCCAATTTCTGAAAGCTGCCCATTACCAGTTTCAGGGGTTTTTATGTACTGGGAAACTGCCTCTCCCTGGCGCTGGCTGCAACCAATTATTATATTAGAGAGGTACTGTGACAACTGCCTGACCATCATCCAATGGTCACCTGACATTCCTGGTGAGTGGGAGATGCCCTCTCCTGCCCTGCTGATGCCCGACTAGCTACCTTTTGTAACAAGCTGTTGTTGTCTTGTGTCATTGTTGCTAACAATTCTGCAAAGAACTTTGGAGTTTGGCTAAAGAAAAATAAATTTAGTTTTGTCATGGTCCTTCTTTTACCTTCCTTATGTAAACCAAAAATAAAATTCTAAGTCCCCCCAACCATCTGAATGGACTTCCTTCTTGGCCACGGTGCTCTTAAAATTTAACCTGAGAGACTGGTTTAGGCCAGGACAGGAAGTGAGGGTTGGACAGCATTCATTATAGCTCACTGGCATCGACATCAATGTAGACCTTAAGTCTGATAAGAAGCATTTACAGGCCAGGCACGGTGGCTCACACCTGTCATCCCAGCACTTTGGGAGGCTGAGGCAGGCAGATCATGAGGTCAGGCACTCGAGACCAACCTGGCCAACATAGTGAAACCTCGTCTCTACTAAAAATACAAAAAAAAATTAGCCGGGCATGGTGGCTTTCTCCTGTAGTCCCAGCTACTCGGGAGGCTGAGGCAGGACCTGGGAGGCAGAGGTTGCGTTGAGCCCAGATCGGGCCACTGCACTCCAACCTGGGCAGCAGAGTGAGACTCCGAGACTCCATCTCAAAAAAAAAACCAAAAAAACAAAAAAAGCACTTACAATTCATTCTCTCTGAAGCCGGCTACCTGGAGGCTTCATCTGCATGATAAAACTTTGATCTCCACAACCTCTTATTACAACCCAGACATTTCCTTTCTGTTGATCCCAGGTCTAGATAAGCTCAACCAATTGTCAACCAGAAAATTTTAAAATCTACCTATAAACTGGACCGCCCCCCCAACCCTCACCACCTTTGAGTTGTTCCGCCTTTCTGGACCAAACCAGTGTATTTCTTAAATGTGTTTGATTGAAGTCTCTTGCCTCCCAAAAAATGTATGGAACCCAAGCTGCACCCCGACCACCTTGGGCACATGTTCTCAGGACCTCCTGAGGGCTGTGTCATGGGCCATGGCCACTCATATTTGACTCAGAATAAATGTCTTCAAATATTTTACAGAATTTGACTCTTTTTGTTGACACTTAACCATAAAATGGAGACGATATTCTGTCTAACGTTGAAGAATTAAGTAAAACTAAATCTTTAAGCACTAGATTTTACAGGCAGAATTTTGTTACTATAAAGTGTTAGATTAAAAGTTTATTTCTAAATGCTTGTTCATTTCAGAAAATTAAAGCTTTTTCTTTGATAATTACAATACTGCTGTCTTTTCTTGCACAAAGAAAGACAATGGAGAAACAAGGTAACAGGAAGTCCCCATAAGTTTTCCTCTTATTTTACTAAACACTGTACAACCAAGAGGCAAAATTAATTCCACAAGAGGGAGACAGGTCCATGCTGAATTTCCTCAGGGAAAGAAAAAAAAAAAAGAAACTATGATTCTGTTCAAGGACTTCTTGAAATTTCCAAAGACATTTTAGGTTTTGCCATATTTTTAAAGGGGTCAGTTTGTGTGCTCTTTCCTTTTTCTCTCACCTTTCAATGAGCTATTAGAGAAACCGGTCCTGTCTAAAGGGAGCCAGAAATTGAAACTTGGCTCCCAGGCAGACCTTTCAACAAAGGCCACAGCCATCTCCCAACTGGCCTTTGCTCCTCCAACTTGACATATGACACGGGTCCCACCAACCATCTCTTTCTGTGGAAACCAGCTTCCATTTCTCCCCTTCGTTTTCTGGTCTCTCCCATGGCCAGCCCCCTCTCCTTCACCCTGGGGCAGGAGGGAAGGCAGGGAGGGAAGAGCTGAAGCTGCGGCTGCTCTGGTGTGTTTCTACAAGATGCCTGGCAGCCTATGGGCCTCCCAGCTGGCACGGGGGTGAGGAGACCCGGAGCTTGGTGTGGGGAGGACAAGAGACCTACACACAATGGGATCCCAGGAGATGAGCAATAACCCCACTTCTGGCTCAGCCAGCCGTGTTTGGCCTGTTTCCGCAACAGCTATAATTTGCTTTGTTTCTGTGCCAGAGTGGGCTTCCCCAGCATGGGAAAGGATTCCTTTTTGGTTCATCCCCACAGTTTCCAGAAGCCTCCCTACTTCAAGCTGCTGCAGTGTATGCGTCTCTACTGAAGGATAATAAAGTTGTCTTTGGAAGGAGCATTCCTGACTCAGCCACTTCCTACCTGTGGGGCTTTGGCCTCAGGTTCACCTTTCGTTGTGTGGGGATGATAACAGTCTGCAGAGTATCAGGATTAAAAGAGACTAGACAAGTCTGTGATTTTCAAATTGTGCCCTGAGGAGCCCTAAGGGTCTGGAGGACATATCTAAAAAAAACTGCTCTGGCAATGCAGGGGGAGCTCCAGCAGTTCGATATCACCTGCTTCACTCACACACACACACACACACAGTTACTTTACTCACAATAGCTGGTTGGCCTTGCCTAGAAGAGCTTGACCCTCTCCAGATTACAATCCTCCTCTTCCTCCCTGTGCTTTAGAGCTGGGGTTTCTAATCACTAGCCTTATGCAGCTATTTTCAAATGGGGCTTCCCTGGAGCTGCACTGGGGTTTGGATACCCAGCCTCATATCTACTCTGCCCCCGCCCCTTAACCCCACAGGGCAGCTCTGCTTTTCTCTGTCTTATATAATACACTGTGGTTCTGAGTAGCGTTGGTAGCGAGGCAGCAGTCTAATGCTCTCAGTCTGAGAAGCCCCTGATGGAGGGCATCTGGAAGCACTTAGGGGAGCAGTAGTGATGAGGCATGATGCCAAAAGGCATGGGGAATGTGAGCAAGAATTGAGTGGGACTGGGGCTGCCTCAATGCAATTGGCTTGCCAGCACAAGGGCTCCAAATACTTCTTAGTCCCAATACTTACTACTTGCCAATTGCCTGAGACTGCTTTCTTTCTTGGTTTCTGCCAGTTTCAACAAGAACGAAGAAGGAAGCTGTTCGGCTTAAGCCAGAACATCGCATGTTGTGGGAGCAGCGGCTCAAGGAGGAGCAGATGCAGAAGCCCAGGTAGCAGAGTGCAGCTGCCACCCACAGCCAGCCCTGCCTCTGACAGGGGATACAGCCTGCTGGCGTGAATGGTCCATGCCACCATGCCATGTGAGGGACAAGGAGACTCCTCCTCAACTGTGAAAAACTCAACACACCACATTCACATATGCGACACACATTTTATTTTTGCCTCTATAATTTTCCTGTCATTTTACTTTATTTTTATTTGAATTGTTTAATTTTGTCACACAAAATGTGAAATTATGTCACCCAAAAGGAAGAAGCAGTGTCTGTCAACAGATAAATGGATAAACAAAATCTGTTTGTACATATACATTCAATGTTATATTATTCAGCCTTAAGAAGGAAGGAAATTCTAACACATGATACAACGTGGATGAACTTTGAGGATATTATGCTAAGTGAATAAAACAGTCACAAAAGGGCAAATATAGTATGATTCCACTTATTCAAGATATGCAGAGTAGTTGAATTCATACAGACAGAAAGTAGAATGGTTGTTGCCAGGGTCTGGAAAGAGGGAGGAATGGGGAATGTATTAGTCCATTTTCACGCTGCTGATAAAGACATACCTGAGACTGGGCAATTTACAAAAGAAAGAGGTTTATTGGACTTACAGCTCCACATGGCCAGGGAGGCCTCACAATCATGGTGGAAGGCAAGGAGGAGCACATCACATCTTACATGGAGACAGCAGGCAAAGAGAGCTTATGCAGGGAAACTTCCGCTTTTAAAAACCATCAGATCTCATGAGACTCACTCACTATCATGAGAACAGCACAGGGAAGACCCGCCCTCGTGATTTAATTATCCCCCACCGGGTCCCTCCCACAACACGTGAGAATTATGGGAGCTACAAGATGAGAGTTGGGTGGGGACACACAGCCAAACCATATCAGGGAGATAGTGCTTAATGGATACAGAGATTTAGTTTAGGAAGATGAAAGAAGTTCTGGAGATGGATTATAGTGATAGTGTACAACAATGTGAATGTGCTTTAATACTACTGAACTGTACACTTAAAATGGTTAAAATAGTAAATTTCACATTATATATATTTTACCACAGAAAAAAGGAGTTTTTAATGTTTGGTTATGAAATATTTTAATCATACAGAAAAATACATATCAGCCACTTGTGTAAGTCTTTGGATTTAATAGACACATTTTGTCATGTTTGTTTCTTTTTTTTAAGAAATAAATCATCACAGATGCAGCTAAACCTTCCCTCCTTGTTCCAGTTGTATTCATCTTTTTCCTCCTTTCCTTGTATGTTTTAATGTTTTACTGTATAATAATACACTATTTTGTGTGATGTTTTAATCAGACAGAGAATATTATATTTTCCAACTTACTTTTTGTTGTATTTTTAGAAATTGTTCCACATTGACCTATGTAGTTCATTCATTTTTAACCTCTGAATATTATTCGGTTGTTTGAATCCCCCACTGGTGGACATTTAGGTTGCTTCCACTTTTTTGCTACCACTACAAGTGCTGCTGTGAATATCCTGTGCATGTCACCCTGAGTGCATGTGTAGAGTTTCTCCGGTGCACAGTCCTGCAGTGGAAATTTTGGGTTGTAGAGGACATGTGTTTTCCACTTCACTAATATTGTCAAGTTGATCTTTGAGGTGGTTGCACAATTTGAATTCCTACCTTCACTGAAAAAGACCTCTTGTTTCCACCATTGCCCTCAACAAACTTTGGAATTATTACTTTTTTTCCCATGCTAATGGATGTGAAGTGATATCTCACTGTGAGTTTAATTTGCATCCACCCTCCCCCAAACATCAGTGAGAGTGAGCAGGTTCTCACAAGCTTACTGAACATTCCAGTTTCTTCTTTGAAAAATTGCTTGCTTCCTAAATGGTAATTTCCAGAAGGCCAAGGATAGTCTGTGTTATTTATAGTTGTATATTCATTACCTAGCACAATGCCTGGCACATGATAGGTAGGCATCATTATCTGCTGAATGAATGAATTGCCAGGCATACTGATAGGTGCTAGGTAAAAATAGTATTTAAAAAACATTAATGACGGTAGGTGCTATAAATACTCCTGACCTTGAAGTTGATAGAAGTTAAATAATTTGCCAAGGCCACACAGCTATTACACGGTGGAACCTGGACTCAAACCCTGCTCTGTCTCATGCCAGAGCTCACACCCTTAATACTACAACATCCTGCCTCCCCTCAAAACTCAGATGGAAGACCAAAGAATAAAGAACAAATATATTACGGATCTTTAATGCTGTTAACAATTCTTTGTTATTTTATCTTGATTAGATCTCTCAAGAAAATAAAAATGTGTTTCAATGTCTGAAAGCACAGTTGCTTTTGGAAAGTATCAAATGATTTTCTTAGTTTGGAGGCCTTGTACCAGGCAGAAAAAAAAATGCTCCTCTTATTTAAAAGAAAAGCTGGCACCAGCTGCTACTGTTTCTAGATCATTTATATCTATAACCCATACTTTTCACCCAAATAGTAAGCTTACCCAACTGCCTATAAGATACCTCTTAGCTTGCCTCTCCGAAATTGAACTCTAGTCACCATCTCCCCCAAATCTGTTCCAGCCACAGCTTTCCCATCCCAGTTGATGACAGTTGTTGACAGCCCCACCCTTTCCGTTGTTCACAACAAAAACCTGTGCTCTTTCTTTCCCAGCTCACATCCCTCCCCCTCAGCGTATCTGCTGGCCCTGCCTTAACAACACATGCAAAGCTCAACCACGGCTCGCCACCCTCCACTTTCTCTCCCTGGTCTTATCATCTTTGTCTCTGCATTTGTTTCCTAACAGGTGCCCCTGTTTCTTCCCTTGCCTCCAACCATCTATTGGCAACACGGCAGTCAGAGTGATCCTGTTAACATTCAGATTATGTTCCTCTCCTGCTCAAAAGCCTGCAGTGACTCTCCATTTCATTCAGTTTAAAAACTAGAGTCCTTCAAAGAGCCACAGGCCCCACATAATCCTGCTCCTCACTCCTTCCCTGAGCTCATCTCCTATCTCCCCTCATTTGCTCCTCTCTAGCTACAGTGACCTCCTTACTGTCCCTTTCATATGCCAGGGCACTCCTCCCGTAGGGCCTTCAAGAGAGCCTGGAGAGCTGCTCCTCACATAGTCATGCGGCTCTCTTCCTTTCCTCCTTCAAGCCTTTGCTGAGATCTCACATTTCAAGAAGTCCCTCCTGAGCACCTACTTAATAACTTGATTCTTCCTCCATCTCCAACCCCTACACTTCCAATCCCCTGCTCTAATATTTCTCTTTTCCAAATCATTTATCACATTCTAGCATGACATGTATCAATACCATATGCTTCATCAATAATGTCTGTCCCCCCACCATGGGAATATAAGTCCCTCCAGGGCAAGAATAATTTTCATTTTGTTTACTGAAGTATTCCAAGCAACTAGAACAGTGTCTGGCATTGTTAGCACTCAGTTATTTGAATTTAACAAACAGTGTTTGCATATCCAATAACCTTCCTCTTCATCCCTTTCTTACTAAGAAAATTTCAGGTTTTTTTTTTTTTTTTTTTGAAAGTCTCACTCTGTCACCCAGACTGGAGTGCAGTGGTGTGATCTCGGCTCACTGCAACCTCCACCTCCAGGGTTCAAGCGATTCTCATGCCTCAGCCTCCCAAGTAACTGGGACTACAGGCATGTACCACTATACCTAGCTAATTTTTAGTAGACATGGGATTTTGCCATGTTGGCCAGCTGGTCTCAGACTCCTGGCCTCAAGTGATCTGCTCTCCTCTGCCTCCCAAAATGCTGGCATTACAGGCATGAGCCACCACACCCGGACAGAAAATTTCGGTTTGATGGAGGGAAAATATCAGCCCTTGAGAACGAATCACAGCCTTTGCCAGTAACTGGTCCTGAGGTAAGCATGTGGCCCCACTTTCAAAACTCTAAAAGTTACGTTTCAAAAATTCTATTGCAGCCAGGCTAGAGGCATATGACCTTAGATTTAATGGTGTTAGACTTGGATTGTGTATGTGATCACTATGGCTGATATCCTGGCATCCACGGGGATGAAAGAATCTGGTTCTCAGAATCAGCTCAGGTGGGGATCTGGAATTATAGCTGCTGCAAGGTAGGTGGTAATTATAGGCGTGCTTCATCAATAATGGCCCTGTGGTTTCATTGCGCATTGTCCCTAGAGGCAGTTGCCCTAATTGCATTGTTCCTGGTTAAAAAGACTGTTTCCTGGCTTTCCAAGAAATTCTATGAACTATTTACTATAATAGGTCCTTTCCTTCTTAAATTAACTAGAGTGGATTTTGATGTCTGCATCTAAGAAATGTGACTCCAAGATAGTGCCATTGAGGACGTCATTCATTAGGTCTTCAAATTAACCCTGGGACTCATTTCCTCCAGATTTCTTACAACACGATAATCAGTGTCATAGTGATTTAGTAAATAGTATATTTTCTTATACTTTCAGTTGAACACATACTGTTGTAAGTTGTACATAGTTCTTTAGTCCTATAAAAGATCTTCATATGCTCTTGTTTTATTTTGTTTTTTTTTTTTTTTTTTTTTTTTGGTTAAGAAAAGTGAGGACACCCAACCATGGCCTGAAATGTGTGAGAATGAAACAGAAAGAGAGCTGAAATTCTCTGCCTAATGCAATCAGAAGGACTCGCATTTCTGTCAATAGCTTCAAGTAAGAAGTGAAAGATGTGTGGAGGTTATAAAGAGAGAAAGAATAAGGCACTTCTACCTAGTTTATAGAAAGGTGGGAAGAGCATCACTCCATATCAACAAGAAACAAGTGAAAAAGCAACAAAATAATAATTTTCTTGAACCTAGTTGAGAGCACAGGGAAATCAATTAACCTAAAATATAAGGAAAAACAAGCCCTTCAAGAAGATGGGATGCAAGCACTGGCTCAAGACACAGCAAGGAAATGGAACTGGTTGCCATCCACACAGGTAAGCTAAAGTGTTTAATAACCTGCTAAATGCCAATTCTGACGATCTCCAGGAATTCCAAGGACACAGGGTAAGACTGTAGCCCCACACAGTCTCCTCTCCACAAACCTCCACCTCACACCAGGCACTCAGAGAAAGGTTGGGGGCAGGGTGGGAGACTTAGCAAACCTCATTTTGTGGTGGATGTCTAGAGGAGAGGAGTGGCGGCCATAGTGGGAAAATCCACAAACCCTGTCTGGAGCCATCGCCTCTGTGGAAAGAAAGCCTTAAGCTGCTAGGTGAGTAGGAGTAGCCCGGTCAATCCCAAGATGCAGATGAAACCCACTGGGGTGGCAGAAGGGAAGAGACACCCTCAATATAGCATTCGGATCCCAGGCCGTTAGAGGACTTCTATCACTGGGGAAGTGGCAGGAAATTTTCCCCCTCATAATTCCTTTAAAAAATGCAAGGCAGTTTGGCTGCCAGTGGTAAAGAGGCAGGAGCATGAAAAAAATTTTGACTCCCAAGATCCAGTAAAACAGGTTTTACCTAAGACTGAGGTTGGATGAAGGCAATATAGGACCAGTCCCTGATCCCCTCCACCATCAGGCTAACAAGCATTGAGTAGTAAGCATAGCCATTTGCTGATGTGGCAAAGACAGGATATGAAGAGAGATCCACTCTGAGGTGTAGATATATGAAGAAGATATAAGCTGAAGGTAGAAAAAGAGCATTGAGAAAATCTCTCTAACATAGACAGGAGACAGGGAAATAATGGGTAGAAGAGGGTGGTTCCCTGGCAAAGGCCCCACACTCAAGCCTGGAAACCTGTGGCCCTAAATGGGAACAGGCATTCCTGCTTTCACACCCAACCACGTCCCCCTATCTTGTACCCATATAAACCCTAAACCCCAGGTTCCATGAGCAGAAGAGTGGAAGAGCAGCGCAGAAGAGTGGAAGAGCAGCACAGCAGAGAAGAGAAGAAAAGAGAAGAGAAGGAGCACCTGAATGTTGAGAGGAGTTCAGATGGGGATGATCAGAGAGGAGATCAGCTGCAAGACAACTGAACTCCAGCGGAAGATCATCTTCCCATTCCATCTCCTTTCCAGCTCCCCATCCATCCTGTGGTGAGCCACCTCCATCCAGCAATAAAATCCCTCACATTTACCATCCTTCAATTTGCCTGTGTGACCTGATTCATCCTGTACGCCGGACAAGAACCTGGGTACCAAGAAGGCACTGAGCCAGTTAACACTTAGGCTGTCTGCAGATAGCAGAGCTAAAAGAGCATTGTAACACACCCACTGGGGCTTTGGGAACCACAAGCACCCACTCCTAGATGCTACTGTGGGGCCGGAGCTCCAAAAGCACTCACCCCAGCTTCTGCACCTGCCTGTCTGTATGCTCCCCTCCCATAAGGGGTTTGAGTGCATGGTGGCCAAACAGATGAGCCACATCCCTATCACACATCCTACGAGGGGATTGGCGAACTCTCCCATTTTATCTCCAGCCACTCAGTCTCTACCCTAAGCACAAGATAATACTAAAGGAATTTAAAGTTGGTGGTACCCTAAGGTAACCACAGCAACAATAAAACCCAACCCAGCTCAAACTCTTAGATTGATTCAATTCCCCATGTGAATGACCTACCAGTTGAAGAGGCATGCTCATTTTTAGGCATAAATTCCATTTAACTCAGTCTTTCCCATTCTATATGTCATATCCCAAATTTAAAAAAAAAAGTTACAAGAGAAAACAAACCATGAGATAAAATAATTAACAAAACCAGGCACATACTATCAGACAGGAAATTTAAAATAACTATGAAAAGAAATTCAGACACTGTCACCAAAACAAAAAACTGGCCATCAATGAATAGATCTAACAGAATGCTAATTCAAGGATTCAAGCATGGATGGAAGTTGGAAAAAAATAATGAATGAGTGTAACAAAGTTTTAGGATACAAAGTCAATACAGAAAAATCAGATTTATTTCTATATAATAATAGTAAACAATTAGAAGTTGAATTTTTTAAATGTACCATGCATAGTAGTATTAAAAACATTAAATACTTAGCCATAAATCTAATAAAATATATGGAATATTTGCATACTGGAAACTAAAAAGCATTGATGAAAGTAACCAAAGAAGACTTAAGTAAATGAAGAGAGATGCTGTGCTCAGAGATTCAAAGACTCAACGTTGTTACTAATTATCCACAAATTAATCTAATGATTCAACTAAAATCAAAATCACAACAGGATATTTTATAGAAACAGACAAGCTGATACTAAAATGTATACAGAAAAGCCAAGAAGGTAGAATAGCCAACACAATTTTGAAAAAGGACAAAGTTGTAAGGTCTTACATTACTTGATTTTTAAGACTTCCTATGAAACAACACTAATCTAAACTATGTTATATTAGTAAAAGGAGAGACCACTAGAACAGAAGAGAGAGTCCAGAAACACAGCCACATATACATGGTCAATTGATTGTAATTGACCATAGTAATTTCATAGGGAAAGAATCATATTTTCAATAAATTGTGGTGGGACAATCTGACATTCATACAGGAATGTATGAATTGGCACATACCTCACATCACACACAAAAATAGATTTAAATTAAATGTTAAAACAAAAACTATAAAATTTATAGAAGAAAATTTTTGTGACCTTGAGTTAGGCAAAACGTCTTCAGATATCACACTAAAAGCACAATCCATAAAAGAAAATATTGATTAATTAGAACTAATCAAAATGTAAAACTTCTACTCTTTGAAAGACACAATTAAGGAAATGAATAGACAAGGCACAGAATGGGAAAAATAGCTATAAAATTAAAATACATGTCCGATGAAATGTTTATACCTAGAATTTACAAAGAATCTTCAAAACTCAATAATAAGAAAACAAAGCACCCAATTTATTTTAAAAATGGGTGAAAGATTTGAACAAACACTTCACCAAAGATACATGGGTGGCATATAAGCACATGAAAAGATTTGCAACACTATTAGTCAGTAGGGTAGGGCAACTTAAAGGCAAATGAAAACCTCAATGAGATATCACTATGTATTCTTGTTTTATATGTGTGTATGTGTGTATATACATATATATGTGTGTATGATATATATATAACATATATATATATATATAGAGAGAGAGAGAGAGAGGTTCTTGTTATGTTTCCCAGGCTGGTCTCAAACTCCTGGCCTCAAGAAATCCTCCTGCCTCAGCCTCCCAAAATGCTGGGATTATAGTGTGAGACACCATGGCCAGCCCCCACTACATATTCTTCAGAATTGCTTTTCAAAAACTGGGCAATGTCAAATACCGATGAGGATGTGGATTAACTGAAAATTTCATACATGATTGGTGGGAATGCAATGTGGTACCACCACTTTAAAAATCATTTGTCAGTTTCTTATAAAGTTAAACATACACTTACCTCATATTTCAGCAATTTCATTCCTAGTTATTTATCCAAGAGAAATGAAGACTTACATTCACATGAAAATTAGTATACATATGTTTATAGTGGTTTTATTCATAAATACCAAAAATAAAAAACAGCTCAAATGTCTTTCAACTGGCACATGGATTTTTAAAAAACAACTGTGATATAGTCCTACAATAAAATACTGTTCAGCAATAAGAATGAACAAATCACCAATGTGTGCAACATGACAGGAGTCTCAAATTCATTATGCTTAGGAAATAAAACTACGTAATACATGATTCCTTGTTAACTCCTTTTTTATGGGTTAAAAATAATGTTTTTATTAAATTCTCAAAAAGGCAAATATTAGGGATGGAAAACAGATCGGGGTAGGTAAGGGCTGGGGATAAGATAAGTGCTGCTAGAAAGGAGCACAAGGGAATTTGAGGGGGGCAGCAGGAGCGGTAACAAATATTCTATGTCTTGATTGCAGTGATGGTTATACAAATGGAGCTTTTGTCAAAATTCATAAAGCTGCTGTACACTAAAAAGTGAATTTTAACCATATATAAATTATCCTCCAATATGCCTGACTTTAAAAAGAAAGAGTGGCAGAGGGACAGAGAGAGAGAGGAAGAGAGAGAGAGAGAGGAAGAAAAAGAAGAGGAGGAAGAGGACAATGACGACACAGGTAATCCAGGACTTTGAGGAGATTAGATGTTCTCCATGAAGAAATGACTAAGAAATTTTAAGAGAGTAATAACTAAATTTCATTTCCATCCTTGGTTACCCTAATCCTTAAGAAAAATTAAAAAATAAAAAAAGTGTCTTTTACCCCAGAGAGCATAGTGGGAAATCCAAGATTTGACAGGATCTGAATGAATTTTTTCTTTTTTTTTTTTTTTTTGAGACGGAGTCTCACTCTGTCACCCAGGCTGGAATGCAGTGGTGCGACCTAGGCTCACTGCAAGCTCCATCTCCCGGTTTCACGCCATTCTCCTGCCTCAGCCTCCCAAGTAGCTGGGACTACAGGCGCCCGCCACCACGCCTGGCTAATTTTTTTGTATTTTTAGTAGAGATGGGGTTTCACCATGTTAGGCAGGATTGTCTCGATCTCTTGACCTCACGATCCACCTGTCTTGGCCTCCCAAAGTGCTGAGATTACAGGCATGAGCCACCACACCTGGCTGATTTTTTTTTTTTTTGAGACAGAGTCTCGCTTTGTCGCCCAGGCGGGAGTGCAATAGTGTGATCTCAGCTCACTGCAACCTCTGCCTCCTGGGTTCAAGCAATTCTCCTGCCTCAGCCTCCTGAGTACCTGGGACCACAGGAGCCCACCACCAAGCCTGGCTAAGTTTTTGTATTTTTAGTAGAGATGGGGTTTTGCCATGTTGGTTAGGCTGGTCTTCAACTCCTGACCTCAGGTGATCTGCCCACCTCCGTCTCCCAAAGTGCTGGGATTACAGGCCTGAGCCATCATGCCTGGCCTAAGGATCTGAATGAAATTGAACATGGCAGCGTTTCCTGTATTGCCACTCTGCTGAGGATGGTAATAATAGCTGCATGCTATTAAGGAAAGATACCAGAATCTACGGGGGTCCCAGGACTCAGGTGAGTGGGGGTATGAGTTAGAGGCAAAGGCAGGGGACACCAGAGAAGTGGGCAGGTTTGGACTGACCCTGGGGTAGAAATGGGACAAGCTCCCCTTTTTTTCAAAGCTACCAGAGATGATAATCCTTGAATAGACATAGGCAAACACTTGGATTATCATTCCCAAAAAACAATCCAGAAACTCAGATGTTTTCCTGTACTGCATACTATCAAGTTGTAATTAATCAACCTTTCATGCTAGAATGTAGAAAAGCATAAACACAGCCCTAATTCAAGAATTATCTCATTATTTTACAGCTTTGTGAATTGTCAACACTACAGCAGATACATTAAGCATTTGTCCCACTTAGTTACAAGAAGATAAAAATCCGTCTTTGCATAGATTGCTAATTGCATAGATTTCTAACAAATATGTCACTGCTCTTAGCTCATTTTATGTAAAATGAATGGCGTCTTTTATTGCATTTTTTAAAATGATGTAAGATTCAACTCAGACAAGAGTTCTAACGCTGCTCTTTAGAAATGCTTTCTTATAAATTAGTTAGGTTCAGGATTTTATTTGATTTAGGTCAGCTTTTCATAAACAGATACCCTAAGAATAACTTGTCCTACTTGTAAGCTTGAAAAGAGAGAGAAGAAGCTTGGCAAATAAATCAGTTTGGAAAATGTGGCACAGCGTTTCCCCTTGGTATTCACAATTCACATCAGTATATTAGATACTCTCAGGAATCTTGCAGTAAGGAAGCTTGCTTAGCTGTGTTCTAGTAGACTGTGAGCCTCATGTGGACTGGGACTAGCTGTATTTTGTTCAGTGCCTAGCAAAGCTCCTGAGACAAGGCGCCACTCTGTAACTCTTTTTTTGAACAAAGCCAGTATTTCCCACACTTTATTTGACCAGAGATTTTTTCTTGCTGTAACATCTGTTTAACAGCCTGCATATCATATCAGGGTTCTTGGGAACTGCTGACTTCGCTATTCAAAAACATAAAAATCAATGCACAATTTAAAAGGAAAATTTGCATTGCCCAAAAAGAAGAAAAGAGGGAAATTTTTATTTAAAAAAAAAAAAAAGTGATGTTCCAGCTGTCAGATGTAGTTGTATCCTTCCTCAACCATTTAGAGTTCAGCTCGAATCTGGGGGCTTTTTTGCCTTGGGCATTGGAAAGTTCGTTCAAATGATATTCTAACTTTTTACCACTGTCAGTTCATGTTTTTAAATGATGTGGGGGTGGGGGGCGGGGTGGGAAATAATAATGTGAGAAGCTACAAATCATATATTTTATAGGGGTTAAAAAAGTTCAGTTAATCATAGTCCTTTCAAGATTGATTTTCACAACTTATCTGGTCCCAGAAGGGACTGGAAATAGGAACTGTAAAATATATTAAGGAAGCCAGTCTTCAGCTATGCAGATCAATTAGACAGAAAGGTACCAAAAATCTTATGGTACAGCTCAGTTCTTTTGTGGGAGATGAGGAGTGGAAGAGGACTTCAGGTGGAGGGGCATTGCAAAGGCTTAGGAAAGGCTTTGGGATGACGGAAGCATTGTCCTGGTGGGCAGGCCCGCTAGAATACACCGCTCTCAGGTTTTCCCCAGCCCCCTTGACTGCCCTTTGCTGTCAGAGTCGGAAACATTCTTTGTTCAACTGAGGAATCTTCCAGGGAAGTGCTGACAACACATATTGCCTGCACATAGACAGAACACTTCCTGGTTCCTCCTTTGCCACATCGGTTTCGTGTGAATTGCCAAATGCAGGGAGAGGCAAGTGAATTGGACTGCCCCGGGCTCGCCATTCCTGGAGATCCAGCATGAATCATCAGGGGTCACTTAGGTGAGCAGGGTCACTTAAGGTGCTGCAGGATAAAGGACTTCTTAAAGGAATTAGACTTTTCACACGTGTGAGAGGAGCTGAGCAAGTACAGGTGTGTAAGGATGAGTTGGAGAATGAGGGAGTCATGAACCAGTCACAAAGAGGAGTTAGTTACATTCGTGACTAAAGTAGGACAGTGAAGCAGGGATTCATGGTGAGGTTACAAATCATTGTATCAGCAGCTCCCAGCCTGCCACTAGATACTGGCCTACAATATCTAGTGGTACAGCCCAATATCTAGTGGGCTTGGAGCTGCTATTGTTCAGCAGGGCCAGCAGTCTGGAAGAACTGGACACAGAGGGGAGTTTGGACAAGTTTTGTCTGTCTGTCACCACATATGACCCTGAAAAGATTTTCAGAAAGGAACAGCCACTGCCTCTCTTTTGCCTTTCAAATCTCATGCAAATTCCATTCTGGCCATCTCTAACCTGACTCCTGCAAGAAAAAGGACTTTGGAAAACAGTCCCCAGCTTAGATACTTTGACAGCACAATCTGCCACACAGAGTACTTGGCAGACTGAAAACATGAAATATGTGTGAAGCCCCTCTGACCAACATGACCAGTCAAGCCTAAGCTCTATACAGCTCCACAGGCTCCTCAGCTCACTGGTCTTTGACCACCTATTTTTATCCAAAATGGCATGAAGACATTGTCTTTCCCAGTAGCTATGGTTATCAGAATGTGGCAAACCTCAAAAGGAGTGTCAATACAGTGTCAATCACAAAATAATATTCTGTCCTCTCCAATTACGCTACTTCAGACTACCAGAAGGCCCATGGAGACACTCTTGTAGCTTCCATGGCAAAAACGCTGGATTCAGAAACACAATCCAGGCCTTAATTAGGAAATTATGTAAAATCAAGTGTTACCTGGTCTCTCTGCCTCAGTTTCCCTATATACAAGTTGAGAAGATGGAGGAGATGATTTCTAGGGAACTTTCTAGTTTGAACATTATATAATTCTACATCTGTGGCAACTTTATGTCTGGGGAGGCGAGTCTGCCATTTCATGCAGAAAATGAAACTCCACCAGAGAAAACCTCTGGTATGTGGAAAAGAAAAGGCAGTAGTCATCTTTTCTCATTAGCAGCACCAGATTCTGCTACCTCAGCTGGATGCTGTTTAGTCATCTGCAGTAATAACCTCCATTCCCAGCTCCAAGCTGCTGCGTGGGCCTAGACTGAAGTCTCTGTGGTTATGAGTCACAAGCCCATTAAAGCCAGGAATTGACACGAGACCTTGAAAGGCAATTTGCCTTCCATACCTAGCTTCCTAGGAACTGGTTTCTTCCCAAAGAGAAAATAGTATATGTGATTTATGAAATATCACATAGTATTTCCTCATAAGCTCATGGCTCTAGAAATGAATTCCTAATTCTCCAACTGGAAACATCTAGATTTTTGATTTTAGCTATTATTATCAGTTGTTGGATCCAGAGCTCCTCATGGTCCATTAAGTCTAGTGAATGCAGTGCTGAACAGAATACAGTCATTGATACAATCTACTTTTATCTGGGAAGTCTGCTGAGGCTACTTGTCCTTTTGGCATTTTCCCTTTGCTAAATGTTAAGGTATGGGTTCAAAGCAACAAGGCTTTGCAATATCAGCAAACCTCTAAGGGCAGTCCTTCACCCCCACAGGTATGCTCACCTTAGCTCCTTGCTGTACTACTAGATGTCTAATAAGTATTCACTGATGGTCCCCTCCCTGTTGCTACCACATGATAAATCAAGGAGGTGGTGCCAGCCCTACTTTCAAAGTACTAGAACCAGGTCAGCCTACACTCCCTAATTTCAAAGCCCGAGAAGAAGCAACACAATTTGCAGACTATAAAAAGAGCTTTGGGGATTGGATAGAAATGGAAACCCAAGTGGTATCTTCTGCAGAGCAAGCACAATGGGCCCCGGGGAATGGAGGGAAGTGGCTGCATGGACAGCGTTATTACTAAAATTTGGCCAAGGGAGATAAAGGGCAAGGCTGAGGGTGGGAGCATGATCCTGGGAATCCAAAATTAGTGCCTGAGAGGATCGAAGCACCAAAAAGAATGAGAGTGAGGGCCAAAGAGAAGTGAGGAAAACCACAAGGGTGCTGTATGGGATTTAAAGACACAGCAAGATATTAAAGATGTCTTCATCCAAGACATCCCAAGGGAAATGGAGAGGAGTGGGAAGGTTTTCTCAGAGTATCCATTTTCCTTCCAATTTCCCAGGAGAGGTGACATTTGTGCTGGTGTTAAGGGCTGAGTTGGTATGAGTTAGTGATACTACACAGGCTATGAAGCCAGAGTCTGGCCCAAGCAGGGCCCTACTCTTTATTAATTGTGTCATTTTAGGCCAACTGTGCCTCAGTTTCCACATCTGTAAAGTTCATTCATTTGAAAAATCTTTGCTGACCATTACAATATACCACACAGCATTATGGTGAATAAAACAGATAAATATTCCTTTTCCCTATAGCTTGCCTTCTAATGGATGAGAATACTACTATTACTACTAGTAATACCCATCTTATAATGTTGTCATGAAGATTAATTAGTGCATACACATCAAGCACATAAAACTGTGACAGCCCATAATTAATGCTCAATAAATGCTGGCTATTATTATTACTATGAGGTGGGCAAGCAAGCTGAGGCTATTTCAGTAAGAGAAGGAAAAGGATGTAGTAAGTGTGGAAATAGCAAGAAGTTAATTATGATCATAGTGGTGGGCACCTGGGGTAAAGATAAATTTGGAAAGTTGATCTGGGGACAACTGTTCCCTGGCCCTTGAGCCATATCTTTTATATCTTGAGAAGCAGAAGGGTTCAGGCTCTGGGGAGTGAACCTCAGCTCAATTACTCACTAACTTACATCACAGGTGACTCTAGGTAAGTAACTGGAGCTTTTTGTGCCTGTTTCCTCATTGGTAAAATGTTGAGATCTACGTCACAAAATCAAAGGGAAGATTAAGTGAGTTAATATTTGTGAAGCTCTTAGAACTCTGATGTCATAATTCAGGAAACATTTGATAAATATAAGCTGCAATTAATTATCCTCATTACTAGTATTTCTATCATCTTCCTCCACTCTCTAGTTTGGCAACATGTACTATCATAATGTGTTATTCTTGTTCTTTGCCTTTCCTGCTATTCCCAAAATAAGCTGCCAGGAAGTTATGCTTCTTCCTTGTACTGAGTCTTTCCAATACTTCCTTTCTCTCCCAGGGCTCCTTTGCTAGTTTAGGCCCTTACTCTTTGTTCTAAGGATACAGCAGCAGTTTCCCAGTTGGCCTTTTTTTCGTAAGCCATCCTTAACCCAGTCTGTTTTTCACAAAGCTGCCAGAGTAATCTTTCTCAAAGAGTGTTGTCCACATGTGCATCACTCTGTCTTGCCTATTGTACATCTTAGTCTTATTCTGGCATTCAAAACCATTTTATTAGCTCTACCATCCCCAACCATCACCACCACTATTCTACAACCTCCCTCCACCACTCCCAGGATGGCTAGTTCAAGTGCAAGGCAGAAAAAGGCATCTTGTCCTCAAGATATTTGACTGCCATCTGCAGCAGAGTTGTTGCTATCAGCCAGGGTCTCATCAGGAAACAGATGATGTTAAGTTGGGTAATTTAAGGACAGTTTAATAAAAGAACTACTTACAAAGCTATGGGCAGGATTTAGAGAAAGAAATAATGGGGGTATAGTACCTCAGGACTTGTAACAGTTGGAAACCATTATCACCCACTAGGCATGAAGATTCAAGGGCAGGGCACAGTCACCACAATCCAGAGAAAGGTAACTGTAAGAAAAGGGCTGTTTGACGAGAACTATGACATTAAGTAGAGGCATGTGGCCAAACCATGGTGACCCAGCAAAGAGAGAATTAGGGGGAGAAATACTCCCACCTCAAATTTCTTTTGCCCTCTCATCTTCTCTGAATCCAACCAGAAGTCAGAGAGCAAGATAGCCCATGGAGACAGTTCATACAGGGCAAGTTCTTGAGAAACAAAGAAGGGTAGAGAAGTGTAGAAGTGGATCAGGAGGAGTAAACAGGAGACATTCAGCATAATTGTAATAATAAATATAAATCTATGATGACCCTATAGTTTCACAACTGCACAACCAAACATAGCAGCCCTACCACTGACTTATGGCCATGCCTACCGCCACCTCTAACCAGTGTTACATTCCCATCCCCCTAACCTTCACCACCAGGGCCAAGACTTGACCCAAGGGAGGTTTTGTGCAAATTAGAAAAAGACACAGCTTTCCTCAAGATACTTGACTTCCATTTGATGGAAAATTATTGGAACATACAGTGTTTGTTAGAATAAGCCATCTCAAGGCCATCTACCATAAAGCATTTACAATTATCAACATACAAATCTACTATGCCTACAATGTGAATGTGGCCCATGACTTCAGTATGGCAGCATGAGGAGTGCCATAGACTCACTCCCCAAAGAAACAAGCAAAATTGGAGGAAACTATTTAAAAACGACAACATTTAAAATCTCTGGAAGTTGTCCTATAAGCTATAGCAAATGAAGAAATATTTAGGAAAACCTACTAAAATTTAATTTCAAGAACATAGAGATTCTATGACATTTTGTAGTAGCTCTGCCAATGCCCCACAATGTTTCAGTTTTGTTGTTTGAAGTAGGACCCAGAGTTCTTTGTCTCATGACCAAGAAAATTAAGGAGTGAGGACGCAAGGGTGAGGTTGGAGCTAAAGTTTAACAAGGCAAAAGGAGAAAACTCTCCGCAGCGAAGAGGGGACCAAAACGAGGATTACTGTTCTACAGTCAAATACAAGGGCTTTTATAAACAGGATTGTAGGGCAAGATATTTCATTTACATAAGGTGCAAAAAACCAGTTAGGACTAGTGTTTCATTTACATCAGGCGCAAATTCCTGAAAGCTCCTCCCTGTCCTTTTAGTGCATATGTAGACTCTTAGCTTAGGTCACTCCACTACTGTGCATGTGTAAGGGGGTAGAATTCTCAATTGCAGATGTGCCTGGTTCTGTGTTACTCCTCTTAGTCATGTTTCAAGCAAACCTCCCTGCACCCCTGTGCAAACTCCCTTATCTAAGTATATCCAAAAAAGGAAAGGAATGTACTCACTGAAGCCTACCACGTATACATGACCCTTGCTGGTTACACAGAAGGCATCTTTATGGTAGACCTTGCCTCCTTATCTATGCTTGCAGCCTGATCTTTCAGGCTGTTCTTTCGTCAGAAAAAATGGAATTCTACCATGGACTTGTCCTAGGTATCTGCCTAACTTGTTCCTTTCTCTCTTTTCCCTCAATTTGAAGCATAGCCAACTCCCTCTCACAACCAGCATTATACTCCTTCTCCCCATCTTTCCTCTTGTAGCTCAGTTGATGAAAGCTTTCCTCTGGAAGGTGTGGCCAAGAAGATGGAGCTCCCTCTCCCCTCAGCTCCCCATCAGGGCTGCCATATCTCACCAGGAAAGAAAGGCCACCAGCATTTCTTATCTCTTCTTACCCTGGATTAAAGAAACTAAATTCCTGATGAGTGCAGTTGAGACACTGGGGACTGTTTTCTGTCACTCACTCACAGGACAGAGGCTCTATCTCAAGCATGGAAGGCCAGGAATACTGAGACCTGATTACTCTCAATTCAGCTCACTCATAGGGAATATGGGTGTTCTATCCTGGAACATGCAAGCCAGGAAGATCAGAGGCTGTTGCCCCACCCAGCACCCAGAATATTTGCTTAGAGATTTTGACCAGGGAAAGAGGAAGTCCATAAGAAAATGAGGCCCTATAGCTCTTCCCAAAGAACTGGACTTTAAATGAAACAAAATATAGGCAAGTTCAAGGCTTAGGGTGCTCTTGAAAACAATAGCTCTTTTCAATATAGAGCAACAAGCTAAACAATAGACCACCTAGCTCACCAAGGAAAGAGACAGCTAAAGAGAGCCTTCTTGGGATTATTTAAAAAAACTTAAAACTATCCCTGCCAAAGGGCCTGAATTTAATTGAATCAGACTGCTGAGCAATTTATGCTCCAAAAGATTGTCATAAAACAATAGCACAGTCAGCCAGTAATTAATGTAACCTAACAGTTGAGTGTGATACCAATTGAGGTAGACAGGTTAACAGAAAGATCAGGAAAAGAGACAAAGAGAGTCCTGCTAGAACCACTGTCATCCCAAGGTGATTGTGTATACATCCAAGCCTGCGCCATCTGAGGAACATCACCAAAGGCTTCACACTCTGGGGGAAATAGACTACACTAAAACAGTCTAGCCAAGTCATAAAACAAACAAGCAAACAACAAAAGCAAGCTCCAAAGATGAGTAAGGGGAATCAATGCCCAGAATTGTTACAGTATATTACCTAAAATAATTTTCAGCAAAAAATTACATGATAGACAAAGAAAGAGGAAAGAGTGACTCATACAAAGGAAAAAAAAAAGCAGGCAACAGGAACTGCCTGTGATAGAGCCCAGATGTTGGACTTAACAGATGAAGACTTCAAAGCAACTATTATAAAGACGTTCAAAGAACTAAAGGAAGCCATGCTTAAAGAAGTGAAGGAAGGTATGATGACAATGTCTCATCAAATCGAGAATATCAATAAAGAGATAGAAATTATAAAAAAAGAACTAAATGAAAATTCTGGAGTTGAAAAGTACAATAACTAAAACAAAATATTGACGAGAGAGGGTTAGCAGTAGATTTGAGCTAGTAGAAGAAATAATCATCACACTAGATGGATAGAGACTGTGTAATATGAAGAACAGAGATTGAATAAAGAGAAATGAACAGAACACCAACATATGTATAATGGGTGTGCCAGAAAAAGAAGAAAGAGACAAGAACAGAAAATTATATTCTAAGAAATAATGAGCCTGGGCACAGTGGTTCATGCTTGTAATCTCAACACTTTAGGAGGTTGAGGTGGGAGGATCACTTGAGGCAATGAGTTCAAGATCAGCCTGGGCAACATAGCAAGGTCCCATCTCTACAAAACATACCCAAATTAGCCAGGCATGGAGGTACATGACTGTAGT
The DNA here is from genome assembly GCF_000001405.40 of Homo sapiens. Lineage (NCBI taxonomy): Eukaryota > Metazoa > Chordata > Mammalia > Primates > Hominidae > Homo > Homo sapiens. The sequence goes on along the minus strand of NC_000002.12, from coordinate 191,481,250 downwards.
CCCAGCTACTCAGGAGGCTGAGACAGGAGGACTGTTTGATCCCAGGAGTTAGAGGCTGCAGTGAGCTATGATTAACACTGCATTCCAGCCTGGGTGACAGAGTGAGATCCTGTTTCAATAAAAAGAAAGAAAAAGAAACAATGGCTGAAGACTTTCCAATGTAAATGACACCACTTTCTATGTTATCCTTTTTGTGTAGCAAGAAGCAACAACACACAACATATACACATGGCAGTCCTGAGTTCACCACAACAACAACCACCACTATCACCGTCCCTGAATCTTTTTTTCTTTTTCAAAAGAGCAGTTGTGCTCTAGCCAGGTCAATCTTCATACTGTCACCTAAACTTGCCTTAGTCATTCTAGTCTACATGTCTTTCCTTTGACATCTTTTATTTCCGGATTACCCTTTTGATTCTTCTTATCAGCACAAACCCATCATTTTCCCCAAGCCTCCCTAGTCCTTGTATTTTTATCTAATTGCTCATATTGCTTACATGTTTTTTGGTGGTTGTTCTGTCATTTTCTTTAAATATCCAAACAATATTTATTGAATGTGTATTATGTTTCAGGCACTGTACTGGGCATTAGCAAAGAACAAGACAGAGACTTTGCCCTAATTATTCTACACACAAGCAAATTAATAAGTAGCATAATTTTGGATAGTAATAGGTGCTCTGTAGAATGTAAAGCAGGGTGACTGAGATTACATGGAAGAAGAGGGCTACTTTAGATAGTGTCCAAGGAAGGCTTTGCTGATATGAGAGCAGAGACTGTATGAGAACAAGCAGCCAGCCAGGTGAGAGTATGGAGAAAGGACTTTCCAGGCAGGGGAAACAGCACAGGCGAAGGCCTTGAGGCAGGAACATTCACAGAGGGTCTAGAGAAGAGCAAATAGGACAATGTGATTGGAGAGTAGTAAGCCAGTAGGAAAAGGGTGGGAGATAGATTTTGAGAGGTGGTGGGGGCCTCTATCATGTAAGGCCATGTTGGTGTGCCTCATTTCTCCCTGAGATGTCAGTCTGGGAGTGCCAGGCATTGGTAATTTCCTGAAATACCCAAATCCTACCTTCTTCCCTACCCAGGGTCTATCTGCCCAGGCAAAGAAAGGCAATTTCCATACCCAGGGCTCAGAGTCCTTGTTCTTAAAACTGAGCACTCGTAGAGCCAAGATTGAGTATCAGATTCACCAGGGAAGCAGGGAGAATGTTAGCCAAGGGATAGAGACCAGCAATGGATGATGGAGAATGATAGGACCCCAGTAAGTCAACAGAATACATTTATTGTAATATTATTTACTACACCCTTAATCTGCGTCAAGTCCTTTCTATACACAATGCCATTTAAACTTGACCACAACCCTGTGAAGGCAAGGCAGGGGAAAGCAAGGGAGGGGATGAAATGGGAAGTCCCCTCAGGGTGCTGAGAATTCCCCCAAACTGCAGAATCTTGACTGAAGTACATCTGACGGCAAAGCCCAAACGCGTCTAGAGTCTTGAACTCCTTGATCAGAGGCTTTTCTGAAAACTGCCCCTCCCTCTGGCTGCCCAACGTGTGGCAGGTTGAGAAGCCTTATTAAAGGCCTTTCATAAAAGCTCCAGTCGAGGAGCATCTGCTCCTGGTGTGTGAGAGATTACACAATGAGTGATCTTGGCCAGGGAGACCTAGCCAGCTCCAGGCTCCGCTGGGGAGACAAGATTTCAAAAGGCAGCCGCTCAATTAGGGAAACAGCCTTTCCTGGCCGTGCCTCTGAATTTCATTTCCAGCACAGGCTCCTCTGGTTAATGATAAGAAGCCCAAGATAAGAGCCTGATTGTTGCCTGAATGGCTTCCTTCCTGAGGGAGGGGAAAAAAGGAAAGAAAAAGATTAGCACAAGCATCAGACTCCTGATTTAGCTTTCCTTCTGAAATAATAAAATAAGTAAACAACAAAGAGCTTTTTACCATCAGAGGCTGTGTGGATTTCTCTTCTTGCACTGCCCCATTCAGGTTGTGTTTTATTTTCTAAGGTTGACCCTCTGCATTGTAGGGCATTGTATTCTCTTTCTATAGGAGGCACTTAATGGATTAAATTTGCAAAGAGTCAATGGCAATCAGCCATCCATCAGAGAGGTCTATTTACATGCAGTCACTCCTGTAGTTTTTGAAGAGCACAGAATTAAAAGAAAAAAATTGCTGGAAAATACAATTATGAGAATCTTTTGTCCCTCTTGGCACCACCTCTTTATAACCTTCTATCTGCTAAGGGGGAAGGGAAGGCGCTGTGTAATGATGTACGGACAGATGCTTGAAGGCTGGGCGTGGCTTCTGGGGTAAAAAAAGGAGAATCGGTATCAGTGCAGTGTATGAGCCTCCTGGTTCTTAGAGTTTTCTATTCAGCTGCCGGTGTTATCCTTGTGAGTGCATGGAAACCACCCCGAACAATCCAATTTAGAACAGCTTTTAAAATTCTTCACAAAAAGCAAGATGGCCTTAATTAAAATTTGAGATTCAAGCCTGTCAGCGTGGTCACACTTTCCGAGTGGTTCAGGGAATTTTACATCTCCTATTCCATGTAGGATTTGCACTGGTGAATCTTTCAATGAAATGACCATGTTATTATTTTTATGTTTGAAAATCTGCACATTGAAGATTCTGTTTTTCGATTTTAGTGTGCTTTGTGACCTTTACATTTAACACTGTTATTAGCAGGACATAACTTATTAATGGAGAAAGCTGGTGGCAAACCCCAGGTCAATGCCTTTTCTAGGTCACATTCCTTATGGGTACAGAAATACGATATCTGTCTGATTTGTGGAAATCACACAGCTGAGAGGGAATGCTGAATCAAGGTTCTTAAATCACTTTTTAGAGTAGAAAGATTTAAGTATTATAAAATATTAAATTAATAAAAATTCAGAAAGCTTTTCTAAAGTTGTATTGACAGCCCAAAGCAAAATGAAAATCTATTCAATTCAACAAATACTTATTGACTATGCTAGATACTTCTGTGAATATTAAGATAAATTTTACATGAACAAGTATCAGGTCTTCCATTTAGGTTCAATCAATTGCATAAACTTACAATGAAGCGGCTTTGTTGTCTGGGGCATATACCTTGGGCTTTGTCTTCGCGTGCCAGGAACATTTAGGACACGGACACACACAAGGAGTGGGTTTAGAAGCAGAAAGTTTAATAGACAAAGAAGAAGAGAGAGAGAGAAAGCTTCCTCATGCTGAGAAAGCGGGGTGCCCAAGAGAGGTCTCCAAGTGGAAGGGGCCTGCTGATGGCGAATATGCCGAGTTTCATAGTCCAGTTTGAGGAGGGGATGTCCGATTTTCATAGGACTCATAGATTAGTTTGATTAGGTATGATGTTTACATAGCACGTGGGGAAGGCTAGTTGTCCCACCCTAATCTTCCTATGCAAGTTGATCAGTGCCATCTTGTCTGCTCCTTACAGCACACCGGGCTGGGCAGAGAAGGGAAGATGGAGCCGCCATCTTGAAAATATCTGGTCCTGGCCTGGCGCGGTGGCTCACGCCTGTAATCCCAGCACTTTGGGAGGCCAAGGTGGGCGGATCATAAGGCCAGGAGATCCAGACCATCCTGGCTAACACGGTGAAATCTCGTCTCTACTAAAAATACAAAAAAAAAAAAAATTAGTTGGGCGTGGTGGCGGGCGCCTGTAGTCCCAGCTACTCAGGAGGCTGAGGCAGGAGAATGGCTTGAACCTAGGAAGCGGAGCTTGCAGTGAGCCGAGATCGCGCCACTGCATTCCAGCCTGGGTGACAGAGCGAGACTCCGTCTCCAAAAATAAAAAAAAGAAAATGTCTAGTCCTTAGTTCCTGCCAGCATTCGTCCATGCAAGCTCACAGCTTGCAGGCTGTTCTGTTAGAAATGATTTGGGGCTGCATTTCATTAAAAAGAAAAGCCTTACTGAGGACTCACATGCCCTTGCTATCTGCCGAAGTAATTCTTTCTTAACTCCTGTATCAACAATACATAGGATAGATCAATTAACAATACATGGATAGATTAAGAGTTCATGCAAACAAGGCTTTGAACCTATGGTGTGACTGGAAAACAACTCATGAAGCTTTGTGCTGCACCAATTGAAGTACAATATCTAGGTAAAGGATATTGCCTCAGAGTCTGCCCTCTGGCGGGTGCATGTCTGGAGTATTACATTCATTCTGGGCATCACAGTGCTGTATGCTATGTTTTGAAGTGGACGTTGACAAAGTAGAATCCACGCAACGGAAGGCACATGTGTGGTACATAATCTTGGAAAACATCGTATGAGGAATAGTTGAGGGAGTGGAGACTATTTAACCTTCAGAGAATCACATTTAGGGAAGTCCTAGCATCACAGAATTGAAGAGTGAGAATAACCTACTCTACATCTCTTACTTAACCTCTGTCTTTTACAGATGAGAAAACAGGCCCAGAAAAGGGCAATGCCATGCTGGTCTCCATCTACAGTCTTGCTTAAGCCTGGTGGTTTTATTCCTGTAGTACCAATATTCACTACACATCTCAGCTTATGCTTCTGGTCAGCTGTTGATTCCAGTTATCAGAAGGATGGACCTTCTCTGCCCTCAAAACGATCTGAGTGTTGGAAAGAAGAGCAGGCCAAGAGTCTAGTTCTTTTTCCTTTATCTATTGCCTGGCAAATTCCTGCTTATCCTTCAAGGCAACTCAAATGTCACCTCATCTCTGAGCCTCTGTAAAAAGTGAAGTAGAAGTTCCTCTTCAAAGAGACTTTCCTCCGCATCTAATTAAGAACAAATGTAACTTCTCTTAGAAGCAAAATTTATTCAAAGACCTGTGCTAACATTCTAAAATATCTGCTAGCCGTAATAAAGAAATCAATATACTTTGTGTTCTTAACTCCCACAAGTTTGCATAAATATTTGCCCTGGCATGCTTATACTGGTCCAAGCAAGCCTTAGGTCATAGCCTGTTCCTCTTCCTTATTTGGAGGTGTTTTTACTTTCTAACACCGCACAGTCCTCTTTGAAAATTAATTACACTCTCCCATCATTTCCCACAGCTTTCTGGAAACATCTCATTGTAGCATCTATCACTTGATATTGTAATTGTTTACTTATACATCCATCTTTCCACTAGATTTTGAGCACCTGATGAAGCATGATTAAAGACTAGTCCTGACTGATACTATGACTGGGCATCCACATATGACCTCTCCATTTGACTAGGGCTTCCTCACAGCATGGCTGCCTCAGCGTAGTCAGGATCTATGAACAAGTGTTTCTGTGCACAAGGCAGACACCGCATGGCCCCTTATGGCATTGCTTCGGAAGTCACATATTGTCATTCCTACCATGCTGCCAAGATTCAAGCAAAGGGGCCATAGAAACTACCTCTCTATGAAAGAATTGTCGAAGAATCTGCAGTCATGTTTTAAAACTGCCACCAGTTGACAGAAAACAAAGTAACAAATACATAAAATACTATATATAATATGTTTAGTGGTGATACACATTATAAAGAAGAATAAAGTAATACTGGAAATAGAAAGGACTGTGACTTGGGGAACTAGGGTTGTGATTCTAAATAGGGTAGTCAGAGAAGTCTTTATTGACAAGCTGGTGTTTGGGCAAAAGTTGGAGGAGGTGAATGGACTATGCTGATCCCTGGGCACGACCACACCGGTGAGAAGGAACAGCAGTGCAGTGGCTCTGGGGCAGCACTGAGCCTGGCATGTTCAGAAAATACCAAGAGGGCCGGTGGGGTGGGAGCAGAAGAAAGCAGCAGGTGAGGGATGGAAGGCGCTAAAGCGGGAGACTCAGATCCTGTCAGGCCTTATAGCACTAAAAGGACTCTGGGCTTGATCTTGGGTGACATAGAAGCCACTGGAAGGTGTTGAGCACATGATTGAGTGTATGCCAGGTGTTAACAACATCACCAGATCAGGTATAGCTGAAGGGTAAAGTGAGGAGACTTTAGAAGGCCGGTGAGATGTTCACAAGAGAGTTCGTGGTGGCTAGGGGGATGTTGTAGAGGGAGTGAGGAAAAAAGGCCAGATTCTGCGTATATTTTAAAAATAGAGCCTGTAGGATTTGCTGCTGGAATGGATATAGGTTTAAGGGAAAAATACAACTCAAAGATAACCTTAAAGTTTTTGGTCTGAGCAACTGTTTGGAGTTATGTTAGCTCAGCTGAGGAAAGCTTTAGGGAAAAGACTAGGAATATCGTTTTGGATATACAGTCAGTTCTGCTATAATATGTGCTCCTAAATATTACCACAAAATTACAAATAAAAATCACCAGGCTTATGCGGGAAAAAAATGGCATTGAGGGCATAATACTCAAGGATGTCCTCAGTGACACATTTAAAAAAGAAAGAAACCTAATGCAAATAGAAATACAGTTTTACACATACTAAATGGTAAAGATATGCATAAATACTACCATCAGTGAGTGAGGTACCTCACCTTATAAAGACCTGAAGTTTGTGTGTGGAAGTAGGCTGCAGGGCTGTTATTGGGAAGTGGTGAAATAGGGTTATCTGAAAAATAATAGGAAGTTTTTTTTCAGTAACACCAGATGTGGATGGGTGTGGCCTCACAGTCCTTTGTTCAAATTGGCATTGAACATCACAGTTAAGTGAGCTCTCTCAGGCTTGAATCCTCGTACAAGTTGCTCTTCCTTTGAGATGTAGGTCCTCAAATGTATGCATTTATAATAGTTACCTGTTTCATCAAAATTGCAAATTTGGTCCAAAGTATAACTATCTACTTTAACTTCTGCATTGCTGGAAATTTTTCTGCAAATTCCTCATATGTCTGATAGCTGGAGGCTTTGGAAACTGTAGCAATGTCTGAAATCTTGCAACGAGGCATCAATAGCATGAAAAGTCACTTCTGCAGGATTTGAGGATTGGAGATTTCCTTTTGAGTCTTTTGTGTATAGATAGTGCCTTCTCATTAGAAAGATTTTTCCTGTACTTTTTACTATTTGGTCTTTAATCTATACATTCAATTATCTTTCCATTTATTTTGTATTTCTAGTCTTTGTTCTTACTGTCAAAGTTGTCCTAAGCATGGAATTTTTAAAATTTCATTTTTGTGGCATTGTCTGTCATTGTCCACACTGTGAATTCCCTTATGCCCATTGCTCAGGAGATATCACATATAGCCAATCCTGCATGACGCTGTTCTGCATGACGCTGTGTTAACAGAAACATGTATCAGAACTTTGTTCATGCTAAGATTTGTCAACTAGAAAGGGAGTACATCATTCCTTCCAATCTGCATGGGTTTCAATGAATGTGGTGCTGTGCAAAACAAAGATTGCTTATATCCTCCCAATTTTTTTTTTAAACCCCACATTGTTATTTCAAGCATCTCCTCGATACTTAAATATTTCTCCAGGCTGGGTGCGGTGGCTCACGCCTGTAATCCCAGCACTTTGGGAGGCTGAGGTGGGCAGATCACTTGAGGTCAGGAGTTTGAGACCAGCCTGGCCAACATGGTGAAACCCTCTCTCCACTAAAAATACAAAAATTAGCCAGGCATGGTGGTGCATGCCTGTAATCGCAGCTACTCAGGAGGCTGAGGCAGGAGAATCGCTTGAACCTGGGAGTTTGGGAGAAAGAGGCTGCACTGAACTGAGATCGTGCCATTGCACTCCAGCCTGGAAGACAGAGTGAGACACCACCTCAAAAAAAAAAAAAAAAATTCTCCTTTTGTATGCACTGCTTGGTGTTTTTGAGCCAGGACACTTAGATCTATGTTTGGGATATAGAATGAGAGTTTTTTTTGTTTTTGTTTTTACATAGAAAAGTTCATGAAGGCAAAAGAATAGCCAGACATAACTTAGTAGGATAACACACTTCGAGGTGAGGTGGCTGATGGTTGGTGCATGCATGTGTGCATTTTGTGTATTCCTATGTGGCTCAGCTGGATGCAGTTTTCTGCATTCACCTAGCATTTCTCACAGACAAAATTGCACATAAGCAAAGGTAAAATTGGTGTTACGCTCAAATTATACCCTAGTGTATCAATCGCGTTGGAAGAAATTAACAGTTTTAAAATGTTACAGCAGAACTGGCTGTATTGAGCTTGAGATGCTTATTGTCATGCAAATGGAGATATTGAATAGACATTTGTCTAGAATTCAAGGAAGGAATCAAAACTGGAGATATAAATGAAGGCACCATCAGTTTAAACATATATTTAAATCTATGAAATCATCCAGGGATTATGGACAGAGAAGTGATGCAGACTGAGGTCCTCTAATGTCTAAGGATTAGAGAGAGAAGGAGCAACTGGCAAAGGAGCCTAAGAAAGAACAGACGGTGATGAAGGAGCAAAACTGAAGACAGTTCTAGACACAAAGAGATTAATGTGTTTTAAGGAGGAACGAATGACTAGCATTGTTAAATACCGCTGGTAAGTCAAACAAGACGAGGACAGAGAATTGACAGCTGGATTTAGTCATGCAAAGTTTATTGGCTACCTTGAAAATAAAGGTTATGGTGGAGTAGTGGGAGCGAAAGCCCAATTACAGAGGGTTTGAGAGAGAAAGGAAGGAAAGGAAAGAAACTGGAGAGTATGAACAACTCCATCAAGAAGAGCCAAGAATTGGGAAAATAATTGGTATGGGATATGGGGTCCAAAAAATGTTTTTTAGGTTTTTAAAAATTTTTTGATATAGTAAAAAGTATAGCAGATGTGTATGTTGATGGAAACGGTAAGAAGAAAGGGGAAAAAATGATGATGCTCTGAGGAGAGGAAATAATTGAAGGAGGTCAGTCTTTCAGTATGTGGCAGGGAAGGATGGGATAAGTGTGTTATCCTACTAAGTTATCTATCCATCCAGGTAGAGGAGCTGGCCACAGACAGGGGTGCAGGCAGTTGGTTCACGGAAGCAAGAAGGCAGGCAGAGAACGGAGGTACGGGTACAGGTAGGTATGCACACCAGGTGACAGGAGCTCTTCTCATAGCTGTGTTTTCCTCAGTGAAATAGGAAGCAAGTTCATCATCAGCATAAGGACTTGGAGGGTAGGGAGATTGAGGAGAGGTATAAAGTTATGAAACAGTTTTCTAGGAAATAGGAATAAACTAGGAAAATATAGTAAGGTGGCTGGGCAGCAGTAAGGGGCCCAGTGGAAATTAGTGTTCATGAGAGGATAACGGAGGGGATAATCCTGTAAAGTACTTGGAACAGTGCCAGGCACATCATAATAGCTCAATCATTGATAGCCGTATATTATTATCATTATACCACACACTTCACTCTTAAGAAATTTTTTTTTTTTTTTTTTTTTTTTTTGAGACGGAGCCTCGCTCCGTCGCCCAGGCTGGAGTGCAGTGGCGCGATCTCGGCTCACTGCAAGCTCCACCTCTCGGGTTCACGCCATTCTCCTGCCTCAGCCTCCCGAGTAGCTGGGACTACAGGCGCCCACCACCACGCCGGGCTAATTTTTGTGTGTTTTAGTAGATACAGGGTTTCATCATGTTAGCCAGAATGGTCTCTATCTCTTGACCTTGTGATCCGCCCACCTCGGCCTCCCAAAGTGTTGGGATTGCAGGCATGAGCCACCGTGCCTGACCTAACTTTGTAATTTACCTACCAACTCCCAGTCCTGACCTCATAGGATAAGAATGATTCTACAGCAGCTCTTAATAGTTGTATGTTCCAAATTCACTAGGAGGCAAGATATGCACAGTAGAGGGTCCCATAAATGTCACACCAGGGCAGGCATTGAATGGGAAGGAAAGGCTTAAGTCAAGGTCTGACCAGGAGTGTAGTTTACATTGTTGATGGAGAGTGTTCCTTGATGCTTCTATAGATCTAAAGAGAAAAGAAAAATATTGAGGGCTTTTAACTAAGGCAGGAGGGTTGGTGTTTCCAGGCACAGTATGTAGATATGGGAGGTAAGACAGGTGGATAATTCTAAAGTTAGAATTCACTAGTCATGCAAACAAACAGCCACAGGTGACCACTGATCCTGGGGGAAAGACTTTCTGCTGTCTGCCCCATTTCATGCTGCTAATAAGGCCTGAGTAGCCTCAGGCTCTAAGCTGCTATCCAGAGGCAGAAGGACATAAAAAGGCCTCAATGTAAATCTTGACCCAATTCCAGAAAGCACGAGAGATGCTGAGATTAGTTCACATTGTGAAAGATTATAACATTAATTTTTAGCATGTAGCTTAGTCTTGTTGAACAAAATTATTTGAAAGTAGGAAAGCAAAATACTCTCTATTTTAGAAAAATTATTTCAGGCCTAATTCATGACCTAGATTTTTCTGTACTCAAAACCAAGTCCATATATAATCAACGCCAGCAGGCCTAGGAAAGGATTTTCATTCCTATTCAAATGCCACATGAAAAAAGCAAACCTTACACACCCACCTTGCACTTAATCATTGTATGATCATAGTCTTTAAAGTCATCAGTTTTACTAAATGTCAGAGGCCTATTTTATGTATTTTGAGAATTATGCCATAAAGCTAGTTTGATCACTGATACAATAGAAGTCTAACTTGAATTGTCTGCTATATTCAGGATTAACTCTCCAGAGTTTTATGAGGTTTTCTTAGGCAATTTGACTACTATTAGGTATAATTATACTTGGCAATCAACTTACTTTTCTAAAGATATCCACTTGCTATGCAGCAGAATTAAATAGTAACCATGGAATCTGAATATCTTTTATTTCAACAAGAAATTTTGCAATCACATATGTTCCATTTGCTTGGACAGATACTAACCTGCTAGGCATCCCATGTTATTAACACCTGTTTAGAGCAATGGCTAATATTTGTTTAAGGCTCTATGAAGTCATTGCTCCATCTACAGAAGAAAGTGATTGTAATAAATATATAGAAGGAACTGGAGGTGTAATAGACTAAGTTCCCCCAAATATTTGGGGGATTTGCTCCTCAATGGAAATCTGACTACACAGTTCCAAGGACAAGCAACAAGTTCAATCCAAGGAAGCTTCCTAATGATCTTCAAATTGCAACTGAACATTTTCAGAGCAGTTAAGTTATAATCTTTCATTTGTTTATTAGTTTTCTTTCTTCAACATCAAACATATTTGAAGGTTTTCTGAGGCAAGTGTAAAGATAAGATAGGACATGCTTTTATGGAACTTAGAACGAGAGTTCAATTACACTATTTAAAAAAGGAAGCAGGCCGGTGGCCGGGCCTGGTGGCTCATGCCTGCAATCCCAGCACTTTGGGAGGCCGAGGCGGGCGGATCACAAGGTCAAGAGATCGAGATGGCCAACATGGTGAAACTCTGTCTCTAGTAAAAAGACAAAAATTAGCTGGGTATGGTGGCAGGCGCCTGTATTCCCAGCTACTCGGGAGGCTGAGACAGGAGAATCGCTTGAACCCGGGAGGCGGAGGTTGCAGTGAGCCCAGAACGCGCCATTGCACTCCAGCCTGGTGACAGAGCAAGACTCCGTCTCGAAAAAAAAAAAAAGAAGCAGCAGGCCGGGTGCAGTGGTTCACGCCTGTAATCCCAGCACTTTGGGAGGCCGAGGCAAGAGGATCACGAGGTCAGGAGTTCAAGACCAGCCTGACCAACACAGTGAAACCCCATCTTTACTAAAAGTACAAAAATTAGCCCAGCGTGGTGGCACGCACTTGTAGTCCCAGCTACTCAGGAGGCTGAGGCAGGAAAATCGCTTGAACCCGGGAGGCGGAGGTTATGGTGAGCCGAGATTGTGCCACTGCACTGCAGCCTAGGCAACAGAGTGAGACTCCGTCTCAAAAAAAACTAACTAAATAAATAAAATAAAAAAAGTAGCAACAAGGCCGTCCAATTCTAATTGCTGGTTGAGAGGTGCCCGACAATAAGTGTTATGAATTACAGAGAGGAATGAATCTTCCTAAGTTATTGTGCAGGACGGCATCCAGGAAAAGCTAGGACTTCAGCGGGGTCCTGAAGGGAACACTAGAGTAAAGTAGGTAAAATGCATAGGATGAATGAGGAAAAGGAGAGAACAAGACAAGGGGATGGAAATGACGATGCTTGTTTAGAGAGCATTGACTCTTCCAGGCCGCCTGTGACAGAGGGCTTGAGAAAGGAAGTTAATGACTAAATTGGTTTGCATGTGGTTGGTACTTAATATGCTTTTGTTTAATTTAATTGAAGGCACACTGGAGGAGAGTCTTGAATGTCAGCCTTCAGGTAATGGAAAGTCTTTGAAGTCTCTTGAGCAGGGGCCTGGCAAAATGAAATGACATCAGGAATTTCTGCTGTAGTTCAGGAATAACATAACAAAGGCCTGGATTGGGCCAGTCAGTGCATTTGCCGCAGGGATTGGTTCAAGAAAGTGGAAATATGTACCAAATGTATCCGTGCAGAGTGAATCCCTAGATTTTTGTGAGATGTTTAGGAGAAAAAAATAGGCCTCCGTGTGACAGAATTCTGGGCAATGAGATATAATTTGAAGTTTTAGAGTGGGACTTCCAGGAAAACTCCTTTAAAAAGTTAGGCTCCACAGGTATGCACCGTTTTTGCTCTTTTTGCTTTTTCCCTCATTCCTGAAAAGTGGAAGTGCTGGCTGGAGCCATGTAAGAAGGGCCAGGAGACTTACTGAGACCTTAGTCTTGATGCTGAGCCACCCAACCAATACTAGCAAATATCTTCCCGCCTCTTACTTACTACATGAGAAAAACGAATGCCTATCTTATTAAAGCCACTGTTATTTGGATTTTCAGTTATAGACAGCAAATCAGCTTCTGCTCACTTCTTGACCTTAATTTTCCAGTCTCTTCTCCCTCATTCCATTCTCTTATCCTTCATTTACACTTTCTGCTGTAGCAACAGCAAACTACTTTCAGTCCCACCAAGAGCCATGTCTTCTTGCTTACAGGCCTTTTATTAAATATATGCTATTCCCTTAGCTCCTCTCTCAACCTCACACTCTTCTCCTGGATAATTGCTATTCAACCTCTAGGTCTCACTAGAGGTGGCACTTCTTCCTTAGAGATGTCACTTTCCTAACCCCTACCACCACCACCATCTCACTTGCTTTCTGGGTGTAAAGCCTTTCCTGTGTATTCTAAAGCACACGTTACTCTCCATGAGAAAAGTTATACATCAAAGGGTTCTTCTGAGAATGCCATGCCTTCAAAATGCTCAACATATGGGAAAAGCACAGTGGGGGAGGAAGGTGTACACGCCCAGGTTAGTGGTGTAGTTTCAGTCTTTCCCAGAGAGCCTTGCTGCCTGATGACCTGTCAGAGACTGCTGGATTCCATTACTCCCAAGAGATGACCTTTTACCCAATAGAGTGGAAAACAAAAAATAGAGCAGCTTCATTCTTATCCTTGACCATATTGTTCTGACAGTCCACTTAAATCATAGACAGGCTCAGCCTATCCTTTCCCTCTGGAAATTTAATCTTTAGTTCACTTTAACATTCTGTGATGTAAAAGAGCCAACAGCATCTATTGTCAGTTTTATTCTGGTTTCAACCTTTATAGCAATATATTTTTCATTTAAAAATTAGCATTGTGTGGTTGAATAATTTTCTCTACCTTGTATTCCTTCCTTTTGCTTCTCTCTTTTCAAAGTGTTGGTCAGTCCTACTCTCTTGGTCTCCAGAAACATTTGTAGCAGGTCTGGAACAGTAGAGGAAGTTCTGGCTGTGTCCTGCAAAAGTCTGAGCCCTTAAGGAAATGCTTCTTTGCCCCTTTTTTTTCTCTCTCTCTAGACCAGAAAAGGATTACCTGTCCCATTTGTGGGGAGAAAAAGCAGAATGTGAGAGAGAGAAAGCAAGTGAGAGTGAGAGGTGGAAACAGAGTTGAGGTCTGAGAGGGTGAGAACCAGGAGCAGAGGGCACAAGTGCAGCCCCTTCCAGAAGGCCAAGGGAAAATGGCTGCATAGTGCATCTGGGGAAGGGACCACATGCTTCTGAGCAAACATTTCACTGGCGCACATGAGGCATGGAAACAGCAGAGAGGTGCCAGGCCTGCAGGCATTACACAGACAAGCATGATGGACGTCACCATGGTGACGTGTATGAACAAGCAGAAGCTGTTCTTCTGCTCTCCCACCACCCCTTCTTGAGGTCTGGGAACTTCCGGGAACAGAGTTCAGTGTCCAAGAACTCTGGCACCTACACTGGCAGGATAGGGGAAAAGCTCAAGGAAGATGAACGTTGTCAGGATGACTGACATCACCCTGTGTTGTGTTGGTTGTGTCCTACACAAAAGTGCCTGGCCAAGGGATGGGGGTAGAGGGTGGGTAAAAATCCAGTGTTCTCTGCAGCCCAAGCACTGCACCTAGAGGAAGAGGCTTTGTAATTTGTCCACCCAAGGTGTGTTTTGTGATTCTACTATCTGGAAGAGGTGCTTTCTGGAAATTATGTGCTGGTGGAGCCCTGAAAGTTAACTACTCCCACCCACCAAGAGTCAGAAATTAATGTAAACTATAGACAAATTCCATTTTCCACTCCTGAATTGTAAGTTCCATATTCACCACATAATGTTTGCCAGGCCTACATGATGAATTGCTGAGAAAATCAAATGAGATAACATATTTGAAGAAACTGTTTTAAAACTGGTGAAATGCACACAAATTTAAAGCATTATCATCAACAGCTTTGAGCTTTGGGGCCAGAACACTTCCTTTTGGTTCATATGATCAATATAAAACATTAAATTTTTCTTTGTACTTTACTTGGAAGTGGGAAGGGTTCTGCCTACAAAATTGCACATGCATTTTATTTATGTCATTGCAATTTGCTATGGAATTGTCATTCTAGGCCCTTAGATCATTTATTTATTTAACAAGCACAACACATGTTCTATGTACTATTAAATGAACACTGATGACACTAAAATTAAAAAATATAAAGTACCATGAAACTATTAAATTATTCTCAAAGGAATCAGAAAAGCAAACTTTCACAATGCCAAAATAATTTCCTCTTTTGGAATATCAGGACAAGTTTAAAAGGAAAATATTGTTTGTACATAAAACTAACTGGTTTTGCCCTACATTGTCACAGTAAGTTGAATCATATCCATAGAGCTGTACACAGGAACTCTATTTTTGGAATGGAATCCAATAAAACTTCTATCTTGGCTTTATAAAGGTCTTTCTCTCTTTTCCATTCCTAGCTCATTGTATTTTTTAAGCTCTAACTAAAATTACTTAGTAAATTATTTTTCAAGATGTGAATTCATTTAAAAAGTTGGTCCGCTGTAAAATATCTTTTTGCCATCAAAGTTGAATGAGCTCACTTTCCCGTATTCTTTTGTTTAAAGATGATGGAAACTGGTAGGAGGGAGAAGTTGGAGGGGGGAATGTTTGGAGCCTTCAGGACAGCCTGTGACAGGAAGTCCCAATGGAGCAACCCACAGTTACAGGAAGTGAGGAGCCTTTCTTCCCAGAGTCTTCTGCAGCTGTGTGGATCAAGGAGGCCACATTCCTGGTTCGACCTCCACTTAATTACTCTGACCAACAAGGCCTCAAACTTTGTCCCCAAAGTTGTAAGACTATTAATTAATTAATTAATTGATTTTTTTTTTCAGACAGATTCTTGCTCTGTCGCCCAGGCTGGAGTGCAGTGGCACAATATCAGCTCACTGCAACCTCTGCCTAATGGGTTCAAGCAATTCCTCTGCTTTGGCCTCCCGAGATGCTGGGATTACAGGCATGCACCACCATGCCCAGCTAATTTTTTTTCTATTTTTAGTAGAGATGGGGTTTCACCATGTTGGCCAGGCTGGTCTGGAACTCCTGAACTCAAGTGATCCTCCTGTATGGGCCTCCCAAAGTGCTGGGATTACAGGCCTATTTTTTGATTTAAAGAAAAGTTTTAGGCCAGGCACGGTGGCTCACACCTGTAATCCCAGCACTTTGGGAGGCGAAGGCGGGCGGATCACCTGAGGCCGGGAGTTTGAGACCCTCCTGACCAACATGGAGAAGCCCTGTCTCTACTAAAAATACAAAATTAGCCGGGTGTGGTGGTTCATGCCTGTAATCCCAGCTACTCGGGAGGCTGAGGCAGGAGAATCGCTTGAACCCGGGAGGCGGAGTTTGCAGTGAGCCCAGATCGCATCATTGCGCTCCAGCCTGGCAACAAGAGTGAAACTCGGTCTCAAAAAAAAAAAAAGGTTTTGACTCTTCATCAGTGAGAGTCTAGGCACTGCTGTGGGCTCCACCCACTAAAGAGCATCTCTCCTCTTGTTGAGTGAACCATTGCTTGAGACTGTTCCCAGGCACGAGGTGGAAGAGCTCGGTAAAACCAAACAATCTTTAATGAAAGAATGTCAAACTGAAAGTCAGCCAGATTTTATGTGTTCTTACCATCCACCCTGTTTTCTTAGTAAAAGTTTAATATCTTAGGGATACCAACCAGGTTGGATAAAAATTATACTAATAATTTAAAAAATCAATTGGTTAGAGGAAACAGAAGTTATTGACTTAGAGTCTGGGGATATTTATATTTAATATATTATATATAATATATGTCTAATATATTATATATGTTTAGTATATTATATATAATTTATATTTATAATTTTATAAATGTAAAATTTTATGAATTTTATAAATAATTTAAATGTAATAAATATTACAATTTAAAAATTTATAAAATTACATATATAATTATATATTTTTTATATATATATAATGACTTTTCTAATACCCCGGGTGGGATAAAATGTCCCAACAAGATACATTTACTTTTGACCTTCAGAGAAAAAAAAAGCGATTTCTAGCCTTTTTAATAAGAGATACCTTTAAACAAAAAGAAACATATTAAAGTTGAGAGAAAAATTTTCATTGATACAAATGAGATGTTCTTGAAATGATTGCCTTTGTTTCCAACATCACGGTGCTCAACTGCCAAATACATTATGACCTTTGGGGAAACCATAAAAGCTCATCATTTAAATGCACATTAATTCTTCTAGGTCCCTGGGTGTCATTAAGTAAATTACCAGCCCTAGACATCTTAGGGTGTCTTTGGGGCCTGAAAATATGTATGCTTATATGCTTTTCTCAAAGAAGGACCAGACCCCAGGATGGCTGGCCTGCCTGCCCTTCTCCCTGGGAATATCAAAATCAATCTCTTTTAAACTCACGTTTAATTCTAGGAGATTGCTGTCTATCAATGCTAGGAACCAGCTTTTGCTGAATTGTAACTGTGTGCTTTATAAAGGTTTGATACAATTGACTCTTCACCCTGAAAGTTTCCTAACACTAGACCAGTGTTTCTCAACATTATAAATTATTGTTCTGATAAAGAGTCCCTGTAGACATTTATTTTTCCAATCGACACTGATAAGGACAGAAGGCAGGGAAATACTGGGTAGAAGAGGGTTGTTCCCTGGCAAAGGCCCCACCCACAAGCCTGGGCCCAAGGCCCTAACTGAAAACTTCACATCCCTATTTTCCTGCCTGAATGTTGCTTTTTTCAAAACCACCCTGGCCTGCCATACCCCCATCCTGTACCCATAAAAATCCCAAACTCCTCTGGCAGAGGAACAGAGCAGCATGGCAGAGAGGGAGAGAAGAGAAGAAGTGTCTGAATGTAGAAGGGGTAGCTGGATGGTCAGAGCAGAGTTTGGCTGGGGACGGCCGAATTCCAGGGGAAGATTATCTTCCCACTCCATCCGCTTTCCAGCTCTGCATTCCACTGAGAGCCACCATCATCACTCAATAAAACCTCTGCATTCACCATCCTTCAAGTCTGTGTGTCCTGATTCTTCCTGGATGCTGGACAAGGACTCGGGTACCAAGAGGGCAGGGTGTAAAAGGCTGTCACCCTGACTCTCCACTGAGCTGGTTAACACGTAGCTGTCCGTGGACAGCAATTGCTAAAATAGCATTAATTGTAATACACCCCTAGACACTACCATGGGGCTGAAGCCCAAAAGCGCTCACCCTGGCCCCAGCACCCATTCACTTGTGTGCTCCCCCTCTCATAAGGGGTTTGAGTGCCGCGGCCAAGTAGGTGAGCCACACCCCTGTCCCAAGTCCCATAAGGGGTCCAAGGAACGCTCCCATCTCACCAGCCCGTTTCCGGAATATAAATACTGGAAAATAAGACTCTGTCAGGTAGGTTGAGCCATATTTAAGTTACTATCCCTGTTGAGAATATATGCATTAGACCAGGATTTCTCAATCTTGTCACTTATTGACATCTGGGGCCAGATAATCCTTTGTTGTAGGGGGCTGACCCATATATAGTAAGATGTTAATAGTAGGATGTTTAGAGCATCCTTGGCCTTTGCACACTGGATGCCAGTAGCACCCTCTCCCTGCAAGTTGTAACAAACAAAAATATCTCCAGACATTGCCAAATGTCCCCAAAACTGCTCCCACACTGCATCAGACATGTAAACAAGAAGAAGGTACATAAAAGTATAAGAAAAGTCAGAACTGCACTTTTGGCAAAGTGCAGGCAAAACAATTTTTTAAATGTGAACTAAGGAAAAGGCTAGAAGAGAGAAGGTGAAATGCAGAAGACAATACTATAGCAAGAAAAGTGAAGTGGGAAAGGCAAGGCTGTGTAGGGACAGGGGTAACAGAATGGTTCGGAAACAAGACCATTTATTATTTGTCCTGGAGGGCAGGCAGCTGACCTCACTCTCCTCGCCTATCCTGCCCGCTCTGTCCTCAGGGCTCCAAACACATTAAGGGCCTAATGGCAGTGTGTTTGCTTATGTTTTATTTATAACTCTGTGGATTGGTTTCTTGACTTTTAATCATTAGCTCTGCCTCTTTTACTGGAAGATTCTTAGGGAAATATTGGCAGGGTTTGTCCTGACTGGGTTGAGTTGCCAGGCAACCAGGCCTCAGGTATAGCTGGAGTTATCCAAGTGAATGAGAACTTTGACTTCCTTGCCAATCCCTTTTTGTAATCAGTAGCACTCATCCCTTCCTAACTGATTCTCAACAAGTTAAGAGATGATCTGGACCAGTCTTTTGCAAAGAGCTCCCCCTCCACAACACACAGAGTAAAATTATGCTTTAATCTGTTTGGGGCATATCTGTAAGATTTTATTTGAAAAAAGAATTCCTCCATTTGAAATAAAAACATTGATCTTTTAGGGACTGTTAGTGACATCCCAGGCCCTCACTTTGCATACAGCGCTGATAAAAGGGCTAAAGGTATTACAGCAAACACACATAAAATAAGGTACACGTACCTTACTACATCTTATCACAAAGAATCCTGTGAATCTGAGAGACCTCATTTGAAACCAGCAATCAAAATGGTTTTGTTAGGAAATCCCTATGCTGATGACAGGCCCACCCAAGAATGGACATCAGTGGCTTAGCATCATCAGTAACAGCCCTACTTAGATTGGTATGAGTAGATTTAATCTCTACCTGTAAGAGTTGGATAATACTACGAAGATTTAGGAAAAGTACAGCAGAAATGTGTAAAAGGTAGGAACCAGAAGAAAAGGATTAAATAATGTTAGTTTGTTTTCTTGAAAGGGAAAGACCAAGAGATAATTTAATACACAAAAGGGAGAAAGATGGTTAAAGTTTACATGATTTTATTTTATTTTATTTTTTGAGACGGAGTCTTGCTCTGTCTCCCAGGCTGGATTGCAGTGGGGCAATCTTGGCTCACTGCAAGCTCCGCCTCCCAGGTTCACGCCATTCTCCTGCCTCAGCCTCCCAAGTAGCTGGGACTACAGGCGCCCACCACCACTCCCAGCTAATTTTTTGTATTTTTTTAGTAGAGACGGAGTTTCACTGGGTTAGCCAGGATGGTCTCGATCTCCTAACCTGGTGATCCACCTGCTTCGGCCTCCCAGAGTGCTGGGATTACAGGCGCGAGCCACCGTGCCCGGTCAATAGTTTACATGATTTTAGATGTCATGAATCTTACAGACATTTAATCTTTATAGTAAACTAGAGTGGAAGGCTACCATTTGGCCCCTAATAGTCATTCTTCCCTTTCTTCCATGGAGTTAAAATTTTCAGCTGCCCTGATGGCCATGCAAAACAAACACTACCTTTTCCAGCCACCATGTATGTGGCCCTTTATCTAAGTTCTGGTTGTTGGATGAATGCATTGTGATAGACTTTGAGACCCTTTATTCTCTGCTTTTTTCCTCCTGGCTGCTGGCTGGAGAGTAAGCATAGTAGCTCAAGGACTACTAAGGGCAGAATCATAAGATGAAAGGAGCCACAGTCCCTAAAGTCATGGAGTGCTATACTGACTCTGGACCAGCCTCCAGACATACAGATGAGATAAGTGTCTATCTTGTTTGAACCACTATTATTTGGGATTTTTCTCTCACTCCTAACTTAACCTAATCTTAACTCATAAACCTGGATAATGGCCATTATCCTCCTCTCCAGATGAGGAAATAGAGGCTCAGAGTTGTTAAATAACTCAAAGCCATGCAGCTAATAAAGTTCAGAGTGCTTTGTACTATACTGTGTTTAAATTTTTGTATAAATCTAGAGCTAGATGGTAGAATGAAGCTTATTATTGCTGTTTGCTATTTCTGGAACAAACAGGACATAGGTTTATCTTACAGTAAGAATTTGGTAAACCTGTCTTATCACCCAATCCCCAATTAGGAGAAATCAAACTCCATTAGTAAATTTGTATCTATGGTTTAAATGTAGACCCTGCCTGACAAAGAGGGGTGATCCAAATTTACTCAATTTTCTTTGCACAAATGTTCAATGAGTATCTTCTAACTGCAAGGCACTGCAAGGAACTGGACATACAGAAATGAACAAAATAGAAAAAATTCTTGCCCTTATACAGCTCTTTTTTTTTCAGTAGAAGTAAACATATGATACATAAAATAATAGTAAACTGATAATATTTCAGTGGTGAAAAGTGTTGTGAAAAAAACTAAAGCATGGAAGGGAGATAAGGAATGTCATTTTTAGTAGTGATGGTAGTGGGGTGTGTGTGTGGAGGGATGGTGGGATGCATTTTAAAAAGAATATTCAGGAAAGGCCTCACTGAGGTGACATTTGAGCCAAGACACAATTTTGGTAAAAGAGTGAGCAAGGTGACTATCTGTAGGAAGAGCATTTTAGGCAGGTGGAACAGTCAGGACTAACACTCTGAGGTAGGAGCATGCCTGCTTTGTGTTAGCATTGCAAGGAAGCAAAGCATGAAATATGAGATATGGTCAGAGAGATGATTGCAAAAAGCCTTGTAGGTCATTGCAAATAGTTTGACTTTTACTCTGAATGGGGTGAGAAATAAATAGAGGGATCTGATCAGAAGAGTTAATAATTGTACTTAAATATTAAAAGGGGACTGCCAAGTAGAAAATTGACTAAAGAGGCAAGAGAGGCAGCAGGAAGAACAACAGGAGGCTACAACAGTACTCTAGGTGAGAAATGATGGCAGATTTTGGTTCTAGGAATGGCAGAATAACAAGTATCAGATTAAACCTCTCACAGATAACAAGTATAAACTCTGAACAAATTTTTTTTTTAAATTTTAAGACACGTAAAGTGACACAACCAGGCAGAAATGTCAGTAAATTCAACCCTTAAAAGAAGGGAACCATGCTAAGTGAAACTGTGGATTTTCACTGGGCAGCAGGATTTAGTCTATATGACACCTAGAACTCACTCAGAAAGCATAGTCTTACTGACTTAGGGAGACAGAAGACAGAGTTTAGGAGTTGTAAAAGCAACTGAAAATTGAGCAGAGAAATCTCAGAAAAAAAAGATAACACAAGACTAGAGGACCTAAAAATCTGCGTATAAATTCCATGCAACACTTTGGATGATCTCTGAACTGCATCAAGTGGACCCCATGGAAAACAACAGATTTAAAAACATAAAAACTGACTAGAGATTTTAACTAGTTTGAAGTTTAAGTTCAGGTAAGTTAATTGCTTACTAGAATAACTGGATAACAGAATCCAAGAATCTCTGTAACATATCATCTACAATGTCTAGCATGCAATCCAAATTACTAGACATGTAAAGAAACAGAAAAATGTGATTCAGTTTAGAAAAAAAGTAATCAACAGAAACTAATTCTAAAATGACCAGATATTAAAATTAACAGACAAGAACTTTAAAGAAACTATTAGAAATATGCTCAGGGACTTAAAGGAAAATGTAGTCATAATTATTGTGAATCTCAGCAGAGAAATGGAAATGATAAAAAAGTGAAACTTTTAGAATTGAAAAGTATCTCTCAAATGAAAAATTCACTAAGATGGGGTTAACAATAAACTGGAAATAAAAGTAGAAAGTTCAGTGAAGTTCAAGATAGATCAATAGAAATAATCTTATCCATGGAACAGATAGAAAAAAACATGAAAAAATTTTGCTTTTTTTAATTTCTAGAGTTTAAGTGACATATGGGACAATATCAAACAGTGCAATATCTATGTAGATCTATGTAGTTAAAGTTATAGAAGAAGAGAGAGAGTACAGACCTGCACTACTAAAATAACAAGGGAAGACTTTTTTTCAAACTGAAAGGAAGTAACACCAGATAGAAACACAGACTTTCAGGAAAGAATGAAAAGCACTAAAATGGTAAACATGTGAGTAAAAGCATTTTTTAAATCTTTTTTCTCTATTTATTTAAAAATTTTCTCACTTTTTAAAGCAA
Source organism: Homo sapiens (assembly GCF_000001405.40). Classification (NCBI taxonomy): domain Eukaryota; kingdom Metazoa; phylum Chordata; class Mammalia; order Primates; family Hominidae; genus Homo; species Homo sapiens. The sequence goes on along the minus strand of NC_000002.12, from coordinate 191,458,694 downwards.
ATAATATTGTATTATTAAATTATGAAGTTTATAACATACATAGATATAAAATACATGAGAAGGATGACACAAAGATAGCAGAAGGTAATATTGGAAGGCTCTTACATTTTACCTAAAGTTGAACAATATATACATAGTTCTAAATTAAACAATAAGTTAAGGATACATATTGTAATCACCAGAGTAACCTCTAAAAAGAAATTACAAAGATGTGTAACCAAAAAGCCAATAGAAGTATTAAATGGGAATACTAAAATATATCTGATTAACCACTCTCCTCCCTCCAAAAATGACAGGAATACTAGAAATGGGGGGGTGGGGGTAAATAAGAAACATAGATTAGAGAAAAAACAACTAGCAAAAATGGTAGTCCTAAGTTCAACTGTATCAATAAATACATTAAATATAAAAAAGATATAAACACTCCAATAAAAGGGCAGATATAATCAGACTGGGAAAAAGGAAAGACTGCACTATGTGTTGTGTACAAGAGATACACGTTAACTAGAAAGACACAGATAAGCTCAAAGTAGAAGGGTGGAAAAAGGCATACTATGCAAACTGCAAGCATAAGAAAATTGGAGTGGCTGTATTAATATAACATACTGTGGTCTTCTAGACAAGAACTATTACCAGAGATGAAGACTTTTCATAAAGACAAAACAAAGTCATCAGGAAGACATAATCATAAATGAGTATGCACTTAATGACGGAGCTCCAAAATGCATGAAGCAAAAACTTACAGAACTAAAGGAAGAACTAGAAAAACCTTCAATCAGAGTTGGGAATTTTTAACACTCCCTTTCCAGTAATTGCACAGCAGATAAACTAAAAGAAAATTAATAAGGGTATAGAAGATCTGAGCAACCCTATCCACCACCTAACCTCATTGATATTTATAGAACACTACATCTAACAATTCTAGAATACACATTTTTCTCAAATGTACATTGAACACTCACCAAGAGAGACCTTATGCTGGGCCGTAAGATAAATCTCAGTATACGTCATAGCACTTAAATCTTACAAAGTATATTTTCTGATCACATCTAACTAAATTAGAAATCAATAACATAAGATACTTAGAAAAATTCCAAATATTTGGAATATTTAATATTCCATGTAATAAAATTTGACATAAATTCCATGTAATAAATAACATGAGTCTAACAAGATATTACAAGGGAAATTAGAAAATTTCAAACTGAGTGATAAGAAAATACATCATATTTATGACATACAGCTAAGTCAGTTCTTAAAGGGAAATTTATGGCTACAAATGCTTATATTTTAAAAAGATAAAAGATAAAAGATGGCCAGGTCCATTGGCTCACGCCTGTAATCCCAGCACTTTGGGAGGCTGAGGCAGGTGGATCATGAGGTCAGGAGTTTGAGACCAGCCTGACCAACATGGTGAAACCCCATCTCTACTAAAAATACAAAAATTAGCCAGGTGTGGTGGCACATGCCTGTAATCCCAGCTACTCAGGAGATTGAGGCAGGAGAATCACTTAAACCTGGGAGGCAGAGGTTTCAATGAGCCAAGATTGTGCCATTGCACTCCAGCCTGGGCAACAGAGACAGACTCCATCTCAAAAATAAAAATAAATAAATATAAGATTTAAAAATCAATGATCTAAGTTCTACATTAAGAAGATTGGTGGGTGGGGGTGGGGGAGGGGAAGCAAATTAAACCCAAAGTATGATAAAGGAAATAATAAAGAGCAAAACTAACCTAATATAAAATAGATTAAGAATAAAGAAAATCAACAAAGCCAAAAGGTGATTCTTTGAAAGAATTGACAAGGTTTTTGAAATGCTTTGCAAAAATGATTAAGAAAAAAGAGGGGGCAAACAGGAATTACCAGTATCCATACTGAAATATACCTTTCAGACCTTAAGAGATAAGAGCATATTATGAACAACTCTACATCAATAATGTCAAAAATTTGAATGCAATGAAAGTGACACAAGTGCAGCCCCCGCCCGGCCAGCCGCCCCATCCGGGAGGGAGGTGGGGGGCACCTCTGCCCGGCCGCCCCTTCTGGGAAGTGAGGAGCCCCTCTGCCCGGCCGCCACCCCGTCTGGGAGGTGTACCCAACAGCTCACTGAGAACGGGCCATGATGACAATGGCGGTTTTGTCGAATAGAAAAGGGGGAAATGTGGGGAAAAGATAGAGAAATCAGATTGTTGCTGTGTCTGTGTAGAAAGAAGTGGACATAGGAGACTCCATTTTGTTCTGTACTAAGAAAAGTTCTTCTGCCTTGGGATGCTGTTGATCTATGACCTTACCCCCAACCGGGTGCTCTCTGAAACATGTGCTGTGTCCACTCAGGGTTAAATGGATTAAGGGCGGTGCAAGATGTGCTTTGTTAAACAGATGCTTGAAGGCAGCATGCTCGTTAAGAGTCATCACCACTCCCTAATCTCAAGTACCCAGGGACACAAACACTGCGGAAGGCTGCAGGGTCCTCTGCCTAGGAAAACCAGAGACCTTTGTTCACTTGTTTATCTGCTGACCTTCCCTCCACTATTGTCCTATGACCCTGCCAAATCCTCCTCTGCAAGAAACACCCAAGAATGATCAATAAAAAAAAAATAATAAAAAAAATAAAAATAAAAATAAAAACGAAAGTGACACAAGTAAAATGGAACATAGCCTATATCTGTTGAAGAAAATCTGTTGATGCATTATCAAAAGAATTCCCACAACAGAGACAGCATGCCTAGGTGGTTTTACAAGCGAAGTCAACTAAACATTTAAGGAATAAATAATACCAGTCCAACACAAACTCCTACAGAAAATAGAGAAAGACAGAACACTCATTTTATGAGGCCTGTATAACCCTGATAACAAAGCATCAAAAATAAGAGAAAATTGCTGGGCGCAGTGGCTCATGCCTGCAATCCCAGCACTCTGGGAGGCCAAGGCAGGTGAATCACAAGGTAAAGAGAGAGACCATCCTGGCCAACATGGTGAAATCCCATCTCTACTAAAAATACAAAAATTAGCTGGGCATGGTGGCGCATGCCTGTAATCCCAGCTACTCGGGAGGCTGAGGCAGGAGAATTGCTTGAACCCGGGAGGCAGAGGTTGCAGTGAGCCGAGATCGTGCCCCTACACTCCAGCCTGGCAACAGAGTGAGACTTCGTCTAAAAAAAAAAGAGAAAATTACAGAACAATATCCTTCATGAACATATTCTTACAAAATTGTAGGAAATCAAATCCAGTAATATGTAAAAAGAATAATATTTCATGACCAAGAGTATCTATCTCAAGAATAAGAAGTTGGTTTAATATTCAAAAATCATGTGATACAATTACCAGGATTAATAATTAGAATTAAGGAGAAAAAATATATTGTCTTAATCAATACGGAAAAAGCATCATTAATTTCAAAACCAACTCATGATTTTAAACAAACTAGGAATATAAGGAATTTTCTCAATTTGATAAAGGGCATCTATGACAAACCTACATGTATTAATACCATCATGCCTTAATGATGACATATTACACCTTTTGCCCTAAGGAGCAAGAACAAGGCAAAGATACTCACTCTTGCTTCTAGTTAACATTGACTAGAGGTGTTAGCCAGTGCAATCAGAGAAATAAACGGCATAAATGTTGAAAATTCAGAAGTAAAACTCTATTCACAGACAATATGATTATTCATGTAGAAAATCCTAAGGAAACTGTGGCAGACACACCCTAAGGCAGGGGTCTCCAAGCCCCAGACCAGGAACGGGTACCAGTCCATGGCCTGTTAGGAACCAGGCCACACAGCAGGAGGTGAATGGCCGGTGGGCAAACATTACCACTTGAACCTCCTGTCAGATCATCAGCAGCATTAGATTCTCATAGGAGCATGAACCCTATTGTGAATTGTGCATGTGAGGGGTCTAGGTTGCGTGCTTCTTATAAAAATCTAATGCCTGATGATCGGAGGTAGAACAGTTTCATCCTGAAATTATTCCCCACCTCCAACTGTGAAAAAATTGTCTTCCATGAAACTGGTCCCTGGTGCCAAAAACATTGGGGACAGCTGCACTAAGGGACCCCAATGAGTTATACCTTTATATACCTTTATATATATAAGAAGAGTTATACCTCTTCTTGAGTGTGCAGAACCTGTGACTTGCTTCTAGTCAATAGCATATGACTAAGGTGATGAATTGTTTCCATGATTATGTTACCTTAGGTAAGACTGTCTCAGCAGACTGGAGGGAGAGATTCTCCTGCTGGCCTTGAAATAAACCAACATGTTGTGAGAGGCCTATAAGGTTCCATGGAAGTATTATTGAGCCAAGCTCATTCTGTCTGTGCACAGCAAGCCAATTGTTGTGATGATAGGTTTTGCACAAAAGCAAGAGTTTATTCATGAAGCAGCCAAGTGAGGAAGCAGGAGAACAAGTCACAAGTCAGCCTGCCCGAAGATGGGGTTTTAGGAATATTTATGGGATGGAGGAGCAAGGTGATCCAAGATATGGGAAAGGTGATTGGTGGGTAGGAAATGTGAGATAATTGGGGTTTCTGCACAAATGTAATTGAGCTACACGGCTCTTCACATGATGCATGTTCATAAAATGGTGGTGTCAGATGATCTAAGGGTGGAGTTTTGTCTCTCTGACGTCAAAAGGTCACTCTTCGGTCACCCGTACAGACCCAGAGTGGAAGGGTGGGTGGTCTCAACCAGCTTGAGTCGGAAAGAGCTGCCCCCTAGTTGCTGAAAAACAACTTTAAGCACCTGTTGCTATAGTGACCCACAGTCAGAGATGTTATCAATGAGGACGCTAGTGGGAGTTATGTACTGCTTGGCTTGCTAGTGGGAGTTTTAAGATCAACTAGAAGTAACTTATTAAAAGCAAGCAAGGCCAGTATCCTTGACTGTATCCTGTAACCCTGCAAATTTTACATATTAATTATCATAGCTGCTGTGTGAATTTTCTACTATTGCAAAACAAATAACCACAAAATTAGTAGCTTATAACTGTGTTTTAGCTTATGATTTCCATGGTTCAGCCTCTGGGCATGACTTACCTGAGCCCTCAGCTCAGGGTCTCACAGGTTGCACTCCAAGTGTCAGCTGAGCTGCGTTTCTCTCTGGAGATCAGGGTCCTCTTCTGAACTTATGCTGGTGTTGAGAGAATTCAGACCCTGTGGTTGTAGGGCTGGGGCTTCTGTTTTCTTGCTCAGCTGACACCTTGAGTGCAACCTGTGAGACTGTGACCAGAGGGCTCAGGTACGCCATGCCCAGAGGCTGAACCATGGAAACCATGAGCTAAAACACGGTTATAAGCTACTAATTTTGTGGTTATTTGTTTTACAACAGTAGAAAATTCACACAGCAACTATGATAATTAATATGTAAATTTTGCAAGGTTACAGGATACAGTCAATATACAAAAATTAATTGTATTTCTGTATACTAGTTGCAAATAACTGAAAAAATAGAATTTTAAGAATTCCACTTAGAATGTCCTCAAAAACTATACAATTATTAGAAATATATATTTCTATATATATCTAGATATATTTATATTTATATATAAGTATATATAGAAATATATATATTTCTACATATATAGAAATATATATATTTCTACATATATAGAAATATATATATTTCTACATATATAGAAATATATATATATATTTAAATGGAGTCTCACTCTGTCGCCCAGGCTGGAGTGCAGTGGCACAATCTCAACCCACTGCAAACTCCGCCTCCCTGGCTCAAGCGATTCTCCTCCCTCAGCCTCCTGAGTAGCTGGAACTACAGGCACACGCTACCATGCCTGGCTAATTTTTGTATTTTTAGTAGACACAAGGTTTCACCATGTTGGCCAGGCTGGTCTTGAACTCCTGACCTCCAGTGATCCCCCACCTCGGCCTCCCAAAATGCTGGGATTACAGGCATGATCCACCATGCCCAGCCAGAAGTAATTTTTCAAAAAAGAAACATGCAAGATTTCTACATCAAAAATTACAAAACTTGGCAGGGAGAAACTGAAGACCTAAATAAATGGAGAACTATACCATGTTGACAGCTTGGAAAACTCAAAACTAAGATGTGATTTATCTTGCCCATCATTCTCTTGCAATATAAAATGTGCTGCACCTCCTGGATTCCCTTTTCAGAACTGAGGCATTTCCTCAGCTGCTTGGAGTGTTGGCCACTTATGGTCCTCAACTGAATCTCTTTCTTAGAATTGCTCTTGGCTGAAGAGAGCCCTTTCGGACAGGCTTCTTTCAATGATTGGTGCATGCAGAAATAAAGTTATAGCCCCCTTCCCTTAAGGTGGAACAACTCAGAAGGGCCATCTCAGCTTCAGAGCTCCCTGTAGAATGGATTGAGGCCCTTGTTGTAACTGTGCTGCAGTTCGACTTCCCCCTCTGCCTAATCCTTCTTTCCTCAGGCCTCACAGGTATTGTTCATAAAAGCACTAGGTAATAAACTGCCTGGTTGTAAATATCAGAGTCTCAGAGTCTGTTTCCTGGGAACGTCACCTAATATAATACCTAAATTGATCCACAGATGTAAATGCAATTCCAATCAAAATCCCTCTAGATTGTTTTCTAGAAATAGGTAAGTTGATTATAAAATATATAGGAAATGTGAAAGACCTAGAAGAGCCAAAATAATCTTCAAAAATAGAAGCAAACATAGAGGACACACACAATCTAATTTCTAATCTAACTCTAAAACAAAAGAATCAAGCAAGTATGATGTTGGCTTAAGATAAATATGGAATGGAACAGAATAGAGAATCCAGAAATAAACCCCATTTGGTGAACTGATTTTTGACATGGGCACCAATATGCCAATTTAATGGAAAAAGGAAAGTCTTTTCAACACATAGTGCTGGTACAATTGAATAAATATATAGAAAAAAATAATTTCAACTTCTACTTTATACCATACACAAAAATTAATTTGGGATGAATTATGGACCTACATGTAAGGGTTAATACTAGAAAGTTTTTAGAAAAAAACAAAATAGAATATCTGCAAACTTAGAGTAGGTAAAGATATCTTAGAGAGGATATAAAATGCAATAAACATAAAAAGAAATACTGATAAATTGAATTTCATTAAAGTTAAAAACTTCTCACCAAAAAATAGCATTAAGAAAATAAAAAGGCAAGCCATCAAAAAGAAAATATTTGCAATACATACATCCAACAAAGGACTTATATCCAGAATATACAGAAGCTTCTATAGATCAATAATAAAAACACACACAACTCAGTAAAAATAGTGGGCAAAATATCTGAACAGACTATTATAAAAATATACCAATGGCCAACAGGCACATGAAAAGATGATTAACAGCATTTGTCATCAGAGCCATACTCATTTAAACCATAACGAGACACACATCCCACTAAAGTTAAACCACTAAAGTGGCTTAAGGGCCAGTCGTGGTGACTCATGCCTGTAATCCCAGCACTTTGGGAGGCTGAGGTGGTCAGATAGCCTGAGGTCACGGGTTCAAGATCAGCCTGGCCAAAATGGCGAAACCCCATCACTACTATAAATACAAAAATATTAGCCAGGCGGGTGGCAGGTGCCTATAATCCCAGCTACTCTGGAGGCTGAGGCAGGAGAATCGCTTGAACCCAGGAGGCGGAGGTTGCAGTGAGCTGAGATTGTGCCATTGTACTCCAGCCTGGGTGACAGAGACTCTGTCTCAAAAAAAAAGAAAAAAAAAAAAGGCTTAAGGTAAGTGTTGGTAAGGAAGAACAATTGGAATTCACATACATGACTGTTGGAATGAAAAATGGTACAAAAACTTGGGGAAAACTGACAGCTTGTTAAAAGTTAAATCTACCTCTACTCTATACTTTCCTAGTTATAGAGTAACTTTCTAAAATAAACTAATACATGCAACAACATGGATGTACCACAAAAACATGATACTGAACAACAGCAACAAAACAGACACAGAAGAATATATACTTCATGATTCCATTTTTTTATATTCAAGAATAGGTAAGCTAACTTATGATGATAGACATCAGTACAGTTGCTTATGGGAAAGGTGACTAAAAGGGGTCTGTATTAGTTCATTTTCATACTACTAGGAATAAGTACCTGAGACTGGGTAATTAACAAAGAAAAAGAGACTTAGTGGACTCACAGTTCCACACGGCTAGGGAGCCCTCACAATCACAACGGAAGGTGAAAGAGGAGCAAAGCCACGTTTTACATGGTGGCAGGTAAGAGAGCGTGTGCGGGGGAATTGCCCTTTATAAAACCATCAGATCTTGTGAGACTTATTCACTATCATGAGAACAGCATGGGAAAAACCCACTCTCATGATTCAATTACCTCCCACTGGGTCCCTCCCATGACATGTGGGGATTATGGGAGCTACAGTTCAAGATGAGATTTGGGTGGGGACACAGCCAAACCATATCAGGGTCATTGGGAACTTTCTGGGGTGATAAAAATATTCTACATCTTGAGTTTGTTGATAATATATACATTTATCAGAACTCATCAAATTATATAATTAATACCACTTAATCTCACTGTATATAAAATGAGATTACCTTTAAAAACATCCAAAAAAAATATTGAATTCTAGCAAGCACATATGTTTTTTGCAGGTATATGAGTTAGCAATTCCAAAATTATTTTATGTGTGAAGCAAATGAACATTTTATATGTGAGCAAATGAATGAAATGTGTGAGCAAATATGTGAGCAAATGAATTATTTTATGTGTCAGCAAATGAACATATGATTTAGCAATTCTGAAATTATTTTATGTGTGAGCAAATGAACATGAATATATATATATTCACTTATGTATATAAAGGATGGTGGGAGTGAGGTTTCCCACTGCTGGAGAAGGCAGTTTCAAATCTGGACAATGGGAAGACTTGAATGGATCCTGCAGCATTGGATTAGAATTGGGAGTATCTGTATGAACTTATGTTTTTAAAGATAGGTAGATAAGTACATGATAAATGCAGGTAGATAGATGATAGATAGATAGATAGATAGATAGATAGATAGATAGATAGATGATAGATAGATAGATAGACAGATGTTTTCTAATTTATGCCTACTGAGAAGGCCTAGAAGCAATAGCTCCTGTAACAATGAGCACACAAAGAGCCATAGCTTTGTTTGTAAATACTATTCCCTACTTGAAGGAACCAGGGCTTTTTGTAAAAGTAGCTGATTCCAAGGCTGGGAAAGGAAAAAGACAAAATGAGCCTGGAACATCATGCCAGAAAGTAAGGAAGTGCCCCAGGATAAATGGGAACATAGCAAAAGGACATAGGAGCCAGTTTAAAAAGGCTATCACTAGCCAAATCTGCCTCAAGAGAGCATCAAAATGTATTGGAAAATGTAAGGAATATAACATACTGAATAAGATGAGTCACTAAGTTCATATGGATATAAATAAATATGCAATACATAAATTAACGGGAGAGAAAGGAAAGCTCTTCTATATAGAATAATAGCAACTGATAAACATAGAAGAAATACTGGAATTTGAAAATCACCAATAGAAGCTAAAATTAGTGGTTGAAAACTTCATGAGGAACAGCATATTTATATAGTCTTTAAGAATCTGCTCACAAAGTATTTATTAATTATAAAGGGATGGTGGCTCATGCCTGCAATCCCAGCACTTTGGGAGGCTGAGGTGGGCGGATCACCTGAGGTCAGTAGTTCGAGACTAGCTTGGCCAACATGACAAAACCCCGTCTCTACTAAAAATACAAAAAAATTAGCTGGGTGTGGTGGTGCACACTTATAATCTCAGCTTCTCAGGAGGCTGAGGGAGGTGAATCCCTTGAACCTGGGAGGTGGAGGTTGCAGTGAGCTGAGATCATGCCACTGAACTCCAGCCTGGGCAACAGAACAATACTGTCTCCAAAAAACCCCAAAAAAATTATAAAGGGAGAAAAAAATAATAGCATTGAAGAACCAGGCAGATACCACTTTAATCAAGTAATCAAGGTTCAGAATCAAGTATACATATGTGTGTTTATGTGTATACTTGTGTGTCCGGAATTGGTGGGTTCTTGGTCTTGCTGACTTCAAGAATGAAGCCGCAGACCCTCGCGGTGAGTGTTATAGTTCTTAAAGATGGTGTGTCCAGAGTTTGTTCCTTCTGATGTTCGGATTCTCGCTGACTTCAGGAGTGAAGCTGCAGACCTTCACAGTGAGTGTTACAGCTCTTAAAGGTGGTGCGTCTGGAGTTGTTTGTTCCTCCTGGTGGGTTCGTGGTCTCACTGACTTCAGGAGTGAAGCTGCAGACCTTTGTGATGAGTGTTACAGCTCATAAAGGCGGTGCGGACCCAAAGAGTGAGCAGCAGCAAGATTTACTGCAAACAGCGAAAGAACAAAGCTTCCAAGGCATGGAAGGGGACCCCAGCGGGTTGCCTCTGCTGGCTTGGGTGGCCTGCTTTTATTCCCTTATTTGGCCCCACCCACATCCTGCTGATCGGTCTATTTTACAGAGCGCTAATTGGTCCATTTTACAGAGTGCTGATTGGTCCATTTTACAGAGTGCTGATTGGTGCGTTTACAGTCCTTTAGCTAGACACAGAGTGCTGATTGGTGCATTTACAATCCTTTCACTAGACACAAAAGTTCTCCAAGTCCCCACCCAACCCAGAAGCCCAGCCGGCTTCACCTCTCACTTGTGTGTATGTGAGGGGACAAGTATATGAGAGAAGGAAGAAAAAAGAGATGAGAGAGAATGATGAAGCAACTAAAGCAAAATATAAATCATTGGTACATCTAGGCAATGGGTATATGGAAATTCTTTGTACAATTTTGGCAACTTTTTGATACTTTTAAAATTATATTGAAATAAAAGAAAATGATGGCTGCTTGAACCACAGTGGTAGGGGTGCCTGTCATAAGAAACAGTCAGATTTCTGAACATATTTCAAAAGTAGAGTCCAAAGGATTTGCTGACAGCTTGGCTTTGGGGTGTGAAAGACAGGCATCAAAGAGGACTCCAAGGTTTGGAACCAAAGCAAATGGAAGGAAGAAGTAAACATTTATTTAGATGGGAAAACGGTGGGTGGAGAAAGTGTGCAGAGGTGGGAATCAGGATGATCTAGGACCTAGGATGTTTGAGCTGTCTATCAGCTATCCAAGTAGAGCTGTTCAGTAAGCCATTGAAATACACTTCTGGAGTTTGGGGGAGAAGTCTGAGCTGCAAATATAAAGTTGGTAGTCATCAGTTTATTTAAAGCTGTGAGGTGATTTAGGGAATTAACATAGAAGACTGGATTGAGACATTCTTGATAAAGACCTTCCTACTCTCAATTATAAATAGTATGTAAATCCACAGTCTGTATTTAGCTATTTGCATCCTCATAGAGGAGTTCAATATCTTCCCCTCATTTATTCACTTACATTTTCTAAAACAAGTATTTATTATTTTCAGTATGCAAGGCACCATCTCTATATGCCTATTATGCAAGCACCAACGTGTGTATAAGATTCCACCTAGGTGATATGAATGAGTAGGTAGCAAGAACAAACAATCTAGAGTCATATATCTTATCATTCTCCCTATGCTGCTTAAATGCCTCGTAGAAATTTATTGCCCTGATAAACTACAAATATGTTTTAGGTAATATTGTGCAATGCCTTTGCAAGAGAAAACACATAACTCTATTTTCTCACCACTTCTGGGAGAGCAAGGGACAAAGCTTATCACCATTTTGTTTACTTGTTTTTTAAAAATAAATCTACTGCTCATGAAAGGTTACAATAAATTGGAGAAAACTTAACCCAAATTCCCCTAGAATTGAGTTTTCTATGTCAAATCATCCCATGACCTCTGTGAGGCAATGCCTTCCCAAACTAAACAGTTATAGAAAAACTTATTCAATCCTTTGGTTGTTTTGGCTTTTTTTTCTCACCTTTTCTTTTAAATTTTATTGTAAAATTAAACACTAATACAGAAAACCACACGAATCAAATGTATAGCTTACTGAATTATTATAAGACAAACACCTCCAAGCTCATGAAACAGAACTTCACCACTTGCCTTGGAAACCCCCTCAATGTGCCCAGCCCAATCACAGTCTCTCCCTTCCCCATAAATAACCACTATCCCGACTTGTTCCTCTAGTCTCTGTATTTCCTGCCAACAGGAAGCTGAATCCAGAGACAGGGTCCGATTCAGGTTCTATTCCCTTGACAAATTTATAGGCAGTGTTTTTGAAGGCTATAGAGGCATATTTTGTCTGGTTGTCTCTGTGATTTTAGAAACTGTTGATACTTAACACCTATAGCCACTCATTAAAGGTTGCAAAATGGTGATATTCTAGTTCTATCATTTCTTTTTCATTTATTAGTTAGAATACTTTCATAAAGTGACACTTCCCCTTATCTACTATTTGTTTACAGAGTAAAACATTTCATATAGGAAATGAAGGATAAATGTTTGGTTTTTTGGCTCTGTTTACCAAGATAATGATTTCATTTCTTATCATCCTCCAAAACTAATAATTACGTTTTTATATTATCATGAAATCATGGATTTAAACCTATTTGATGAATTTTAATCCATTGCAATTATCATTACTAACTCAAAATTTTCCATCTTTGGCAATGGTAGCCTCTTCAAGTTGACTCCTGAGTCCTTTAGACATGACCCTAGTTGTCTTTGATAGCTCCCTAACCATCTGGTATGACAAGATGTTCCAGGGTCGTCTGTTCATTTCCTGCATTACACCTGGAATCAGCACTGTCTCCAAAGAGACCTGGTCCTTTGCAGTGATGAATGGTATTGTAAAACCACAAAAAAGAAGCTAGAGATGTTTACTGCTGCTGTGTAGTTATTGTTTCTAGGTCTTTTCTTTTTCTTTTTCTTTCTTTTTGAGACAGAGTTTGTCTTGTTGCCCAGGCTGAAGTGCAATGGCACGATCTTGGCTCACGGCAACCTCCACCTCCCGTGTTCAAGCGATTGTCCTGCCTCAGCCTCCTGAGTAGCTGGGATTACAGGCATGCGGCACCACACCCGGCTAATTTTGTATTTTTAGTAGAGACGGGGTTTTTCCATGTTGGTCAGGCTGGTGTTGAACTCCCAACCTTAGGTGATCTGCCCACTTTGGCCTCCCAAAGTCCTGGGATTACCGCCTCTGTGTCTTTTCAGTGGACACATCTGGGAATAAAATAAGACAAAGAATCACGTAGGTTTATATTGATATCTTCACTGAGGTTTTATTTAATCTCTTCTCTACTTTAGTATCACCTTTCTTCCATATCAAGGAAGAATCTTGGTTCTCAAGGACAAAGGAGATGATAGATTTAATATCTCAGAATTATTCATTTGTTTTATTCTATTTTACACGCAGTCTCAGAATGGCAATAGTAAGACTAATACCAATATAACCAATGAAATTATTCCCCCTCTCCATTTTAAACAGTTGATTAGCATTCTTTCTTAGCCCTCAGTCTTCATTCTAGGGACTCATGTGCTCAATGCTCACCAACAGTCCTTATAGTAGTCAATATTTGTCTAGTTATTTTATCTGAACCTCATTTTCTAAAAGATTTTTCAGGTAGGGCTCATGAGAATAATATTCCCGGAGTTCTGTTGGTGCCTATTATACTTGAAAGTCATGCTAGATATAGAATTCACACTTGTTTCCATGAGGATCTTAAATATCTTACTCCATATTTTTTTGCATACAGCATTAGTGTTAAAAAGTATAATAATCTAATTTCTTTTCCTTATAAACAATATGCTCATTTTTTCTTTTTTCTTTTCCATTTTTTTTTTTTTTGGGGGGACGGAGTCTTGCTCTGTCACGCAGGCTGGAGTGCAGTGGTGCGATCTCGGCTCACTGCAATCTCCCCCTCCCAGGTTCAAGCGATTCTCCTGCCTCAGCCTCCCGAGCAGCTGGGACTACAGGCGCCTGCCACCACGCCCAGCTAAGTTTTTGTGCTTTTAGTAGAGATGGGGTTTCACCGTGTTAGCCAGGATGGTCTCGATCTTCTGACCTTGTGATCCGCCTGCCTTGGCCTCCCGAAGTGCTGGGATTATAGGCACGAGCCACTGCGCCAGCAATGTGCTCATTTTTTCTAGATACTCAAAGGATATCTTCTTTTTTATTTTTCTGAGGCAGAATCTCATTCTGTAGCCCAGACTGGAGTGCAGTGGTGCAATCTCAGCTCACTGCAACCTCCCCTCCCGGGTTCAAGAGATTCTCCTGCCTCAGCCTCCCGAGCAGCTGGGATTACAGGTGCACTTCACCACGCCCAGCTAATTTTTGTATTTTTAGTAGAGACGGGATTTTGCCATGTTAGCCAGGCTGCTCTCGAACTCCTGACCTCAGGTGATCCACCTGCCTCGGCCTCACAAAGTGCTAGGATTACAGGCATAAGCCACTGCACCCGGCTACTCATTTTTTGCTTTTAATTTTTAAATATTTTATATTTAAATTTTTTTTTCAATTTGGAAGTAATTTCATATTGGCAGAGAAAGTTGTAAAAAATAGGACAAAAAATTTCTATCTACTGTTTACCTATTCCTCGAATGTTAATATCTTACATGCTTACAGTACAATTATCAAAATCAGGAAATTAACACTGATATAACTCTATTGTGTAATGTACAGACCTTACTCAAATTTTATCAATTGTTCCATGACGGTCCTTTTCTTCATCAGGATTCAGTCCAGCATCACACATGGCATTTAGTTCTCTCTCTCCTTAGCTTCTTTTAACTTTGAACAGTTGCTTCATCTTTCCTTGTCCATATTTTTGAAAAGTGTGGGCCAGTTGTTTTGTAGACTGTCCCCCACTTTGGGTTTATCTGACATTTCCTCATGATTAAATATCAGTCAGGATTTTTCAGCTTTGGCACTATTGACATTTTTGGCCAGATAATTCTGTGTTGTAGGAGGCTGTGCTCTGCGTTGTGTTTATTGTATGTTTAACAGCATCCTTGGCCTTTACTCACTCAATGCCAGTAGTATTTTTCCAGTCTTGACAATCAAAAAGTCTCCAAACATTTTCAGATGTCTCCTGAGTGTGAGAGGAAATGAATCCCAGCTGAGAACCACTAATTTAAGTTATGTATTTTTGGCAGGCAGTATATTCGACTGATTGGATGAGGTCCACTCACGTTATGGAGGGGAATGTGCTTTATTCAAAGTTCACTGATTGAAATGTTAATCTCATCCAAAAATGCCCCTACAAAAACATCCAGAATAATGTTTGACCAAATACCTGGGAACCATGGTCCAGCCACGTTGACATATAAACTTTGATATATTTCAGGTTTATGTGATTTACAGCAAAAATCATTCCTGATACATAGTGCTATTTGAAATGTATGAAATTACTTTGATATTCCAAACATTTCTCTTCCTAGTTCACCTTAACCACAACCACACAAAGTACTTCCCTGATCTGTTTTTACTTATTCTTCATCACCTACATTCTCAACTAAGATTGATGATTCTGAAAATCTTACCTCTCTATTGTATATCAAAGGCCCTAGGAAACACTTATAAATATTTACCTATCTCTAGACAGAGGATTTCTTTCCTCACTTTTATTCAATTGTTTGCTATGGTATAGACCTGTGATATCTAATATGATACCTACTAGCCACCTGTGGCAACTGAGCATTTTAAATGTGAATAGTTTGAATTGAGATGTGCTGTAAATGTAAAATACACAATGAATTTTGAGCCGTTAATATAAGAAAAAATGTAAACCATCTCAATATGTTTTTACATTGATTTCATGTTGAAATGATAATATTTTGGATATATAGGATCAAATATTATAAAACATTAAATATTACAATTAATTTCACTTGATTCTTTTGACTTTTTTAATGTGGCTGTTAGAAAATTTAAAATTACAGGCCAGGCGCGGTGGCTCACGCCTGTAATCCCAGCACTTTGGGAAGCCGAGGCGGGCAGATCACGAGGTCAGGAGATTGAGACCATCCTGGCTAACACGGTGAAACCCCGTCTCTACTAAAAATACAAAAAACAAAACAAAACAAAACAAAACTAGCCGGGCGTGGTGGCGGGCGCCTGTAGTCCCAGCTACGCAGGAGGCTGAGACAAGAGAATGGCGTGAACCCGGAAGGTGGAGCTTGCAGTGAGCCGAGATCGCGCCACTGCACTGCAGCCTGGGCGACAGAGCGAGACTCCGTCTCAAAAAAAAAAAAAAAAGAAAATTTAAAATTACATGTGTGGATTGCATTTGTGGCACACATTATATTTCTATTGGACAGTGTTAGTATATACATAGAAATAATTTTTTGTAATTAATCTGTCAATATTATATGTACATTTTATAGGCTTTTACGATTTTATTCAAAAATATAAGTTGATTTGTTTTATTTTTATTCTTTTAAAAGTGCTATCTGGAGCATCGTTAGCAATTCAGAAAAACAAAAATTACAATGAAAAATCAAATGGGTAAGGAAAGGGTTATACGAACAGGGACTCGACTCAGCACTTCGTGTCCAAGAAGCTTAGCAATTTTCCCAGCTCACTGAATTGTGGGAACTCAGCTTTTCCAGGGAATAAATACGCTATTTTTAACAATTTTATTATACAATTTGTCACAGGCTGTCTCATGAGAGTATCAACAATCAGTTTCAAATAGAATCCAACCACAAACACTTCTCCACATGGGACTCGGAACATCTGGCCTGCTGGAGTGCCCTCCGCCTCAGGCGGTGCCAGCAGTCTGACTTTGATTCTCACTCTCCTCGAAGGCTTTGTCATACTTCCCACACTGGAACTAAAAAGGGAGTAAACCGTCTTTCAGAGGCCAGCCTTCAGCAGGTCTGAGTTCTAGGCGTCTATTCCCCCTGACTTAGGACGGCAGGCCCTTCCAATGGAGGCACGTGCTGCATTACACTGATATCACTGACTTGATGATTTATGTGGCATTTTCCCTAATGGTCGAGATGACAGCTTTGGTCTAGAAAAAAAATCAGCCAGCTTCTCCAAGCTGAAGAGATCATTATATCTGCCCTGAGCAGAACGCTTCATGCAGGAGGCTCAAATTTATAACAGGCACAGGCTGCTGTGTTGCCCACACCTTCACATGAGGCAGAAAAGGCTCATGACTGGAAAAATGAAGCAAGTAAACGTGCTCATTCAGCCAGCGGCATCAAAGCAGTGAAAGACACTGAAAAAGGGAGATCTAGGGGAACATGGGAATTACATAAAGAAACCCCGGGCGTCTTACCTCCCTTTCAGCAATATCACCCTGAAAAGTTAGAAACTGAACATTAAAAACTCACTGATGTTGTTGGCTACGTGGAAAAGCCCCACAGAACCAGGCTGGGTGGCTCAGGCCTCAGTTAAGGGTGTGGTAATCTCAGCATTTTGAGAGGCTGAGGCAGGAGGAGGATTGCTTAGCCTGGAAAGTTGAGGCTGCAGTGAGCAAATATCGTGCCACTGCACTTCAACCTAGGCAACAGCGAACCTGTCTCAAAAAAAAAAAAAAGAAAAAGAAAAGGGCCGGGTGCAGCGGCTCATGCCTGTAATCCCAGCACCTTGAGGGCCAAGGTGGTTGGATCACTTGAGCTCAGGAGTTCGAGACTAGCCTGGCCAACACAGCAAAACCCTGTCTCTATTTAAAACAAAAAAATACAAAAATTAGCTGGGCGTGGTGGTGCACACCTATAATCCCAGCTACTGGAGAGGCTGAGGCAGAAGAATCACTTGAACCCAGGAGGCTGAGGTTGCAGTGAGCCGAGATTTTGCTACTGCATTCCAGCCTGGGTGACAGAGCAAGACTCTGTCTTAAAAAAAAAAAAAAAAAAAAAAAAAGGAAATGGCCCACGATAGATTTCTTCCTAATGGGAAGAAATCTTTAAGGAAGCAAAAACTGTCCTGAAATCATATTTTCCAAGTACAGGTCTCAATACAAGTGTGTCTTTAAATGAGACATGTAGAAGACTCTGGCATGACACTTTGGCTCACCCATATTCAGTAGGTAGACACACTCTCACTCTCCTGTGATTCACATGGGTATACACACACTTAAGTGTTCTCAGCAATGATAACAAGACTCACAAGAAAGCATTTGCCTCAGCGGAAAACAGATTTCGTCTTTCATGGAAAGAGTCATTATCAAAGTATTTGAAAATATTTAAGCAGAATTGATGTGAATAAAAATTTACTAGAAGATTAAATATATTTGAATGAATATATGCCATTCCATCTTAAATATTAATGCACCTTTTGCTTTCTGCCACACTCACAATTATATAAAATAAGTGACAGAGAAGATAGAGTTTGAACTTGATAGATTCAATTTACAGTCACTGCTACCATGACTAACTAAAGTCTTTTAACTGCAATGACAATGTAACATGTAGCATATGTACATATTCCATACACAAGGCACAATTTTGCTTTCCAGGCTTTTGGGGGGAGTATTATACACTTTTATGTTGTTAAATGGTTTTCACAATATTCCTTTCTATGAATATTTGATGGATAAATTAATGAATGAAAGGAATGACAGGAAGATAAAGAAAATAAATGCAATTTTGCAAAAGCAAAATAGTGGCCAGGCACGGTGGCTCATGCCTGTAATCCCAGCACTCTGAGAGGCCGAGGCGGGTAGACCACCTGAGGTCAGGAGTTCAAGACCATCCAGCCTGATCAACATGGTGAAACTCCTTCTCTACTAAAAATAGAAAAATTAGCTGGGCATGGTGGTGCATGCTTGTAATCCCAGCTACTTGGGAGGCTGAGGCAGGAGAATCACTTGAACCTGTGAGGCAGAGGTTGCAGTGAGCTGAGATCGCGCCATTGCACTCCAGCCTGGGCAACAAGAGCGAAACTCCGTCTTAAAAAAAAAAAAAAAAAGCAAAATAGTATTTATATTGGAAGGAGTTTCTCACAATATGCCTTTTAACTTTAATACCTCACAAGAATTCACGTGACTTGCTGAAAAGATTTGCCTGCCTTTTCTAGTTGGCAAATAGTCTTCCCAGATCAATAGAGATGACAGCTATTTTGTTTGTTTGGTTTTTTTCCCTTTGAAATGGGAGAAGCCTGTGTAATGGGCCCTCAGCTGGGAAGGAGATAGCACTAACACATTGCAGGACCATGATTGAGTTCTCCCTCTTGATAATGATGTTGGGTGAATGAGTAGATGAAATATTTACATCTTTTTTTTTTTTTTAAGAGCCAAGCTATTAACACTCTGCAATTCCTCTTTCAGCAGTTCATGGTGTTTTGCCTGTGCTGAAATTCCCTCTCACCATAGATAGACTATATTTCAAAAGTTAATTTAGTGCATTGTTAGAGACCATGAATATCTTTTGCCATAAAAACTGTTCTAAAAGATGGTTTGGTTCCCTTGCTCATCTCAAATTTATTCATATACTGTGGCTGAAACACCTCATGTTTGCAATGATATGTACTTGAAAATAATAATATTAGTAATTGAAAGAGAAAAATAATGAAGTAAAATAAGAAATATTTCCAACTGAAGGCTTAGGGAGAAGCTTTTTTTTGAGACCGAGTTTCGCTCTTATTGCCCAGGCTAGAGTGCAATGGTGCAATCTCGGCTCACTGCAACCTCTGCCTCCCGGATTCAAGCGATTCTCCTGCCTCAGCCTCTGGAGTTGCTGGGATTACAGGCATGTGCCACCACGCCTGACTAATTCCGTGTTTTTAGTAGAGATGGGGTTTCGTCATGTTGGTCAGGCTGGTCTTGAACTCCTGACCTCAGGTGATCCGTCCATCTTAGCTTCCCAAAGTGCTGGGATTACAGGTGTGAACTCCTGCACCTGGCCAGGAGAGGCTTTAACTAGAAAAATTTGAGGAGATAGAATTTTATATGTATTTTCAAGTATTTTAGAGGTTGATCATACTGGTTTTATTTTCAGTTAAAATGCTTTTTCTTTTTTTTAGAGGAGGCTAATTTGATCTATTCATCAATTAGAATGTAAGCTTCAGGAGTCCAGGGACTTGTTAATTTTATTTGCCATATGTCCCCAGCACCCAGAACAGTATCTTACATAGAGAGGAGTTCAATAAATATTAGGTTGGTGCAAAAGTAATTGTGGTTTTTGTCATTACTTTTAATATTTATTGCATTCATTCATTAATTCAGCAAATATTTACTGAGCATCTGCCATGTTCCTGCCACTATAAAGAAGCTGGGAAATAGAAAAAAAGAAGTTGAGCAAAACTGAAGAAGTCTACACCTTCATGGAGTTACCTTCTTGTAGGGGAGAGAGAAACTCATAGAAGAATCACATGAATGAGTGTAAACCTGATTTAAAGTTAGCTAAGTGCTCAAAAAGAGAGTTACTTCGCCATGACTGGCGCGTATTTTTGGTTCAAAGATTTTAATGAAATTGAGGAAGAAATATAATTCTTCTGAGGAAACTGACAGGCTAAGGAGCAAGAAGGAAGGAGGTCATAAGAATGTGCGCACGCAGAAGAGAATGAACTCTCCAGACAGGCAGTGAGCCGAGCTAATAGAAGAGAAAGCAGAGATGGAGTGCGGAGCACAGCCACATACAACACCCCTTTGAGGGGTGGGGAGAAAGGAAGTAGAGAGGACACGTCCTCCCCGGGCACGCAGCAATGCTGTCCAGAGTGGGTCAATGGGAATGGAATGGGGGTGGGGTGTGGGGAGACAGCACACAACTTCATCCAAATATACAGGATGTTTCATGATTTAGAAAGTTCCCATGCTAATTAAAAACAAAACAAAACAAACCCCAAAATCATGTCCTTTGCAGCAACATGGACTGAGCTGGAGGCCATTATCCTAAGAGAACTAACGCAGAAACCGAAAACCAAATACCACATGTTCTCACTTTTAAGTGGGAGCTAAATATTGAGTACGCATGGACATAAAGATGGGAACAATAGACACTGGGGCCTCCTTGAGGTGGGAGAGTGGGAGGAAGAGGAGGATTGAAAAACTACCTATTAGGTACTGAGGCAGAATAGGGTTTGGAGACAAGGAACATAAGGACTTCCTAGAACAAAGTCAAATGGAAAACACTTCAGCTATAACAGAAAATATCCTCTCCATTTACGTAGGGCGTACAACAGTAAATGACTTTGTAACTTTACTTCATCCTCTTAATTTACATAGAGCATACACCAAGTAACCAGTGGAAACCTCTAGAGGGTATTTAAACCCCAGAAAATTCTGTAACAGGGCACTTGAGCCCTTATGCTCGGGTCCACTCCTACCGTGTGGAGCATCCTCTCATTTTCAATAAATCTCTGCTTTTGTTGCTCATTCTTTCCTTGCTTTGTTTGTGCGTTTTGTCCAATTCTTTGTTCAAGACACTAAGAACCTGGACACACTCCACCGGTAACAGTACTATGCTCATACCTAGGTGACAAAATAATCTGTACACCAAACCTCAGTGACACACAATATCCATGTAACAAACCTGCACATTTGCCCTCAGAACCTAAAATAAAAGTTGGAAGGAAAAAAAAAGTTCCCATGTTGACTCTTTCTGAAAAGTTAATTGTATGATTTATATAAGTAACTTTAGATTTAATAATAAAATAATCATTTTTTATAATTTTTCTAGCAGACTAATTGGAAGGATAAATTTAAGGATGTAATTGAACACTTTATTAATTAAAGAGTATGTTAAGACATCCAATTTGAACAATCTTTTTGCCATTGCCGAATATTTCCTCCCACTTGTAATCTCCAGTCCTTTAAACTCCCATCCTTAGCTCTGCCTTGTCTGCTGTTCTGTTCACACAGCTTGGGCAGTTCTCCTATCTCTCTCACCCTACTTCCCCATGAATCTGTCATAATGGTCTACAGCCACAAAGGCTAATGCTAGTCCATGCCGCAAAAGAGAAATGGAGAATTTTCCCCATGGCATGAAAGGAAGTTACATTTTTCCAGTAGTGGGGAAGGAATTAACAGTGACCCCTCGGGGCCTGACATCTGGGACTTCGGATGAGTAGGGTGGATATAGTCCAAATTGGCATCATGGAATTGTATTTTATTCTTTTGCTTTTTTCAAATTTTAACCCAAGTGTCATGGTATTTGAGGGACAGGACATATTTTTAAGGAAGGCAGAAAGACACAGCCTTATGTTGCAAAAGAGTTACAAAAATAACTCTAGTACTTCCTGATTAGACACATCACAGATGAGATCTGCCTCTTTGCAAGTGAGGTTAAAGTTCAAGGAAACGAGCACATAGCGAGATTTTCTGTTTTCCTTCTTTGTAAATATATACCCATGTGCATATGCACACAGGCATGCACACACACACACCATCTTTGGAGCAAAGGATTTTGGACACTTTTTATTTTAAATAACAGCTTAGTCTCAAGAGACTATCATATATATAGTTTTACAGAATAAAATACATTTGATTGTTTTAAATATCCATCCATCAGTCACAAGCACATGGAAATCTTAGAAACACTACTGCTAAGTCAAGAAAGGTCCCCTCCCCATCCCCACCCACCCCCCCCGCCCCGCTGTATATAACATTTAAATGCAAATAAGGCTTCCCATGTTGAAAAAGTGCCAGAAATAGAAGGAGTAAGAGTCTATATAATAGGCAGCTGAACCCCAAGAGTTTAAAAGGGAACAGTAAACTATCCTCTCTTACAAATCTTAAATGAAACACACGTAAAACTCTGCAGATGCAATTATTTCTCTTTATGGTCCAAAGCACCAGCTGCGTAGGTTCAAAGCCATCTTGGACTCAGGCAGCAGTTTGCCAGTCTACCTCACCTCTATCAGCTGTCATTCACACCAAGTGCTGAAGGACATGCTTAAGATGCTCACACCACTGCTTGAAACTCCAGTTGAAACTCCAGTCGTTGAAAAAATATTTTCAACTTGTCACCATTTTCGTTTGTAAAAAACATATCTGGTCATATTATTCTAATTTTCCTCTGTAAAAGAATTTCATTAGACAGTCTAGAAAACAAGAGGAAAGCAACAGAGAAAGTAATAGCCTGCTTAAAGAACCAAGAAACCACGTGTTATTCAGAATACACTTCTCAGCAACCAAATCTATCCCCAAAGGCATAATACAGACATGCCTTTCTTAGGCATGTTCTGAAAGCGTATCATTTTTGTAGATTTTATTTCTCATCATTTTACTCCCCTGCAATAGCTTGTGTTTTTGTTTTTCTCTAACTGGAAATGGCTTCAAACATGTCGGCTCTTCCAGAAGTGAGGAACTTCAGGTTGTCACCCTGATGAGCATTGTGTTTCGTTCTGGAGGCTGCATTTTAGAAGGGACACCAGTTGCCTTGCATGCAGGCCAGCTGTGGGCTGGGATTCATACCATAAATGCGCAGAGAATTGGAGGGTATGAAGATGATGCTTCTTGTGGGAGGAAACGATGCTACTGTCACGTGGAAGAAAGCAGAACTCCAGAGGTGCTTCAGAAGACAAGGCAGAAGGCATAGTTGTAGTTTTCATACAGTCATTCTTCAATCAAATTTTCATCTGTGATACATTTTACTGTGTCATTTTAATTTTTATTAATTTTGAGTTACTAATTTTTCATGAGAAAATTTTGAGCAACTCGCCTCACATATCTGACTGCTTCAGGGCCAAACACCAAGGCCAATCATTTGAGTTCCTGCTTTGCATCCATCCTAAGAAGGCTGGGGGGTGGAGAGACAAGAGAGATTAAAGAGGTTGAGACAACCAAGAAGAACGGGGCAAAGTGAGCATTAAGAATTGTCCTTGAAAAATAAGCTTCTACAGAAGTGCATGCTACAAAAGCTCTGGGGTGTGTGTGTGTGTGTTTATAAACCAGGATTAAGATCTAATGAAGCCAACTCTAGAAAGAACTACCAATCTACTCTAAAATGTTCTTCCTAAAAAGTGAAAGATGTTAGGGCTCTCGAATCTCAGCAGCATACATCTGTGCAAAATCCCACCATGATTTTGCCTATCAGAAGTAGCTAACATTGGCTCACTTTAGCCTCATGATACTCAATCCATTTCTCTTAACCTTCCTATTAAGTAAATGGTATGGGTTGCAAGCAGCCACAATTTTTCTATAAACAAATGTAAGGGCCTCATTCTCATGTAGACTTAAAATTTCTTTCTTTATACATGAACACTATCAACTTAAAAAATAACCATTAGGAAACTAAGAGCAGAAGTTTCTAAATGCCCAGTGTCTCTTTAGGCAGCCAGAGGTCTCTGTTCTTTCCTCTTTCCGTTGGGAAAAATCAGGAGTATCACTTTGACTTGTCTGAAAGAGTGCTGACTCCAGGAAATGGCCATCTGAAATGCAGTTTGCCTAGCAAACCTACTCTTCATGTGTTTAAATAAGCATAAGGCCATTAGCCTGAGGTCGTTTCCATACTTTGAGATCCTACCTAACAAACTGCAACCTGTCTTAGGAGTATAACAAACAGCTGTTTCAGCCAATCACAGGCAGTCGGCTCATCAAACCATGCCCAGATAAGGCAGACGCCTAGCTGTAGCCAATCAGATGATTCCTCTACTTTGCTTCTGTGTCCAGCCTATAAAAGCTCACTGCTCACACTCCTGGGTGTAGCTCTCTGAACCTCTTCTGGTTCTGAGTGCTGCCCAATTCATCAATCATTCTTTGTTCAGATAAACTCTGTTAAATTTGTCTGAAGTTTTTCTTTTAATACATGCAACAAGTTTCACTTTTCCTTAGAAATTTACGTTGGCTCTGCACAAAAGTGAGTTCCGTGGGACTCAAGTAATAATTTCATGGAGGTGGGGAAGATATGCAAATGTGTTTGTGAAATGGGTGTTTGTGCTGCAGGATAGTTTATACTTATGATATAGATACAATTTTGTTTTGGAATATGCACCATCTTAATTAGCTTAGAGATAACTCCTATTATACAAGGGAAAAAAAGACCAAGGAAAAATTATGTAATTGTTCATATCAATATTACTTTACTTAGGACACACTGGTAAAGAGGACATCTACTTGTGCCCACTTCCTGCCAGAGGGATGGTCCACAGGAACCGAAGATCAGCCCCTTAAACAGGTATTACAGAAAGCTATAGGGGTGGGGAGAGTAGAGGGGAGTGGGAATTGAACTACCATAAATAATTATCTTTGTGGAAAGCAGGCTTGAACATTCAATTGGACAACTTGAGTAAACAAGGACAATGAGAGTTTCATGTTTAAAAGAACTAGAATGCTTAGGAAAGTAGAGGGTTAGATATGGGAAAGAAGTTATGCTTCTGTGTGCTCTATTTATTGAACAATATGTGCCAGGCCCTGCCAGTTTCGGCTTCCACATTGGGGTCCCATCTTTCTTGTACTTTAAAAAAAGTCAGCATCTTCCATTGATATCCACAGCTGTTAATTTCCTAAATGAAACAAGTGTTTGGGCATCTTTTCCTAATCCTCCTTGGGGAGCCTGTAGGAGTGGAAACCCAGAAGACATAAATTGTAGTCTAGTTCTTCCAGTAACCACAAAACCTTGGACCAATCACTGCATCTCTCTGGACCCTGATTTTTCTTCTCTGCAAAGTGAAGGGATTGGAGGGTACAGTTCAGCAACTTCCAACCTTTGGAGTTTTTGTAAAGGGTCCATAAGTTCACATGAACCAAGTATTGTTTGTTGACTGTATTAAATAAGACCTGTAAACACATGTAATGACATTTTCCAAACATATTTAAGTGTGCTGTAATTAAGAAAATGCAAATTTTCTTGTCTCGAACTTACACAAATTATATATTTGGCCCAATCAAAAGATGCTAAAAGCATGACTACCATCATGTAGGTGTTCATGAAGACATTAAAAAATGGTCTTCATACTAGAAAACGTTGGGAAACATCTAACTGGATGACATAATTTCTTAATATTTTGTTTTTAATATTTCGTTGATATTCTTGAAACCCAATGTATACAGGGAAAATATTCTTTTTAGAAAAAAGTGCTTTCCTTCACTATCACAGTCTTCAGCATCCATATTCTAAATCAAGATGGCAACCTTTGAGACATTAATGTACTTTCATTTGAATGGCAGTATAGGGTTTCTGCCAAGCCATCAACTGGCATTTCTGGCTAATGACACAGATTTGGCAAGACTGGTTGAGGTGAAGTCTAAGAGCAAAATGGCTCATTTCAGGGATCTAATTTCAGTCTAAATGCATTTTATTAGATCCATAAAAAGAACACATGGTGATGCAGTTATTGTAAAGTGACTGACTTGCTCAACCAAATAAGACGTAATGGCATATTAATAGAGTAATTTAAATTTCTACACTCAAAGCAGTTCCTATTACTAGAATGTACCATGTCTCAGCAGAAAATATAATAAAATCCCAGTGGTTGCCCCAAAGATGGTGTATTCAAAGATGGGTTTGTTTTGGCAGGCAATCGGCAACCATGTGACCAATGATGACTTACTGCAATCCGGGAGAGTAGAGAACCATACCAATCTCCCTGATTAGACCACATGTGCTCTTCAGAGATGACAAGGATATGAATAGTGTGTCTTCATCTATACTATCAAATCACACTTCAGAAATAGACTTTTTCAAACAAAATTTGCCCATGTGCTTCGTGTGGTTTGAGGACAGTTCAAGACACAACACAGGGAATCTTCATCTGTGGGGTTTTTTTTCTAGTGGAAAGAACAAATTGGTGGGTGAATTTCCTTCCCTTTTAGTAGTGTTTCCACAACAGCTCCCAAGTACTTTCCATTTAATGCTACCAGTTCCCATTTCTTTTTGAGATCCAAGTCCAATTTGTGCTAGGAAGTAAAGAGTTACCAAATTAGTCTCCAAGATGAGCAGAAAGACTAGATTCCAACTACTGCCATTTCCTGGATCTTCACACTTACTCATTCATATTAATACTGAGACACAAAAATTTCTGCCCCATTTAAATTCAAAGCCACAGTAAAGTGAAGGTATTTTCCAACAAAACAAACACCGAGATATCTATAAATATCTTCCTATTTTTGTTTATAGTCATCCACATGCTACAAAATAATGCTCAAGGTGGCAGTAAGTTTTCTCCCCTTCTCTGCAAATGGTATGGCCATCTGAATAGAAACTTATTTGATTTCCCCCTATCAGAAAGTATTAGGTAGTTTTATTTGACAATGCTGAGTCCAATCTAGTAGGATACAATCCTAACTTCTAAAAGCAGCTGTCCACAACCTTTTTGGCACTAGGGTCCAGTTTCGTGGAAGACGATTTTTCCATGGACAGTTGGGAGGGGGCATCTCTTAGAGATGAAACTGTTTTACCTCAGATCATCAGGCAATAGATTCTCACAAGGAACGTGCAACCTAGATCCCTCGCATGCACAGTTCACAATGGGATTTGCCCTCCTGTGAGAATCTAATGCCGCAGCTGATCTGAGAGGAGGTGGTGCTCAGGCAGTAATGCTCGTGCTCCTCCCCTCTTGCTGTGTGGCTGGGTTCCTAACAGGCCATAGACCGGTACCCATTCATGGTCTGGGCGTTGGGGACCCTGTCTAAGAGCTTCTATTCTAAAAGCTGCTGTTTTCAAACTTCAGGAAATTCATTTCAGGTCATTTTAGAGACGATATCACGGAGAATTAGTTTTGATGGCTGCTCTGCTTAAAAATGGCATTATTCCATTCTAGAAGTTAGGATTTAAGAGACAACAGAATGTAAATATTACCATATGAGTTACATTGCTGAATAAAGAAAGAGGGTGAATTTGTAGTATACTGCAGCTAAAGGACTACTTTCAGGTTTCTGAAGGATGGAGGAAAATGTTTGTTTTCTGCTATGCAATGCCTCAACAACCTTCCACTTCCTTTCAGTAGGTGAATTTAGACGGATAAAAAACTTATGCATTTCCTATTTGACTTTGTCAAGCAATTGATTCTTATTGGTACACATAATACGACTAAGTTAAATATGTTTTCCTTTGACTATAATTTGCTTCTCATGAAAAAATAAATGATGCATATGTCTTTACTGCTACTAAAAACAGTTCCTCTGCCTTTTTGGTACTGCTCCTCTCTGTCAATTAAAATCCCAATTTCAGGAAAGCTGAGCTGGCAGAGATTATTTTTAAAAAGGCAACTCTGAATTTAACTAGCTCAGAATTGCACACAAGAGATGGATTACTGGGAAATGAGTTAGAAAAATCTCTTTAAAAAAAAGGTGGCAGTATTAAAAAAGCCAAACAAAGATACAAACTCCACTTCTGGCACCATCTGGCCTCATCTATACACTATTATCATTGAACAAGATAACTGACTATAATATTTAAAGAATTAGAAAAACCCTCAGAGGTCTCTCATTACCAACTACTTAAAGGAAGAGGGAAACAGGCAGTCTCACCTAAAAACAAAAGAAAATATTCACATGCATTTATATAAGACAGTAATTTTAGGAAGACTTTATGGAAAACTTTAAATGAAGATGACTAGTAATATGGCTAGAAACCACTGAGTCAATGGAAATCCAAAATATCGCATAAAATTAGAAACTGTTAATTTACTTCAAGGAAACATCTCATATTTTCCCCATCCAATCCCATTAGGAACTCCCAAGCTCAAATCCCTGTGGCAAAAGGAAAGGGCTTTATGTTCATATTTTTAAAACTCTGATGAACTATCACTACTTCCTATACCTGAACAAGTAAATTTATTAGTTTTAATGTCTTTTTCCTCTGCCTAGCACCCAGAGCTTAGGACCTGTCACTAAGAATTATCAATTTCACTTTTCAACGACTATGCCAACATATTTCAAAGCTGTAATAATGAACACAGTTTAGTGTTGACACAAATAAACAATGTAATAGAAAAGAAAATTTAGAAACAACGCAGTGAAAAGGCAGGCCTTTTCAATAAAAGGTGTTGGGTCCACTAGATGTCTATATGGGGAAAAAATGAATCTTGACCCCCTGCATCATTAAAAAATCTTTAAAAAAATCAATTAGGTTTAGGGATAGAGTTGGCTCAAGGTGGTCAAGTTATAATGAAATCTTCCAGGTGTAAGCCGGATGCTTTCAGGTGGACTGAAAATCTAAATGTGAAAAGTAAAACAATAGATATTCTAGAAGAAAACATAGACAAATATCTTCATAATATTGGGTAAGCAAATATTTCATAAATGGAAAAGAAAAAGTACTCACTATAAAGGAAAGAATTGATAAACTTGATTACATACACTAAAACAGAGTTTCTGTTAATCAAAAGACACTGGTAGAAGAAGAAAAAGGTAACCACACACCATGAGAAAATACATGTCACATACATAAAGAGCTCATATTCAAAATATATATACAAATGCAAATCAAAACAAAAACTAGACAGAAAAATTGGCAAAATACTTGAACAGGCACTTTACAAATGGTAATATCCAAATGGCCAATATTGAAAAGGTAATTGAGCTCATTAGTCATAAGGAAATGAAAATGAAGGCTAAGATCCATAAGAAGAATCTTTAAGAGACTGACAATACCACATATACCAAGCATGTAGAACAACTGCAACCCTCATGCACTGCTGGTGGGAGTGTAAACTGGTATAGCTCCTTTAGAAGTCAGTTTGACAATCTACTCAAGCTGTACATATGCTTACCCTATAATCCAGCAGTTCTACTCTTAGGTATATATCCAGCAGAAATGTGTACGCATATTCACCAAAAGACGGGTACAAGAACATCTGCAGCAGCACTATGTACAATAGCCAAATGGCCATCAACAGTAAAATGGACCACAAAAT